>NC_000007.14:58756517-59056517 GCF_000001405.40 Homo sapiens
CTGCCTCCGGGTTCAAGCAATTCTTCTGCCTCAGCCTCCTGAGTAATTGGGATTACAGGTGCCCACCACCATGCCCAGCTAATTTTTGTATTTTCAGTAGAGACAGGGTTTCACCATATTGGCCAGGCTGGTCTTGAACTCCTGACCTCAGGTCTAGACTAAGAAGAGAGTTCTCAGTAACTTTTTTGTGTTGTGTGTATTCAACTCACAGAGTTGAACCTTGCTTTAGAGAGAGCAGATTTGAAACACTCTTGCTGTGGCATTTTCAGGTGGAGATTTCAAGCGATTTGAGGACAATTGCAGAAAAGGAAATATCTTCGTATAATAACCAGACAGAATCATTCTCAGAAAGTGCTTTGTGATGTGTGCGTTCCACTCACAGAGTTTAACCTTTCTTTTCATAGAGGAGTTTGGAAACACACTGTTTGTAAAGTCTGCAAGTGGATATATGGACCTGTTTGAGGCCTTCGTTGGAAACGGGATTTCTTCATTGAATGCTAGACGGAAGAATTCTCAGTAAATTCTTTGTGTTGTGTGCATTCAACTCACAGAGTGGAACGTCCCTTTAGACAGAGCAGATTTGAAACACTCTTTTTGCGGAATTTGCAAGTGGAGATTTCTAGCCATTTGATGCCAACAGTAGAAAGGGAAATATCTTCAAATAAAAACCAGACAGAATCATTCTCAGAAAATTCTTTGTGATGTGTGCGTTCAACTCACATAGTTTAACCTTTCTTTTCATAGAGCAGTTTGGAAACACTCTGTTTGTAAAGTCTGCAAGTGGATATATGGACCGCATTGAGGCTTTCGTTGGAAACGGGATTTCTTCATTTCATGCTAGACAGAAGAATTCTCAGTAACTTCTTTGTGCTGTGTGTTTTCAACTCACAGAGTGGAACGTCCCTTTACACAGAGCAGATTTGAAACACTCTTTTTGTGGAGTTTGCAAGTGGAGATTTCAAGCGATTTGATGCCAACAGTAGAAAAGGAAATATCTTCAAATAAAAACTAGACAGAATCATTCTCAGAAACTACTTTGTGATGTGTGCCTTCAACTCACAGAGTTTAACCTTTCTTTTCTTAGAACACTTTAGAAACACTCTGCTTGTTATGTCTGCAAGTGGATATTTGGACCTCTTTGAGGCCTTCGTTGCAAACGGGGTTTCTTCCTTTCATGCTAGACTAAGAAGAGTTCTCAGTAACTTTTTTGTGTTGTGTGTATTCAACTCACAGAGTTGAACCTTGCTTTAGAGAGAGCAGATTTGAAACACTCTTGCTGTGGCATTTTCAGGTGGAGATTTCAAGCGATTTGAGGACAATTGCAGAAAAGGAAATATCTTCGTATAATAACCAGACAGAATCATTCTCAGAAAGTGCTTTGTGATGTGTGCGTTCCACTCACAGAGTTTAACCTTTCTTTTCATAGAGGAGTTTGGAAACACACTGTTTGTAAAGTCTGCAAGTGGATATATGGACCTGTTTGAGGCCTTCGTTGGAAACGGGATTTCTTCATTGAATGCTAGACGGAAGAATTCTCAGTAAATTATTTGTGTTGTGTGCATTCAACTCACAGAGTGGAACGTCCCTTTAGACAGAGCAGATTTGAAACACTCTTTTTGCGGAATTTGCAAGTGGAGATTTCTAGCCATTTGATGCCAACAGTAGAAAGGGAAATATCTTCAAATAAAAACCAGACAGAATCATTCTCAGAAAATTCTTTGTGATGTGTGCGTTCAACTCACATAGTTTAACCTTTCTTTTCATAGAGCAGTTTGGAAACACTCTGTTTGTAAAGTCTGCAAGTGGATATATGGACCGCATTGAGGCCTTCGTTGGAAACGGGATTTCTTCATTTCATGCTAGACAGAAGAATTCTCAGTAACTTCTTTGTGCTGTGTGTATTCAACTCACAGAGTGGAACGTCCCTTTGCACAGAGCAGATTTGAAACACTCTTTTTGTGGAATTTGCAAGTGGAGATTTCAAGCGATTTGATGCCAACAGTAGAAAAGGAAATATCTTCAAATAAAAACTAGACAGAATCATTCTCAGAAACTACTTTGTGATGTGTGCCTTCAACTCACAGAGTTTAACCTTTCTTTTCTTAGAGCAGTTTAGAAACACTCTGCTTGTTATGTCTGCAAGTGGATATTTGGACCTCTTTGAGGCCTTCGTTGCAAACGGGGTTTCTTCCTTTCATGCTAGACTAAGAAGAGTTCTCAGTAACTTTTTTGTGTTGTGTGTATTCAACTCACAGAGTTGAACCTTGCTTTAGAGAGAGCAGATTTGAAACACTCTTGCTGTGGCATTTTCAGGTGGAGATTTCAAGCGATTTGAGGACAATTGCAGAAAAGGAAATATCTTCGTATAACAACCAGACAGAATCATTCTCAGAAAGTGCTTTGTGATGTGTGCGTTCAACTCACAGAGTTTAACCTTTCTTTTCATAGAGGAGTTTGGAAACACACTGTTTGTAAAGTCTGCAATTGGATATATGGACCTGTTTGAGGCCTTCGTTGGAAACGGGATTTCTTCATTGAATGCTAGACGGAAGAATTCTCAGTAAATTCTTTGTGTGGTGTGCATTCAACTCACAGAGTGGAACGTCCCTTTAGACAGAGCAGATTTGAAACACTCTTTTTGCGGAATTTGCAAGTGGAGATTTCTAGCCATTTGATGCCAACAGTAGAAAGGGAAATATCTTCAAATAAAAACCAGACAGAATCATCCTTAGAAAATTCTTTGTGATGTGTGCGTTCAACTCACATAGTTTAACCTTTCTTTTCATAGAGCAGTTTCGAATCACTCTGTTGGTAATGTCTGCAAGTGGATGTATGGACGGATTTGAGGCCTTCGTTGGAAACGGGATTTCTTCATTTCATGCTAGACAGAAGAATTCTCAGTAACTTCTTTGTGTTGTGTGTATTCAACTCACAGATTGGAACGTCCCTTTACACAGAGCAGATTTGAAACACTCTTTTTGTGGAACTTGCAAGTGGAGATTTCAAGCGATTTGATGCCAACAGTAGAAAAGGAAATATCTGCAAATAAAAACTAGACAGAATCATTCTCAGAAACTACTTTGTGATGTGTGCCTTCAACTCACAGAGTTTAACCTTTCTTTTCTTAGAGCAGTTTAGAAACACTCTGCTTGTTATGTCTGCAAGTGGATATTTGGACCTCTTTGAGGCCTTCGTTGCAAACGGGGTTTCTTCCTTTAATGCTAGACTAAGAAGAGTTCTCAGTAACTTTTTTGTGTTGTGTGTATTCAACTCACAGAGTTGAACCTTGCTTTAGAGAGAGCAGATTTGAAACACTCTCGCTGTGGAATTTTCAGGTGGAGATTTCAAACGATTTGAGGACAATTGCAGAAAAGGAAATATCTTCGTATAATAACCAGACAGAAATCATTCTCAGAAAGTGCTTTGTGATGTGTGCATTCAACTCACAGAGTTTAACCTTTCTTTTCATTGAGGAGTTTGGAAACACACTGTTTGTAAAGTCTGCAATTGGATATATGGACCTGTTTGAGGCCTTCGTTGGAAACGGGATTTCTTCATTGAATGCTAGACGGAAGAATTCTCAGTAAATTCTTTGTGTTGTGTGCATTCAACTCACAGAGTGGAACGTCCCTTTAGACAGAGCAGATTTGAAACACTCTTTTTGCGGAATTTGCAAGTGGAGATTTCTAGCCATTTGATGCCAACAGTAGAAAGGGAAATATCTTCAAATAAAAACCAGACAGAATCATTCTCAGAAAATTCTTCGTGATGTGTGCGTTCAACTCACATAGTTTAACCTTTCTTTTCATAGAGCAGTTTGGAAACACTCTGTTTGTAAAGTCTGCAAGTGGATATATGGACCGCATTGAGGCCTTCGTTGGAAACGGGATTTCTTCATTTCATGCTAGACAGAAGAATTCTCAGTAACTTCTTTGTGCTGTGTGTATTCAACTCACAGAGTGGAACGTCCCTTTACACAGAGCAGATTTGAAACACTCTTTTTGTGGAGTTTGCAAGTGGAGATTTCAAGCGATTTGATGCCAACAGTAGAAAAGGAAATATCTTCAAATAAAAACTAGACAGAATCATTCTAAGAAACTACTTTGTGATGTGTGCCTTCAACTCACAGAGTTTAACCTTTCTTTTCTTAGAGCAGTTTAGAAACACTCTGCTTGTTATGTCTGCAAGTGGATATTTGGACCTCTTTGAGGCCTTCGTTGCAAACGGGGTTTCTTCCTTTCATGCTAGACTAAGAAGAGTTCTCAGTAACTTTTTTGTGTTGTGTGTATTCAACTCACAGAGTTGAACCTTGCTTTAGAGAGAGCAGATTTGAAACACTCTTGCTGTGGCATTTTCAGGTGGAGATTTCAAGCGATTTGAGGACAATAGCAGAAAAGGAAATATCTTCGTATAATAACCAGACAGAATCATTCTCAGGAAGTGCTTTGTGATGTGTGCGTTCATCTCACAGAGTTTAACCTTTCTTTTCATAGAGGAGTTTGGAAACACACTGTTTGTAAAGTCTGCAAGTGGATATATGGACCTGTTTGAGACCTTCGTTGGAAACGGGATTTCTTCATTGAATGCTAGACGGAAGAATTCTCAGTAAATTCTTTGTGTTGTGTGCATTCAACTCACAGAGTGGAACGTCCCTTTAGACAGAGCAGATTTGAAACACTCTTTTTGCGGAATTTGCAAGTGGAGATTTCTAGCCATTTGATGCCAAGAGTAGAAAGGGAAATATCTTCAAATAAAAACCAGACAGAATCATTCTCAGAAAATTCTTTGTGATGTGTGCGTTCAACTCACATAGTTTAACCTTTCTTTTCATAGAGCAGTTTGGAAACACTCTGTTTGTAAAGTCTGCAAGTGGATATATGGACCGCATTGAGGCCTTCGTTGGAAACGGGATTTCTTCATTTCATGCTAGACAGAAGAATTCTCAGTAACTTCTTTGTGCTGTGTGTATTCAACTCACAGAGTGGAACGTCCCTTTGCACAGAGCAGATTTGAAACACTCTTTTTGTGGAATTTGCAAGTGGAGATTTCAAGCGATTTGATGCCAACAGTAGAAAAGGAAATATCTTCAAATAAAAACTAGACAGAATCATTCTCAGAAACTACTTTGTGATGTGTGCCTTCAACTCACAGAGTTTAACCTTTCTTTTCTTAGAGCAGTTTAGAAACACTCTGCTTGTTATGTCTGCAAGTGGATATTTGGACCTCTTTGAGGCCTTCGTTGCAAACGGGGTTTCTTCCTTTCATGCTAGACTAAGAAGAGTTCTCAGTAACTTTTTTGTGTTGTGTGTATTCAACTCACAGAGCTGAACCTTGCTTTAGAGAGAGCAGATTTGAAACACTCTTGCTGTGGCATTTTCAGGTGGAGATTTCAAGCGATTTGAGGACAATTGCAGAAAAGGAAATATCTTCGTATAACAACCAGACAGAATCATTCTCAGAAAGTGCTTTTTGATGTGTGCGTTCAACTCACAGAGTTTAACCTTTCTTTTCATAGAGGAGTTTGGAAACACACTGTTTGTAAAGTCTGCAATTGGATATATGGACCTGTTTGAGGCCTTCGTTTGAAACGGGATTTCTTCATTGAATGCTAGACGGAAGAATTCTCAGTAAATTCTTTGTGTGGTGTGCATTCAACTCACAGAGTGGAACGTCCCTTTAGACAGAGCAGATTTGAAACACTATTTTTGCGGAATTTGCAAGTGGAGATTTCTAGCCATTTGATGCCAACAGTAGAAAGGGAAATATCTTCAAATAAAAACCAGACAGAATCATTCTCAGAAAATTCTTTGTGATGTGTGCGTTCAACTCACATAGTTTAACCTTTCTTTTCATAGAGCAGTTTGGAAACACTCTGTTTGTAAAGTCTGCAAGTGGATATATGGACCGCATTGAGGCCTTCGTTGGAAACGGGATTTCTTCATTTCATGCTAGACAGAAGAATTCTCAGTAACTTCTTTGTGCTGTGTGTATTCAACTCACAGAGTGGAACGTCCCTTTGCACAGAGCAGATTTGAAACACTCTTTTTGTGGAATTTGCAAGTGGAGATTTCAAGCGATTTGATGCCAACAGTAGAAAAGGAAATATCTTCAAATAAAAACTAGACAGAATCATTCTCAGAAACTACTTTGTGATGTGTGCCTTCAACTCACAGAGTTTAACCTTTCTTTTCTTAGAGCAGTTTAGAAACACTCTGCTTGTTATGTCTGCAAGTGGATATTTGGACCTCTTTGAGGCCTTCGTTGCAAACGGGGTTTCTTCCTTTCATGCTAGACTAAGAAGAGTTCTCAGCAACTTTTTTGTGTTGTGTGTATTCAACTCACAGAGTTGAACCTTGCTTTAGAGAGAGCAGATTTGAAACACTCTTGCTGTGGCATTTTCAGGTGGAGATTTCAAGCGATTTGAGGACAATTGCAGAAAAGGAAATATCTTCGTATAATAACCAGACAGAATCATTCTCAGAAAGTGCTTTGTGATGTGTGCGTTCAACTCACAGAGTTTAACCTTTCTTTTCATAGAGGAGTTTGGAAACACACTGTTTGTAAAGTCTGCAATTGGATATATGGACCTGTTTGAGGCCTTCGTTGGAAACGGGATTTCTTCATTGAATGCTAGACGGAAGAATTCTCAGTAAATACTTTGTGTTGTGTGCATTCAACTGACAGAGTGGAACGTCCCTTTAGACAGAGCAGATTTGAAACACTCTTTTTGCGGAATTTGCAAGTGGAGATTTCTAGCCATTTGATGCCAACAGTAGAAAGGGAAATATCTTCAAATAAAAACCAGACAGAATCATTCTCAGAAAATTCTTTGTGATGTGTGCGTTCAACTCACATAGTTTAACCTTTCTTTTCATAGAGCAGTTTGGAAACACTCTGTTTGTAAAGTCTGCAAGTGGATATATGGACCGCATTGAGGCTTTCGTTGGAAACGGGATTTCTTCATTTCATGCTAGACAGAAGAATTCTCAGTAACTTCTTTGTGCTGTGTGTATTCAACTCACAGAGTGGAACGTCCCTTTACACAGAGCAGATTTGAAACACTCTTTTTGTGGAGTTTGCAAGTGGAGATTTCAAGCGATTTGATGCCAACAGTAGAAAAGGAAATATCTTCAAATAAAAACTGGACAGAATCATTCTCAGAAACTACTTTGTGATGTGTGCCTTCAACTCACAGAGTTTAACCTTTCTTTTCTTAGAGCAGTTTAGAAACACTCTGCTTGTTATGTCTGCAAGTGGATATTTGGACCTCTTTGAGGCCTTCGTTGCAAACGGGGTTTCTTCCTTTCATGCTAGACTAAGAAGAGTTCTCAGTAACCTTTTCTGTGTTGTGTGTATTCAACTCACAGAGTTGAACCTTGCTTTAGAGAGAGCAGATTTGAAACACTCTTGCTGTGACATTTTCAGGTGGAGATTTCAAGCGATTTGAGGACAATTGCAGAAAAGGAAATATCTTCGTATAACAACCAGACAGAATCATTCTCAGAAAGTGCTTTGTGATGTGTGCGTTCAACTCACAGAGTTTAACCTTTCTTTTCATAGAAGAGTTTGGAAACACACTGTTTGTAAAGTCTGCTAGTGGATATATGGACCTGTTTGAGGCCTTCGTTGGAAACGGGATTTCTTCATTTCATGCTAGACAGAAGAATTCTCAGTAACTTCTTTGTATTGTGTGTATTCTACTCACAGATTGGAACGTCCCTTTACACAGAGCAGATTTGAAACACTCTGTTTGTGGAATTTGCAAGTGGAGATTTCAAGCGATTTGATGCCAACAGTAGAAAAGGAAATATCTGCAAATAAAAACTAGACAGAATCATTCTCAGAAAGTGCTTTGTGATGTGTGCGTTCAACTCACAGAGTTTAACCTTTCTTTTCATAGAGCAGTTTGGAAACACTCTGTTTGTAAAGTCTGCAAGTGGATATATGGACCGCATTGAGGCCTTCGTTGGAAACGGGATTTCTTCATTTCATGCTAGACAGAAGAATTCTCAGTAACTTCTTTGTGCTGTGTGTATTCAACTCACAGAGTGGAACGTCCCTTTGCACAGAGCAGATTTGAAACACTCTTTTTGTGGAGTTTGCAAGTGGAGATTTCAAGCGATTTGATGCCAACAGTAGAAAAGGAAGTATCTTCAAATAAAAACTAGACAGAATCATTCTCAGAAACTACTTTGTGATGTGTGCCTTCAACTCACCGAGTTTAACCTTTCTTTTCTGAGAGCAGCTTAGAAACACTCTGCTTGTTATGTCTGCAAGTTGATATTTGGACCTCTTTGAGGCCTTCGTTGCAAACGGGGTTTCTTCATTTAATGCTAGACTAAGAAGAGTTCTCAGTAACTTTTTTGTGTTGTGTGTATTCAACTCACAGAGTTGAACCTTGCTTTAGAGAGAGCAGATTTGAAACACTCTTGCTGTGGCATTTTCAGGTGGAGATTTCAAGCGTTTTGAGGACAATTGCAGAAAAGGAAATATCTTCGTATAATAACCAGACAGAATCATTCTCAGAAAGTGCTTTGTGATGTGTGCGTTCCACTCACAGAGTTTAACCTTTCTTTTCATAGAGGAGTTTGGAAACACACTGTTTGTAAACTCTGCAAGTGGATATATGGACCTGTTTGAGGCCTTCATTGGAAACGGGATTTCTTCATTGAATGCTAGACGGAAGAATTCTCAGTAAATTCTTTGTGTTGTGTGCATTCAACTCACAGAGTGGAACGTCCCTTTAGACAGAGCAGATTTGAAACACTCTTTTTGCGGAATTTGCAAGTGGAGATTTCTAGCCATTTGATGCCAACAGTAGAAAGGGAAATATCTTCAAATAAAAACCAGACAGAATCATTCTCAGAAAATTCTTTGTGATGTGTGCGTTCAACTCACATAGTTTAACCTTTCTTTTCATAGAGCAGTTTGGAAACACTCTGTTTGTAAAGTCTGCAAGTGGATATATGGACCGCATTGAGGCCTTCGTTGGAAACGGGATTTCTTCATTTCATGCTAGACAGAAGAATTCTCAGTAACTTCTTTGTGCTGTGTGTATTCAACTCACAGAGTGGAACGTCCCTTTGCACAGAGCAGATTTGAAACACTCTTTTTGTGGAGTTTGCAAGTGGAGATTTCAAGCGATTTGATGCCAACAGTAGAAAAGGAAATATCTTCAAATAAAAACTAGACAGAATCATTCTCAGAAACTACTTTGTGATGTGTGCCTTCAACTCACAGAGTTTAACCTTTCTTTTCTTAGAGCAGTTTAGAAACACTCTGCTTGTTATGTCTGCAAGTGGATATTTGGACCTCTTTGAGGCCTTCGTTGCAAACGGGGTTTCTTCTTTTAATGCTAGACTAAGAAGAGTTCTCAGTAACTTTTTTGTGTTGTGTGTATTCAACTCACAGAGTTGAACCTTGCTTTAGAGAGAGCAGATTTGAAACCCTCTTGCTGTGGCATTTTCAGGTGGAGATTTCAAGCGATTTGAGGACAATTGCAGAAAAGGAAATATCTTCGTATAATAACCAGACAGAATCATTCTCAGAAAGTGCTTTGTGATGTGTGCGTTCCACTCACAGAGTTTAACCTTTCTTTTCATAGAGGAGTTTGGAAACACACTGTGTGTAAACTCTGCAAGTGGATATATGGACCTGTTTGAGGCCTTCGTTGGAAACGGGATTTCTTCATTGAATGCTAGACGGAAGAATTCTCAGTAAATTCTTTGTGTTGTGTGCATTCAACTCACAGAGTGGAACGTCCCTTTAGACAGAGCAGATTTGAAACACTCTTTTTGCGGAATTTGCAAGTGGAGATTTCTAGCCATTTGATGCCAACAGTAGAAAGGGAAATATCTTCAAATAAAAACCAGACAGAATCATTCTCAGAAAATTCTTTGTGATGTGTGCGTTCAACTCACATAGTTTAACCTTTCTTTTCATAGAGCAGTTTGGAAACACTCTGTTTGTAAAGTCTGCAAGTGGATCTATGGACCGCATTGAGGCCTTCGTTGGAAACGGGATTTCTTCATTTCATGCTAGACAGAAGAATTCTCAGTAACTTCTTTGTGCTGTGTGTATTCAACTCACAGAGTGGAACGTCCCTTTGCACAGAGCAGATTTGAAACACTCTTTTTGTGGAGTTTGCAAGTGGAGATTTCAAGCGATTTGATGCCAACAGTAGAAAAGGAAATATCTTCAAATAAAAACTAGACAGAATCATCCTCAGAAAATTCTTTGTGATGTGTGCGTTCAACTCACATAGTTTAACCTTTCTTTTCATAGAGCAGTTTGGAAACACTCTGTTTGTAATGTCTGCAAGTGGATATATGGACCGCATTGAGGCCTTCTTTGGAAACGGGATTTCTTCATTTCATGCTAGACAGAAGAATTCTCAGTAACTTCTTTGTGTTGTGTGTATTCAACACACAGATTGGAACGTCCCTTTACACAGAGCAGATTTGAAACACTCTTTTTGTGGAATCTGCAAGTGGAGATTTCAAGCGATTTGATGCCAACAGTAGAAAAGGAAATATCTGCAAATAAAAACTAGACAGAATCATTCTCAGAAAGTGCTTTGTGATGTGTGCGTTCAACTCACAGAGTTTTACCTTTCTTTTCATAGAGGAGTTTGGAAACACACTGTTTGTAAAGTCTTCAATTGGATATATGGACCTGTTTGAGGCCTTCGTTGGAAACGGGATTTCTTCATTGAATGCTAGACGGAAGAATTCTCAGTAAATTCTTTGTGTTGTGTGCATTCAACTCACAGAGTGGAACGTCCCTTTAGACAGAGCAGATTTGAAACACTCTTTTTGCGGAATTTGCAAGTGGAGATTTCTAGCCATTTGATGCCAACAGTAGAAAGGGAAATATCTTCAAATAAAAACTAGACAGAATCATTCTCAGAAACTACTTTGTGATGTGTGCCTTCAACTCACAGAGTTTAACCTTTCTTTTCTTAGAGCAGTTTAGAAACACTCTGCTTGTTATGTCTGCAAGTGGATATTTGGACCTCTTTGAGGCCTTCGTTGCAAACGGGGTTTCTTCCTTTAATGCTAGACTAAGAAGAGTTCTCAGTAACTTTTTTGTGTTGTGTGTATTCAACTCACAGAGTTGAACCTTGCTTTAGAGAGAGCAGATTTGAAACACTCTTGCTGTGGCATTTTCAGGTGGAGATTTCAAGCGATTTGAGGACAATTGCAGAAAAGGAAATATCTTCGTATAACAACCAGACAGAATCATTCTCAGAAAGTGCTTTGTGATGTGTGCGTTCAACTCACAGAGTTTAATCTTTCTTTTCATAGAGGAGTTTGGAAACACACTGTTTGTAAAGTCTGCAATTGGATATATGGACCTGTTTGAGGCCTTCGTTGGAAACGGGATTTCTTCATTGAATGCTAGACGGAAGAATTCTCAGTAAATTCTTCGTGTTGTGTGCATTCAACTCACAGAGTGGAACGTCCCTTTAGACAGAGCAGATTTGAAACACTCTTTTTGCGGAATTTGCAAGTGGAGATTTCTAGCCATTTGATGCCAACAGTAGAAAGGGAAATATCTTCAAATAAAAACCAGACAGAATCATTCTCAGAAAATTCTTTGTGATGTGTGCGTTCAACTCACATAGTTTAACCTTTCTTTTCATAGAGCAGTTTGGAAACACTCTGTTTGTAAAGTCTGCAAGTGGATATATGGACCGCATTGAGGCCTTCGTTGGAAACGGGATTTCTTCATTTCATGCTAGACAGAAGAATTCTCAGTAACTTCTTTGTGCTGTGTGTATTCAACTCATAGAGTGGAACGTCCCTTTACACAGAGCAGATTTGAAACACTCTTTTTGTGGAGTTTGCAAGTGGAGATTTCAAGCGATTTGATGCCAACAGTAGAAAAGGAAATATCTTCAAATAAAAACTAGACAGAATCATTCTCAGAAACTACTTTGTGATGTGTGCCTTCAACTCACAGAGTTTAACCTTTCTTTTCTTAGAGCAGTTTAGAAACACTCTGCTTGTTATGTCTGCAAGTGGATATTTGGACCTCTTTGAGGCCTTCGTTGCAAACGGGGTTTCTTCCTTTCATGCTAGACTAAGAAGAGTTCTCAGTAACTTTTTTGTGTTGTGTGTATTCAACTCACAGAGTTGAACCTTGCTTTAGAGAGAGCAGATTTGAAACACTCTTGCTGTGGCATTTTCAGGTGGAGATTTCAAGCGATTTGAGGACAATTGCAGAAAAGGAAATATCTTCGTATAACAACCAGACAGAATCATTCTCAGAAAGTGCTTTGTGATGTGTGCGTTCAACTCACAGAGTTTAACCTTTCTTTTCATAGAGGAGTTTGGAAACACACTGTTTGTAAAGTCTGCAATTGGATATATGGACCTGTTTGAGGCCTTCGTTGGAAACGGGATTTCTTCATTGAATGCTAGACGGAAGAATTCTCAGTAAATTCTTTGTGTTGTGTGCATTCAACTCACAGAGTGGAACGTCCCTTTAGACAGAGCAGATTTGAAACACTCTTTTTGCGGAATTTGCAAGTGGAGATTTCTAGCCATTTGATGCCAACAGTAGAAAGGGAAATATCTTCAAATAAAAACCAGACAGAATCATTCTCAGAAAATTCTTTGTGATGTGTGCCTTCAACTCACAGAGTTTAACCTTTCTTTTCTTAGAGCAGTTTAGAAACACTCTGCTTGTTATGTCTGCAAGTGGATATTTGGACCTCTTTGAGGCCTTCGTTGCAAACGGGGTTTTTTCCTTTAATGCTAGACTAAGAAGAGTTCTCAGTAACTTTTTTGTGTTGTGTGTATTCAACTCACAGAGTTGAACCTTGCTTTAGAGAGAGCAGATTTGAAACACTCTTGCTGTGGCATTTTCAGGTGGAGATTTCAAGCGATTTGAGGACAATTGCAGAAAAGGAAATATCTTCGTATAATAACCAGACAGAATCATTCTCAGAAAGTGCTTTGTGATGTGTGCGTTCAACTCACAGAGTTTAACCTTTCTTTTCATAGAGGAGTTTGGAAACACACTGTTTGTAAAGTCTGCAATTGGATATATGGACCTGTTTGAGGCCTTCGTTGGAAACGGGATTTCTTCATTGCATGCTAGACGGAAGAATTCTCAGTAAATTCTTTGTGTTGTGTGCATTCAACTGACAGAGTGGAACGTCTCTTTAGACAGAGCAGATTTGAAACACTCTTTTTGCGGAATTTGCAAGTGGAGATTTCTAGCCATTTGATGCCAACAGTAGAAAGGGAAATATCTTCAAATAAAAACCAGACAGAATCATTCTCAGAAAATTCTTTGTGATGTGTGCGTTCAACTCACATAGTTTAACCTTTCTTTTCATAGAGCAGTTTGGAAACACTCTGTTTGTAAAGTCTGCAAGTGGATATATGGACCGCATTGAGGCCTTCGTTGGAAACGGGATTTCTTCATTTCATGCTAGACAGAAGAATTCTCAGTAACTTCTTTGTGCTGTGTGTATTCAACTCACAGAGTGGAACGTCCCTTTGCACAGAGCAGATTTGAAACACTCTTTTTGTGGAATTTGCAAGTGGAGATTTCAAGCGATTTGATGCCAACAGTAGAAAAGGAAATATCTGCAAATAAAAACTAGACAGAATCATTCTCAGAAACTACTTTGTGATGTGTGCCTTCAACTCACAGAGTTTAACCTTTCTTTTCTTAGAGCAGTTTAGAAACACTCTGCTTGTTATGTCTGCAAGTGGATATTTGGACCTCTTTGAGGCCTTCGTTGCAAACGGGGTTTCTTCCTTTAATGCTAGACTAAGAAGAGTTCTCAGTAACTTTTTTGTGTTGTGTGTATTCAACTCACAGAGTTGAACCTTGCTTTAGAGAGAGCAGATTTGAAACACTCTTGCTGTGGCATTTTCAGGTGGAGATTTCAAGCGATTTGAGGACAATTGCAGAAAAGGAAATATCTTCGTATAACAACCAGACAGAATCATTCTCAGAAAGTGCTTTGTGATGTGTGCGTTCAACTCACAGAGTTTAACCTTTCTTTTCATTGAGGAGTTTGGAAACACACTGTTTGTAAAGTCTGCAATTGGATATATGGACCTGTTTGAGGCCTTCGTTGGAAACGGGATTTCTTCATTGAATGCTAGACGGAAGAATTCTCAGTAAATTCTTTGTGTTGTGGGCATTCAACTGACAGAGTGGAACGTCCCTTAAGACAGAGCAGATTTGAAACACTCTTTTTGCGGAATTTGCAAGTGGAGATTTCTAGCCATTTGATGCCAACAGTAGAAAGGGAAATATCTTCAAATAAAAACCAGACAGAATCATTCTCAGAAAATTCTTTGTGATGTGTGCGTTCAACTCACATAGTTTAACCTTTCTTTTCATAGAGCAGTTTGGAAACACTCTGTTTGTAAAGTCTGCAAGTGGATATATGGACCGCATTGAGGCCTTCGTTGGAAACGGGATTTCTTCATTTCATGCTAGACAGAAGAATTCTCAGTAACTTCTTTGTGCTGTGTGTATTCAACTCACAGAGTGGAACGTCCCTTTGCACAGAGCAGATTTGAAACACTCTTTTTGTGGAATTTGCAAGTGGAGATTTCAAGCGATTTGATGCCAACAGTAGAAAAGGAAATATCTTCAAATAAAAACTAGACAGAATCATTCTCAGAAACTACTTTGTGATGTGTGCCTTCAACTCACAGAGTTTAACCTTTCTTTTCTTAGAGCAGTTTAGAAACACTCTGCTTGTTATGTCTGCAAGTGGATATTTGGACCTCTTTGAGGCCTTCGTTGCAAACGGGGTTTCTTCTTTCATGCTAGACTAAGAAGAGTTCTCAGTAACTTTTTTGTGTTGTGTGTATTCAACTCACAGAGTTGAACCTTGCTTTAGAGAGAGCAGATTTGAAACACTCTTGCTGTGGCATTTTCAGGTGGAGATTTCAAGCGATTTGAGGACAATTGCAGAAAAGGAAATATCTTCGTATAATAACCAGACAGAATCATTCTCAGAAAGTGCTTTGTGATGTGTGCGTTCCACTCACAGAGTTTAACCTTTCTTTTCATAGAGGAGTTTGGAAACACACTGTTTGTAAAGTCTGCAAGTGGATATATGGACCTGTTTGAGGCCTTCGTTGGAAACGGGATTTCTTCATTGAATGCTAGACGGAAGAATTCTCAGTAAATTCTTTGTGTTGTGTGCATTCAACTCACAGAGTGGAACGTCCCTTTAGACACAGCAGATTTGAAACACTCTTTTTGCGGAATTTGCAAGTGGAGATTTCTAGCCATTTGATGCCAACAGTAGAAAGGGAAATATCTTCAAATAAAAACCAGACAGAATCATTCTCAGAAAATTCTTTGTGATGTGTGCGTTCAACTCACATAGTTTAACCTTTCTTTTCATAGAGCAGTTTGGGAACACTCTGTTGGTAATGTCTGCAAGTGGATATATGGACCGCTTTGAGGCCTTCGTTGGAAACGGGATTTCTTCATTTCATGCTAGACAGAAGAATTCTCAGTAACTTCTTTGTGCTGTGTGTATTCAACTCACAGAGTGGAACGTCCCTTTGCACAGAGCAGATTTGAAACACTCTTTTTGTGGAGTTTGCAAGTGGAGATTTCAAGCGATTTGATGCCAACAGTAGAAAAGGAAATATCTTCAAATAAAAACTAGACAGAATCATTCTCAGAAACTGCTTTGTGATGTGTGCCTTCAACTCACAGAGTTTAACCTTTCTTTTCTTAGAGCAGTTTAGAAACACTCTGCTTGTTATGTCTGCAAGTGGATATTTGGACCTCTTTGAGGCCTTCGTTGCAAACGGGGTTTCTTCCTTTCATGCTAGACTAAGAAGAGTTCTCAGTAACTTTTTTGTGCTGTGTGTATTCAACTCACAGAGTTGAACCTTGCTTTAGAGAGAGCAGATTTGAAACACTCTTGCTGTGGCATTTTCAGGTGGAGATTTCAAGCGATTTGAGGACAATTGCAGAAAAGGAAATATCTTCGTATAATAACCAGACAGAATCATTCTCAGAAAGTGCTTTGTGATGTGTGCGTTCCACTCACAGAGTTTAACCTTTCTTTTCATAGAGGAGTTTGGAAACACACTGTTTGTAAAGTCTGCAAGTGGATATATGGACCTGTTTGAGGCCTTCGTTGGAAACGGGATTTCTTCATTGAATGCTAGACGGAAGAATTCTCAGTAAATTCTTTGTGTTGTGTGCATTCAACTCACAGAGTGGAACGTCCCTTTAGACAGAGCAGATTTGAAACACTCTTTTTGCGGAATTTGCAAGTGGAGATTTCTAGCCATTTGATGCCAACAGTAGAAAGGGAAATATCTTCAAATAAAAACCAGACAGAATCATTCTCAGAAAATTCTTTGTGATGTGTGCGTTCAACTCACATAGTTTAACCTTTCTTTTCATAGAGCAGTTTGGAAACACTCTGTTTGTAAAGTCTGCAAGTGGATCTATGGACCGCATTGAGGCCTTCGTTGGAAACGGGATTTCTTCATTTCATGCTAGACAGAAGAATTCTCAGTAACTTCTTTGTGCTGTGTGTATTCAACTCACAGAGTGGAACATCCCTTTACACAGAGCAGATTTGAAACACTCTTTTTGTGGAGTTTGCAAGTGGAGATTTCAAGCGATTTGATGCCAACAGTAGAAAATGAAATATCTTCAAATAAAAACTAGACAGAATCATTCTCAGAAACTACTTTGTGATGTGTGCCTTCAACTCACAGAGTTTAACCTTTCTTTTCTTAGAGCAGTTTAGAAACACTCTGCTTGTTATGTCTGCAAGTGGATATTTGGACCTCTTTGAGGCCTTCGTTGCAAAAGGGGTTTCTTCCTTTAATGCTAGACTAAGAAGAGTTCTCAGTAACTTTTTTGTGTTGTGTGTATTCAACTCACAGAGTTGAACCTTGCTTTAGAGAGAGCAGATTTGAAACACTCTTGCTGTGGCATTTTCAGGTGGAGATTTCAAGCGATTTGAGGACAATTGCAGAAAAGGAAATATCTTCGTATAATAACCAGACAGAATCATTCTCAGAAAGTGCTTTGTGATGTGTGCGTTCAACTCACAGAGTTTAACCTTTCTTTTCATAGAGGAGTTTGGAAACACACTGTTTGTAAAGTCTGCAATTGGATATATGGACCTGTTTGAGGCCTTCGTTGGAAACGGGATTTCTTCATTGAATGCTAGACGGAAGAATTCTCAGTAAATTCTTTGTGTTGTGTGCATTCAACTCACAGAGTGGAACGTCCATTTAGACAGAGCAGATTTGAAACACTCTTTTTGCGGAATTTGCAAGTGGAGATTTCTAGCCATTTGATGCCAACAGTAGAAAGGGAAATATCTTCAAATAAAAACCAGACAGAATCATTCTCAGAAAATTCTTTGTGATGTGTGCGTTCAACTCACATAGTTTAACCTTTCTTTTCATAGAGCAGTTTGGAAACACTCTGTTTGTAAAGTCTGCAAGTGGATATATAGACCGCATTGAGGCCTTCGTTGGAAACGGGATTTCTTCATTTCGTGCTAGACAGAAGAATTCTCAGTAACTTCTTCGTGCTGTGTGTATTCAACTCACAGATTGGAACGTCCCTTTACACAGAGCAGATTTGAAACACTCTTTTTGTGGAGTTTGCAAGTGGAGATTTCAAGCGATTTGATGCCAACAGTAGAAAAGGAAATATCTTCAAATAAAAACTAGACAGAATCATTCTCAGAAACTACTTTGTGATGTGTGCCTTCAACTCAGAGTTTAACCTTTCTTTTCTTAGAGCAGTTTAGAAACACTCTGCTTGTTATGTCTGCAAGTGGATATTTGGACCTCTTTGAGGCCTTCGTTGCAAACGGTGTTTCTTCCTTTTATGCTAGACTAAGAAGAGTTCTCAGTAACTTTTTTGTGTTGTGTGTATTCAACTCACAGAGTTGAACCTTGCTTTAGAGAGAGCAGATTTGAAACACTCTTGCTGTGGCATTTTCAGGTGGAGATTTCAAGGGATTTGAGGACAATTGCAGAAAAGGAAATATCTTCGTATAATAACCAGACAGAATCATTCTCAGAAAGTGCTTTGTGATGTGTGCGTTCAACTCACAGAGTTTAACCTTTCTTTTCATAGAGGAGTTTGGAAACACACTGTTTGTAAAGTCTGCAATTGGATATATGGACCTGTTTGAGGCCTTCGTTGGAAACGGGATTTCTTCATTGAATGCTAGACGGAAGAATTCTCAGTAAATTCTTTGTGTTGTGTGCATTCAACTCACAGAGTGGAACGTCCCTTTAGACAGAGCAGATTTGAAACACTCTTTTTGCGGAATTTGCAAGTGGAGATTTCTAGCCATTTGATGCCAACAGTAGAAAGGGAAATATCTTCAAATAAAAACCAGACAGAATCATTCTCAGAAAATTCTTTGTGATGTGTGCGTTCAACTCACATAGTTTAACCTTTCTTTTCATAGAGCAGTTTGGAAACACTCTGTTTGTAAAGTCTGCAAGTGGATATATGGACCGCATTGAGGCCTTCGTTGGAAACGGGATTTCTTCATTTCATGCTAGACAGAAGAATTCTCAGTAACTTCTTTGTGCTGTGTGTATTCAACTCACAGAGTGGAACGTCCCTTTGAACAGAGCAGATTTGAAACACTCTTTTTGTGGAGTTTGCAAGTGGAGATTTCAAGCGATTTGATGCCAACAGTAGAAAAGGAAATATCTTCAAATAAAAACTAGACAGAATCATTCTCAGAAACTACTTTGTGATGTGTACCTTCAACTCACAGAGTTCAACCTTTCTTTTCTTAGAGCAGTTTAGAAACACTCTGCTTGTGATGTCTGCAAGTGGATATTTGGACCTCTTTGAGGCCTTCGTTGCAAACGGGGTTTCTTCCTTTCATGCTAGACTAAGAAGAGTTCTCAGTAACTTTTTTGTGTTGTGTGTATTCAACTCACAGAGTTGAACCTTGCTTTAGAGAGAGCAGATTTGAAACACTCTTGCTGTGGCATTTTCAGGTGGAGATTTCAAGCGTTTTGAGGACAATTGCAGAAAAGGAAATATCTTCGTATAATAACCAGACAGAATCATTCTCAGAAAGTGCTTTGTGATGTGTGCGTTCCACTCACAGAGTTTAACCTTTCTTTTCATAGAGGAGTTTGGAAACACACTGTTTGTAAACTCTGCAAGTGGATATATGGACCTGTTTGAGGCCTTCGTTGGAAACGGGATTTCTTCATTGAATGCTAGACGGAAGAATTCTCAGTAAATTCTTTGTGTTGTGTGCATTCAACTCACAGAGTGGAACGTCCCTTTAGACAGAGCAGATTTGAAACACTCTTTTTGCGGAATTTGCAAGTGGAGATTTCTAGCCATTTGATGCCAACAGTAGAAAGGGAAATATCTTCAAATAAAAACCAGACAGAATCATTCTCAGAAAATTCTTTGTGATGTGTGCGTTCAACTCACATAGTTTAACCTTTCTTTTCATAGAGCAGTTTGGAAACACTCTGTTTGTAAAGTCTGAAAGTGGATATATGGACCGCATTGAGGCCTTCGTTGGAAACGGGATTTCTTCATTTCATGCTAGACAGAAGAATTCTCAGTAACTTCTTTGTGCTGTGTGTATTCAACTCACAGAGTGGAACGTCCCTTTACACAGAGCAGATTTGAAACACTCTTTTTGTGGAGTTTGCAAGTGGAGATTTCAAGCGATTTGATGCCAACAGTAGAAAAGGAAATATCTTCAAATAAAAACTAGACAGAATCATTCTCAGAAACTACTTTGTGATGTGTGCCTTCAACTCACAGAGTTTAACCTTTCTTTTCTTAGAGCAGTTTAGAAACACTCTGCTTGTTATGTCTGCAAGTGGATATTTGGACCTCTTTGAGGCCTTCGTTGCAAACGGGGTTTCTTCCTTTCATGCTAGACTAAGAAGAGTTCTCAGTAACTTTTTTGTGTTGTGTGTATTCAACTCACAGAGTTGAACCTTGCTTTAGAGAGAGCAGATTTGAAACACTCTTGCTGTGGCATTTTCAGGTGGAGATTTCAAGCGATTTGAGGACAATTGCAGAAAAGGAAATATCTTCGTATAACAACCAGACAGAATCATTCTCAGAAAGTGCTTTGTGATGTGTGCGTTCCACTCACAGAGTTTAACCTTTCTTTTCATAGAGGAGTTTGGAAACACACTGTTTGTAAAGTCTGCAAGTGGATATATGGACCTGTTTGAGGCCTTCGTTGGAAACGGGATTTCTTCATTGAATGCTAGGCGGAGGAATTCTCAGTAAATTCTTTGTGTTGTGTGCATTCAACTCACAGAGTGGAACGTCCCTTTAGACAGAGCAGATTTGAAACACTCTTTTTGCGGAATTTGCAAGTGGAGATTTCTAGCCATTTGATGCCAACAGTAGAAAGGGAAATATCTTCAAATAAAAACCAGACAGAATCATTCTCAGAAAATTCTTTGTGATGTGTGCGTTCAACTCACATAGTTTAACCTTTCTTTTCATAGAGCAGTTTGGAAACACTCTGTTTGTGATGTCTGCAAGTGGATATATAGACCGCATTGAGGCCTTCGTTGGAAACGGGATTTCTTCATTTCATGCTAGACAGAAGAATTCTCAGTAACTTCTTTGTGCTGTGTGTATTCAACTCACAGAGTGGAACGTCCCTTTGCACAGAGCAGATTTGAAACACTCTTTTTGTGGAGTTTGCAAGTGGATATTTCAAGCGATTTGATGCCAACAGTAGAAAAGGAAATATCTTCAAATAAAAACTAGACAGAATCATTCTCAGAAACTACTTTGTGATGTGTGCCTTCAACTCACAGAGTTTAACCTTTCTTTTCTTAGAGCAGTTTAGAAACACTCTGCTTGTTATGTCTGCAAGTGGATATTTGGACCTCTTTGAGGCCTTCGTTGCAAACGGGGTTTCTTCCTTTCATGCTAGACTAAGAAGAGTTCTCAGTAACTTTTTTGTGTTGTGTGTATTCAACTCACAGAGTTGAACCTTGCTTTAGAGAGAGCAGATTTGAAACACTCTTGCTGTGGCATTTTCACGTGGAGATTTCAAGCGATTTGAGGACAATTGCAGAAAAGGAAATATCTTCGTATAATAACCAGACAGAATCATTCTCAGAAAGTGCTTTGTGATGTGTGCGTTCAACTCACAGAGTTTAACCTTTCTTTTCATAGAGGAGTTTGGAAACACACTGTTTGTAAAGTCTGCAATTGGATATATGGACCTGTTTGAGGCCTTCGTTGGAAACGGGATTTCTTCATTGAATGCTAGACGGAAGAATTCTCAGTAAATTCTTTGTGTTGTGTGCATTCAACTCACAGAGTGGAACGTCCCTTTAGACAGAGCAGATTTGAAACACTCTTTTTGCGGAATTTGCAAGTGGAGATTTCTAGCCATTTGATGCCAACAGTAGAAAGGGAAATATCTTCAAATAAAAACCAGACAGAATCATTCTCAGAAAATTCTTTGTGATGTGTGCGTTCAACTCACATAGTTTAACCTTTCTTTTCATAGAGCAGTTTGGAAACACTCTGTTTGTAAAGTCTGCAAGTGGATATATGGACCGCATTGAGGCCTTCGTTGGAAACGGGATTTCTTCATTTCATGCTAGACAGAAGAATTCTCAGTAACTTCTTTGTGCTGTGTGTATTCAACTCACAGAGTGGAACGTCCCTTTGCACAGAGCAGATTTGAAACACTCTTTTTGTGGAGTTTGCAAGTGGAGATTTCAAGCGATTTGATGCCAACAGTAGAAAAGGAAGTATCTTCAAATAAAAACTAGACAGAATCATTCTCAGAAACTACTTTGTGATGTGTGCCTTCAACTCACCGAGTTTAACCTTTCTTTTCTGAGAGCAGCTTAGAAACACTCTGCTTGTTATGTCTGCAAGTTGATATTTGGACCTCTTTGAGGCCTTCGTTGCAAACGGGGTTTCTTCATTTAATGCTAGACTAAGAAGAGTTCTCAGTAACTTTTTTGTGTTGTGTGTATTCAACTCACAGAGTTGAACCTTGCTTTAGAGAGAGCAGATTTGAAACACTCTTGCTGTGGCATTTTCAGGTGGAGATTTCAAGCGATTTGAGGACAATTGCAGAAAAGGAAATATCTTCGTATAATAACCAGACAGAATCATTCTCAGAAAGTGCTTTGTGTTGTGTGCGTTCAACTCACAGAGTTTAACCTTTCTTTTCATAGAGGAGTTTGGAAACACACTGTTTGTAAAGTCTGCAATTGGATATATGGACCTGTTTGAGGCCTTCGTTGGAAACGGGATTTCTTCATTGAATGCTAGACGGAAGAATTCTCAGTAAATTCTTTGTGTTGTGTGCATTCAACTCACAGAGTGGAACGTCCCTTTAGACAGAGCAGATTTGAAACACTCTTTTTGCGGAATTTGCAAGTGGAGATTTCTAGCCATTTGATGCCAACAGTAGAAAGGGAAATATCTTCAAATAAAAACCAGACAGAATCATTCTCAGAAAATTCTTTGTGATGTGTGCGTTCAACTCACATAGTTTAACCTTTCTTTTCATAGAGCAGTTTGGAAACACTCTGTTTGTAAAGTCTGCAAGTGGATATATGGACCGCATTGAGGCCTTCGTTGGAAACGGGATTTCTTCATTTCATGCTAGACAGAAGAATTCTCAGTAACTTCTTTGTGCTGTGTGTATTCAACTCACAGAGTGGAACGTCCCTTTACACAGAGCAGATTTGAAACACTCTTTTTGTGGAGTTTGCAAGTGGAGATTTCAAGCGATTTGATGCCAACAGTAGAAAAGGAAATATCTTCAAATAAAAACTAGACAGAATCATTCTCAGAAACTACTTTGTGATGTGTGCCTTTAACTCACAGAGTTTAACCTTTCTTTTCTTAGAGCAGTTTAGAAACACTCTGCTTGTTATGTCTGCAAGTGGATATTTGGACCTCTTTGAGGCCTTCGTTGCAAACGGGGTTTCTTCCTTTCATGCTAGACTAAGAAGTGTTCTCAGTAACTTTTTTGTGTTGTGTGTATTCAACTCACAGAGTTGAACCTTGCTTTAGAGAGAGCAGATTTGAAACACTCTTGCTGTGGCATTTTCAGGTGGAGATTTCAAGCGATTTGAGGACAATTGCAGAAAAGGAAATATCTTCGTATAATAACCAGACAGAATCATTCTCAGAAAGTGCTTTGTGATGTGTGCGTTCAACTCACAGAGTTTAACCTTTCTTTTCATAGAGGAGTTTGGAAACACACTGTTAGTAAAGTCTGCAGGTGGATATATGGACCTGTTTGAGGCCTTCGTTGGAAACGGGATTTCTTCATTGAATGCTAGACGGAAGAATTCTCAGTAAATTCTTTGTGATGTGTGCATTCAACTCACAGAGTGGAACGTCCCTTTAGACAGAGCAGATTTGAAACACTCTTTTTGCGGAATTTGCAACTGGAGATTTCTAGCCATTTGATGCCAACAGTAGAAAGGGAAATATCTTCAAATAAAAACCAGACAGAATCATTCTCAGAAAATTCTTTGTGATGTGTGCGTTCAACTCACATAGTTTAACCTTTCTTTTCATAGAGCAGTTTGGAAACACTCTGTTTGTAAAGTCTGCAAGTGGATATATGGACCGCATTGAGGCCTTCGTTGGAAACGGGATTTCTTCATTTCATGCTAGACAGAAGAATTCTCAGTAACTTCTTTGTGCTCTGTGTATTCAACTCACAGAGTGGAACGTCCCTTTGCACAGAGCAGATTTGAAACACTCTTTTTGTGGAGTTTGCAAGTGGAGATTTCAAGCGATTTGATGCCAACAGTAGAAAAGGAAATATCTTCAAATAAAAACTAGACAGAGAATCATTCTCAGAAACTACTTTGTGATGTGTGCCTTCAACTCACCGAGTTTAACCTTTCTTTTCTGAGAGCAGCTTAGAAACACTCTGCTTGTTATGTCTGCAAGTTGATATTTGGACCTCTTTGAGGCCTTCGTTGCAAACGGGGTTTCTTCCTTTCATGCTAGACTAAGAAGAGTTCTCAGTAACTTTTTTGTGTTGTGTGTATTCAACTCACAGAGTTGAACCTTGCTTTAGAGAGAGCAGATTTGAAACACTCTTGCTGTGGCATTTTCAGGTGGAGATTTCAAGCGATTTGAGGACAATTGCAGAAAAGGAAATATCTTCGTATAATAACCAGACAGAATCATTCTCAGAAAGTGCTTTGTGATGTGTGCGTTCCACTCACAGAGTTTAACCTTTCTTTTCGTAGAGGAGTTTGGAAACACACTGTTTGTAAAGTCTGCAAGTGGATATATGGACCTGTTTGAGGCCTTCGTTGGAAACGGGATTTCTTCATTGAATGCTAGACGGAAGAATTCTCAGTAAATTCTTTGTGTTGTGTGCATTCAACTCACAGAGTGGAACGTCCCTTTAGACAGAGCAGATTTGAAACACTCTTTTTGCGGAATTTGCAAGTGGAGATTTCTAGCCATTTGATGCCAACAGTAGAAAGGGAAATATCTTCAAATAAAAACCAGACAGAATCATTCTCAGAAAATTCTTTGTGATGTGTGCGTTCAACTCACATAGTTTAACCTTTCTTTTCATAGAGCAGTTTGGAAACACTCTGTTTGTAAAGTCTGCAAGTGGATATATGGACCGCATTGAGGCCTTCGTTGGAAACGGGATTTCTTCATTTCATGCTAGACAGAAGAATTCTCAGTAACTTCTTTGTGCTGTGTGTATTCAACTCACAGAGTGGAACGTCCTTTTACACAGAGCAGATTTGAAACACTCTTTTTGTGGAGTTTGCAAGTGGAGATTTCAAGCGATTTGATGCCAACAGTAGAAAAGGAAATATCTTCAAATAAAAACTAGACAGAATCATTCTCAGAAACTACTTTGTGATGTGTGCCTTCAACTCACAGAGTTTAACCTTTCTTTTCTTAGAGCAGTTTAGAAACACTCTGCTTGTTATGTCTGCAAGTGGATATTTGGACCTCTTTGAGGCCTTCGTTGCAAACGGGATTTCTTCCTTTCATGCTAGACTAAGAAGAGTTCTCAGTAACTTTTTTGTGTTGTGTGTATTCAACTCACAGAGTTGAACCTTGCTTTAGAGAGAGCAGATTTGAAACACTCTTGCTGTGGCATTTTCAGGTGGAGATTTCAAGCGATTTGAGGACAATTGCAGAAAAGGAAATATCTTCGTATAATAACCAGACAGAATCATTCTCAGAAAGTGCTTTGTGATGTGTGCGTTCCACTCACAGAGTTTAACCTTTCTTTTCATAGAGGAGTTTGGAAACAAACTGTTTGTAAACTCTGCAAGTGGATATATGGACCTGTTTGAGGCCTTCGTTGGAAACGGGATTTCTTCATTGAATGCTAGACGGAAGAATTCTCAGTAAATTCTTTGTGTTGTGTGCGTTCAACTCACAGAGTGGAACGTCCCTTTAGACAGAGCAGATTTGAAACACTCTTTTTGCGGAATTTGCAAGTGGAGATTTCTAGCCATTTGATGCCAACAGTAGAAAGGGAAATATCTTCAAATAAAAACCAGACAGAATCATTCTCAGAAAATTCTTTGTGATGTGTGCGTTCAACTCACATAGTTTAACCTTTCTTTTCATAGAGCAGTTTGGAAACACTCTGTTTGTAAAGTCTGCAAGTGGATATATGGACCGCATTGAGGCCTTCGTTGGAAACGGGATTTCTTCATTTCATGCTAGACAGAAGAATTCTCAGTAACTTCTTTGTGCTGTGTGTATTCAACTCACAGAGTGGAACGTCCCTTTGCACAGAGCAGATTTGAAACACTCTTTTTGTGGAGTTTGCAAGTGGAGATTTCAAGCGATTTGATGCCAACAGTAGAAAAGGAAATATCTTCAAATAAAAACTAGACAGAATCATTCTCAGAAACTACTTTGTGATGTGTGCCTTCAACTCACAGAGTTTAACCTTTCTTTTCTTAGAGCAGTTTAGAAACACTCTGCTTGTTATGTCTGCAAGTGGATATTTGGACCTCTTTGAGGCCTTCGTTGCAAACGGGGTTTCTTCCTTTCATGCTAGACTAAGAAGAGTTCTCAGTAACTTTTTTGTGTTGTGTGTATTTAACTCACAGAGTTGAACCTTGCTTTAGAGAGAGCAGATTTGAAACACTCTTGCTGTGGCATTTTCAGGTGGAGATTTCAAGCGATTTGAGGACAATTGCAGAAAAGGAAATATCTTCGTATAATAACCAGACAGAAATCATTCTCAGAAAGTGCTTTGTGATGTGTGCGTTCAACTCACAGAGTTTAACCTTTCTTTTCATAGAGGAGTTTGGAAACACACTGTTTGTAAAGTCTGCAATTGGATATATGGACCTGTTTGAGGCCTTCCTTGGAAACGGGATTTCTTCATTGAATGCTAGGCGGAAGAATTCTCAGTAAATTCTTTGTGTTGTGTGCATTCAACTGACAGAGTGGAACTGTCCCTTTAGACAGAGCAGATTTGAAACACTCTTTTTGCGGAATTTGCAAGTGGAGATTTCTAGCCATTTGATGCCAACAGTAGAAAGGGAAATATCTTCAAATAAAAACCAGACAGAATCATTCTCAGAAAATTCTTTGTGATGTGTGCGTTCAACTCACATAGTTTAACCTTTCTTTTCATAGAGCAGTTTGGAAACACTCTGTTTGTAAAGTCTGCAAGTGGATATATAGACCGCATTGAGGCCTTCGTTGGAAACGGGATTTCTTCATTTCGTGCTAGACAGAAGAATTCTCAGTAACTTCTTTGTGCTGTGTGTATTCAACTCACAGAGTGGAACGTCCCTTTACACAGAGCAGATTTGAAACACTCTTTTTGTGGAGTTTGCAAGTGGAGATTTCAAGCGATTTGATGCCAACAGTAGAAAAGGAAATATCTTCAAATAAAAACTAGACAGAATCATTCTCAGAAACTACTTTGTGATGTGTGCCTTCAACTCACAGAGTTTAACCTTTCTTTTCTTAGAGCAGTTTAGAAACACTCTGCTTGTTATGTCTGCAAGTGGATATTTGGACCTCTTTGAGGCCTTCGTTGCAAACGGGGTTTCTTCCTTTCATGCTAGACTAAGAAGAGTTCTCAGTAACTTTTCTGTGTTGTGTGTATTCAACTCACAGAGTTGAACCTTGCTTTAGAGAGAGCAGATTTGAAACACTCTTGCTGTGACATTTTCAGGTGGAGATTTCAAGCGATTTGAGGACAATTGCAGAAAAGGAAATATCTTTGTATAACAACCAGACAGAATCATTCTCAGAAAGTGCTTTGTGATGTGTGCATTCCACTCACAGAGTTTAACCTTTCTTTTCATAGAGGAGTTTGGAAACACACTGTTTGTAAAGTCTGCAATTGGATATATGGACCTGTTTGAGGCCTTCGTTGGAAACGGGATTTCTTCATTGAATGCTAGACGGAAGAATTCTCAGTAAATTCTTTGTGTTGTGTGCATTCAACTCACAGAGTGGAACGTCCCTTTAGACAGAGCAGATTTGAAACACTCTTTTTGCGGAATTTGCAAGTGGAGATTTCTAGCCATTTGATGCCAACAGTAGAAAGGGAAATATCTTCAAATAAAAACCAGACAGAATCATTCTCAGAAAATTCTTTGTGATGTGTGCGTTCAACTCACATAGTTTAACCTTTCTTTTCATAGAGCAGTTTGGAAACACTCTGTTTGTAAAGTCTGCAAGTGGATATATGGACCTCATTGAGGCCTTCGTTGGAAACGGGATTTCTTCATTTCATGCTAGACAGAAGAATTCTCAGTAACTTCTTTGTGCTGTGTGTATTCAACTCACAGAGTGGAACGTCCCTTTGCACAGAGCAGATTTGAAACACTCTTTTTGTGGAGTTTGCAAGTGGAGATTTCAAGCGATTTGATGCCAACAGTAGAAAAGGAAATATCTTCAAATAAAAACTAGGAAGAATCATTCTCAGAAACTACTTTGTGATGTGTGCCTTCAACTCACAGAGTTTAACCTTTCTTTTCTTAGAGCAGTTTAGAAACACTCTGCTTGTTATGTCTGCAAGTGGATATTTGGACCTCTTTGAGGCCTTCGTTGCAAACGGGGTTTCTTCCTTTCATGCTAGACTAAGAAGAGTTCTCAGTAACTTTTTTGTGTTGTGTGTATTCAACTCACAGAGTTGAACCTTGCTTTAGAGAGAGCAGATTTGAAACACTCTTGCTGTGGCATTTTCAGGTGGAGATTTCAAGCGATTTGAGGACAACTGCAGAAAAGGAAGTATCTTCGTATAATAACCAGACAGAATCATTCTCAGAAAGTGCTTTGTGATGTGTGCGTTCAACTCACAGAGTTTAACCTTTCTTTTCATAGAGGAGTTTGGAAACACACTGTTTGTAAAGTCTGCAAGTGGATATATGGACCTGTTTGAGGCCTTCGTTGGAAACGGGATTTCTTCATTGAATGCTAGACGGAAGAATTCTCAGTAAATTCTTTGTGTTGTGTGCATTCAACTCACAGAGTGGAACGTCCCTTTAGACAGAGCAGATTTGAAACACTCTTTTTGCGGAATTTGCAAGTGGAGATTTCTAGCCATTTGATGCCAACAGTAGAAACGGAAATATCTTCAAATAAAAACCAGACAGAATCATTCTCAGAAAATTCTTTGTGATGTGTGCGTTCAACTCACATAGTTTAACCTTTCTTTTCATAGAGCAGTTTGGAAACACTCTGTTTGTAAAGTCTGCAAGTGGATATATGGACCGCATTGAGGCCTTCGTTGGAAACGGGATTTCTTCATTTCATGCTAGACAGAAGAATTCTCAGTAACTTATTTGTGCTGTGTGTATTCAACTCACAGAGTGGAACGTCCCTTTGCACAGAGCAGATTTGAAACACTCTTTTTGTGGAATTTGCAAGTGGAGATTTCAAGCGATTTGATGCCAACAGTAGAAAAGGAAAATATCTTCAAATAAAAACTAGACAGAATCATTCTCAGAAACTACTTTGTGATGTGTGCCTTCAACTCACAGAGTTTAACCTTTCTTTTCTTAGAGCAGTTTAGAAACACTCTGCTTGTTATGTCTGCAAGTGGATATTTGGACCTCTTTGAGGCCTTCGTTGCAAACGGGGTTTCTTCCTTTCATGCTAGACTAAGAAGAGTTCTCAGTAACTTTTCTGTGTTGTGTGTATTCAACTCACACAGTTGAACCTTGCTTTAGAGAGAGCAGATTTGAAACACTCTTGCTGTGGCATTTTCAGGTGGAGATTTCAAGCGTTTTGAGGACAATTGCAGAAAAGGAAATATCTTCGTATAATAACCAGACAGAATCATTCTCAGAAAGTGCTTTGTGATGTGTGCGTTCCACTCACAGAGTTTAACCTTTCTTTTCATAGAGGAGTTTGGAAACACACTGTTTGTAAACTCTGCAAGTGGATATATGGACCTCTTTGAGGCCTTCGTTGGAAACGGGATTTCTTCATTGAATGCTAGACGGAAGAATTCTCAGTAAATTCTTTGTGTTGTGTGCATTCAACTCACAGAGTGGAACGTCCCTTTAGACAGAGCAGATTTGAAACACTCTTTTTGCGGAATTTGCAAGTGGAGATTTCTAGCCATTTGATGCCAACAGTAGAAAGGGAAATATCTTCAAATAAAAACCAGACAGAATCATTCTCAGAAAATTCTTTGTGATGTGTGCGTTCAACTCACATAGTTTAACCTTTCTTTTCATAGAGCAGTTTGGAAACACTCTGTTTGTAAAGTCTGCAAGTGGATATATGGACCGCATTGAGGCCTTCGTTGGAAACGGGATTTCTTCATTTCATGCTAGACAGAAGAATACTCAGTAACTTCTTTGTGCTGTGTGTATTCAACTCACAGAGTGGAACGTCCCTTTACACAGAGGAGATTTGAAACACTCTTTTTGTGGAGTTTGCAAGTGGAGATTTCAAGCGATTTGATGCCAACAGTAGAAAAGGAAATATCTTCAAATAAAAACTAGACAGAATCATTCTCAGAAACTACTTTGTGATGTGTGCCTTCAACTCACAGAGTTTAACCTTTCTTTTCTTAGAGCAGTTTAGAAACACTCTGCTTGTTATGTCTGCAAGTGGATATTTGGACCTCTTTGAGGCCTTCGTTGCAAACGGGGTTTCTTCCTTTCATGCTAGACTAAGAAGAGTTCTCAGTAACTTTTTTGTGTTGTGTGTATTCAACTCACAGAGTTGAAACTTGCTTTAGAGAGAGCAGATTTGAAACACTCTTGCTGTGGCATTTTCAGGTGGAGATTTCAAGCGATTTGAGGACAATTGCAGAAAAGGAAATATCTTCATATAATAACCAGACAGAATCATTCTCAGAAAGTGCTTTGTGATGTGTGCGTTCAACTCACAGAGTTTAACCTTTCTTTTCATAGAGGAGTTTGGAAACACACTGTTTGTAAAGTCTGCAATTGGATATATGGACCTGTTTGAGGCCTTCGTTGGAAACGGGATTTCTTCATTGAATGCTAGACGGAAGAATTCTCAGTAAATTCTTTGTGTTGTGTGCATTCAACTCACAGAGTGGAACGTCCCTTTAGACAGAGCAGATTTGAAACACTCTTTTTGCGGAATTTGCAAGTGGAGATTTCTAGCCATTTGATGCCAACAGTAGAAAGGGAAATATCTTCAAATAAAAACCAGACAGAATCATTCTCAGAAAATTCTTTGTGATGTGTGCGTTCAACTCACATAGTTTAACCTTTCTTTTCATAGAGCAGTTTGGAAACACTCTGTTTGTAAAGTCTGCAAGTGGATATATGGACCGCATTGAGGCCTTCGTTGGAAACGGGATTTCTTCATTTCATGCTAGACAGAAGAATTCTCAGTAACTTCTTTGTGCTGTGTGTATTCAACTCACAGAGTGGAACGTCCCTTTGCACAGAGCAGATTTGAAACACTCTTTTTGTGGAGTTTGCAAGTGGAGATTTCAAGCGATTTGATGCCAACAGTAGAAAAGGAAATATCTTCAAATAAAAACTAGACAGAATCATTCTCAGAAACTACTTTGTGATGTGTGCCTTCAACTCACAGAGTTTAACCTTTCTTTTCTTAGAGCAGTTTAGAAACACTCTGCTTGTTATGTCTGCAAGTGGATATTTGGACCTCTTTGAGGCCTTCGTTGCAAACGGGGTTTCTTCCTTTCATGCTAGACTAAGAAGAGTTCTCAGTAACTTTTTTGTGTTGTGTGTATTCAACTCACAGAGTTGAACCTTGCTTTAGAGAGAGCAGATTTGAAACACTCTTGCTGTGGCATTTTCAGGTGGAGATTTCAAGCGATTTGAGGACAATTGCAGAAAAGGAAATATCTTCGTATAATAACCAGACAGATAATCATTCTCAGAAAGTGCTTTGTGATGTGTGCGTTCCACTCACAGAGTTTAACCTTTCTTTTCATAGAGGAGTTTGGAAACACACTGTTTGTAAAGTCTGCAAGTGGATATATGGACCTCTTTGAGGCCTTCGTTGGAAACGGGATTTCTTCATTGAATGCTAGACGGAAGAATTCTCAGTAAATTCTTTGTGTTGTGTGCATTCAACTCACAGAGTGGAACGTCCCTTTAGACAGAGCAGATTTGAAACACTCTTTTTGCGGAATTTGCAAGTGGAGATTTCTAGCCATTTGATGCCAACAGTAGAAAGGGAAATATCTTCAAATAAAAACCAGACAGAATCATTCTCAGAAAATTCTTTGTGATGTGTGCGTTCAACTCACATAGTTTAACCTTTCTTTTCATAGAGCAGTTTGGAAACACTCTGTTTGTAAAGTCTGCAAGTGGATATATGGACCGCATTGAGGCCTTCGTTGGAAACGGGATTTCTTCATTTCATGCTAGACAGAAGAATTCTCAGTAACTTCTTTGTGCTGTGTGTATTCAACTCACAGAGTGGAACGTCCCTTTGCACAGAGCAGATTTGAAACACTCTTTTTGTGGAATTTGCAAGTGGAGATTTCAAGCGATTTGATGCCAACAGTAGAAAAGGAAATATCTTCAAATAAAAACTAGACAGAATCATTCTCAGAAACTACTTTGTGATGTGTGCCTTCAACTCACAGAGTTTAACCTTTCTTTTCTTAGAGCAGTTTAGAAACACTCTGCTTGTTATGTCTGCAAGTGGATATTTGGACCTCTTTGAGGCCTTCGTTGCAAACGGGGTTTCTTCCTTTCATGCTAGACTAAGAAGAGTTCTCAGTAACTTTTTTGTGTTGTGTGTATTCAACTCACAGAGTTGAACCTTGCTTTAGAGAGAGCAGATTTGAAACACTCTTGCTGTGGCATTTTCAGGTGGAGATTTCAAGCGATTTGAGGACAATTGCAGAAAAGGAAATATCTTCGTATAATAACCAGACAGAATCATTCTCAGAAAGTGCTTTGTGATGTGTGCGTTCAACTCACAGAGTTTAACCTTTCTTTTCATAGAGGAGTTTGGAAACACACTGTTTGTAAAGTCTGCAATTGGATATATGGACCTGTTTGAGGCCTTCGTTGGAAACGGGATTTCTTCATTGAATGCTAGACGGAAGAATTCTCAGTAAATTCTTTGTGTTGTGTGCATTCAACTCACAGAGTGGAACGTCCCTTTAGACAGAGCAGATTTGAAACACTCTTTTTGCGGAATTTGCAAGTGGAGATTTCTAGCCATTTGATGCCAACAGTAGAAAGGGAAATATCTTCAAATAAAAACCAGACAGAATCATTCTCAGAAAATTCTTTGTGATGTGTGCGTTCAACTCACATAGTTTAACCTTTCTTTTCATAGAGCAGTTTGGAAACACTCTGTTTGTAAAGTCTGCAAGTGGATATATGGACCGCATTGAGGCCTTCGTTGGAAACGGGATTTCTTCATTTCATGCTAGACAGAAGAATTCTCAGTAACTTCTTTGTGCTGTGTGTATTCAACTCACAGAGTGGAACGTCCCTTTGCACAGAGCAGATTAGAAACACTCTTTTTGTGGAATTTGCAAGTGGAGATTTCAAGCGATTTGATGCCAACAGTAGAAAAGGAAATATCTTCAAATAAAAACTAGACAGAATCATTCTCAGAAACTACTTTGTGATGTGTGCCTTCAACTCACAGAGTTTAACCTTTCTTTTCTTAGAGCACTTTAGAAACACTCTGCTTGTTATGTCTGCAAGTGGATATTTGGACCTCTTTGAGGCCTTCGTTGCAAACGGGGTTTCTTCCTTTACATGCTAGACTAAGAAGAGTTCTCAGTAACTTTTTTGTGTTGTGTGTATTCAACTCACAGAGTTGAACCTTGCTTTAGAGAGAGCAGATTTGAAACACTCTTGCTGTGGCATTTTCAGGTGGAGATTTCAAGCGTTTTGAGGACAATTGCAGAAAAGGAAATATCTTCGTATAATAACCAGACAGAATCATTCTCAGAAAGTGCTTTGTGATGTGTGCGTTCCACTCACAGAGTTTAACCTTTCTTTTCATAGAGGAGTTTGGAAACACACTGTTTGTAAAGTCTGCAAGTGGATATATGGACCTCTTTGAGGCCTTCGTTGGAAACGGGATTTCTTCATTGAATGCTAGACGGAAGAATTCTCAGTAAATTCTTTGTGTTGTGTGCATTCAACTCACAGAGTGGAACGTCCCTTTAGACAGAGCAGATTTGAAACACTCTTTTTGCGGAATTTGCAAGTGGAGATTTCTAGCCATTTGATGCCAACAGTAGAAAGGGAAATATCTTCAAATAAAAACCAGACAGAATCATTCTCAGAAAATTCTTTGTGATGTGTGCGTTCAACTCACATAGTTTAACCTTTCTTTTCATAGAGCAGTTTGGAAACACTCTGTTTGTAAAGTCTGCAAGTGGATATATGGACCGCATTGAGGCCTTCGTTGGAAACGGGATTTCTTCATTTCATGCTAGACAGAAGAATTCTCAGTAACTACTTTGTGCTGTGTGTATTCACCTCACAGAGTGGAACGTTCCTTTACACAGAGCAGATTTGAAACACTCTTTTTGTGGAAATTGCAAGTGGAGATTTCAAGCGATTTGATGCCAACAGTAGAAAAGGAATTATCTTCAAATAAAAACTAGACAGAATCATTCTCAGAAACTTCTTTGTGATGTGTGCCCTCAACTCACAGAGTTTAACCTTTCTTTTCTTAGAGCAGTTTAGAAACACTCTGCTTGTTATGTCTGCAAGTGGATATTTGGACCTCTTTGAGGCCTTCGTTGCAAACGGGGTTTCTTCCTTTCATGCTAGACTAAGAAGAGTTCTCAGTAACTTTTTTGTGTTGTGTGTATTCAACTCACAGAGTTGAACCTTGCTTTAGAGAGAGCAGATTTGAAACACTCTTGCTGTGGCATTTTCAGGTGGAGATTTCAAGCGTTTTGAGGACAATTGCAGAAAAGGAAATATCTTCGTATAATAACCAGACAGAATCATTCTCAGAAAGTGCTTTGTGATGTGTGTGTTCCACTCACAGAGTTTAACCTTTCTTTTCATAGAGGAGTTTGGAAACACACTGTTTGTAAAGTCTGCAAGTGGATATATGGACCTGTTTGAGGCCTTCGTTGGAAACGGGATTTCTTCATTGAATGCTAGACGGAAGAATTCTCAGTAAATTCTTTGTGTTGTGTGCATTCAACTCACAGAGTGGAACGTCCCTTTAGACAGAGCAGATTTGAAACACTCTTTTTGCGGAATTTGCAAGTGGAGATTTCTAGCCATTTGATGCCAACAGTAGAAAGGGAAATATCTTCAAATAAAAACCAGGCAGAATCATTCTCAGAAAATTCATTGTGATGTGTGCGTTCAACTCACATAGTTTAACCTTTCTTTTCATAGAGCAGTTTGGAAACACTCTGTTTGTAAAGTCTGCAAGTGGATATATGGACCGCATTGAGGCCTTCGTTGGAAACGGGATTTCTTCATTTCATGCTAGACCGAAGAATTCTCAGTAACTTCTTTGTGCTGTGTGTATTCAACTCACAGAGTGGAACGTCCCTTTGCACAGAGCAGATTTGAAACACTCTTTTTGTGGAATTTGCAAGTGGAGATTTCAAGCGATTTGATGCCAACAGTAGAAAAGGAAATATCTTCAAATAAAAACTAGACAGAATCATTCTCAGAAACTACTTTGTGATGTGTGCCTTCAACTCACAGAGTTTAACCTTTCTTTTCTTAGAGCAGTTTAGAAACACTCTGCTTGTTATGTCTGCAAGTGGATATTTGGACCTCTTTGAGGCCTTCGTTGCAAACGGGGTTTCTTCCTTTCATGCTAGACTAAGAAGAGTTCTCAGTAACTTTTTTGTGTTGTGTGTATTCAACTCACAGAGTTGAACCTTGCTTTAGAGAGAGCAGATTTGAAACACTCTTGCTGTGGCATTTTCAGGTGGAGATTTCAAGCGATTTGAGGACAATTACAGAAAAGGAAATATCTTCGTATAACAACCAGACAGAATCATTCTCAGAAAGTGCTTTGTGATGTGTGCGTTCAACTCACAGAGCTTAACCTTTCTTTTCATAGAGGAGTTTGAAAACACACTGTTTGTAAAGTCTGCAATTGGATATATGGACCTGTTTGAGGCCTTCGTTGGAAACGGGATTTCTTCATTGAATGCTAGACGGAAGAATTCTCAGTAAATTCTTTGTGTTGTGTGCATTCAACTCACAGAGTGGAACGTCCCTTTAGACAGAGCAGATTTGAAACACTCTTTTTGCGGAATTTGCAAGTGGAGATTTCTAGCCATTTGATGCCAACAGTAGAAAGGGAAATATCTTCAAATAAAAACCAGACAGAATCATTCTCAGAAAATTCTTTGTGATGTGTGCGTTCAACTCACATAGTTTAACCTTTCTTTTCATAGAGCAGTTTGGAAACACTCTGTTTGTAAAGTCTGCAAGTGGATATATGGACCGCATTGAGGCCTTCGTTGGAAACGGGATTTCTTCATTTCATGCTAGACAGAAGAATTCTCAGTAACTTCTTTGTGCTGTGTGTATTCCACTCACAGAGTGGAACGTCCCTTTACACAGAGCAGATTTGAAACACTCTTTTTGTGGAGTTTGCAAGTGGAGATTTCAAGCGATTTGATGCCAACAGTAGAAAAGGAAATATCTTCAAATAAAAACTAGACAGAATCATTCTCAGAAAGTGCTTTGTGATGTGTGCGTTCAACTCACAGAGTTTAACCTTTCTTTTCTTAGAGCAGTTTAGAAACACTCTGCTTGTTATGTCTGCAAGTGGATATTTGGACCTCTTTGAGGCCTTCGTTGCAAACGGGGTTTCTTCCTTTCATGCTAGACTAAGAAGAGTTCTCAGTAACTTTTTTGTGTTGTGTGTATTCAACTCACAGAGTTGAACCTTGCTTTAGAGAGAGCAGATTTGAAACACTCTTGCTGTGGCATTTTCAGGTGGAGATTTCAAGCGATTTGAGGACAATTGCAGAAAAGGAAATATCTTCGTATAATAACCAGACAGAATCATTCTCAGAAAGTGCTTTGTGATGTGTGCGTTCAACTCACAGAGTTTAACCTTTCTTTTCATAGAGGAGTTTGGAAACACACTGTTTGTAAAGTCTGCAAGTGGATATATGGACCTGTTTGAGGCCTTCGTTGGAAACGGGATTTCTTCATTGAATGCTAGACGGGAAGAATTCTCAGTAAATTCTTTGTGTTGTGTGCATTGAACTCACAGAGTGGAACGTCCCTTTAGACAGAGCAGATTTGAAACACTCTTTTTGCGGAATTTGCAAGTGGAGATTTCTACCCATTTGATGTCAACAGTAGAAAGGGAAATATCTTCAAATAAAAACCAGACAGAATCATTCTCAGAAAATTCTTTGTGATGTGTACTTTCAACTCACATAGTTTAACCTTTCTTTTCATAGAGCAGTTTGGAAACACTCTGTTTGTAAAGTCTGCAAGTGGATATATGGACCGCATTGAGGCCTTCGTTGGAAACGGGATTTCTTCATTTCATGCTAGACAGAAGAATTCTCAGTAACTTCTTTGTGCTGTGTGTATTCAACTCACAGAGTGGAACGTCCCTTTGCACAGAGCAGATTTGAAACACTCTTTTTGTGGAGTTTGCAAGTGGAGATTTCAAGCGATTTGATGCCAACAGTAGAAAAGGAAATATCTTCAAATAAAAAATAGACAGAATCATTCTCAGAAACTACTTTGTGATGTGTGCCTTTAACTCACAGAGTTTAACCTTTCTTTTCTTAGAGCAGTTTAGAAACACTCTGCTTGTTATGTCTGCAAGTGGATATTTGGACCTCTTTGAGGCCTTCGTTGCAAACGGGGTTTCTTCCTTTCATGCTAGACTAAGAAGAGTTCTCAGCAACTTTTTTGTGTTGTGTGTATTCAACTCACAGAGTTGAACCTTGCTTTAGAGAGAGCAGATTTGAAACACTCTCGCTGTGGAATTTTCAGGTGGAGATTTCAAGCGATTTGAGGACAATTGCAGAAAAGGAAATATCTTCGTATAATAACCAGACAGAATCATTCTCAGAAAGTGCTTTGTGATGTGTGCGTTCAACTCACAGAGTTTAACCTTTCTTTTCATAGAGGAGTTTGGAAACACACTGTTTGTAAAGTCTGCAATTGGATATATGGACCTGTTTGAGGCCTTCGTTGGAAACGGGATTTCTTCATTGAATGCTAGACGGAAGAATTCTCAGTAAATTCTTTGTGTTGTGTGCATTCAACTCACAGAGTGGAACGTCCCTTTAGACAGAGCAGATTTGAAACACTCTTTTTGTGGAATTTGCAAGTGGAGATTTCTAGCCATTTGTTGCCAACAGTAGAAAGGGAAATATCTTCAAATAAAAACCAGACAGAATCATTCTCAGAAAATTCTTTGTGATGTGTGCTTTCAACTCACATAGTTTAACCTTTCTTTTCATAGAGCAGTTTGGAAACACTCTGTTTGTAAAGTCTGCAAGTGGATATATGGACCGCATTGAGGCCTTCGTTGGAAACGGGATTTCTTCATTTCATGCTAGACAGAAGAATTCTCAGTAACTTCTTTGTGCTGTGTGTATTCAACTCACAGAGTGGAACGTCCCTTTGCACAGAGCAGATTTGAAACACTCTTTTTGTGGAGTTTGCAAGTGGAGATTTCAAGCGATTTGATGCCAACAGTAGAAAAGGAAATATCTTCAAATAAAAACTAGACAGAATCATTCTCAGAAACTACTTTGTGATGTGTGCCTTCAACTCACAGAGTTTAACCTTTCTTTTCTTAGAGCAGTTTAGAAACACTCTGCTTGTTATGTCTGCAAGTGGATATTTGGACCTCTTTGAGGCCTTCGTTGCAAACGGGGTTTCTTCCTTTCATGCTAGACTAAGAAGAGTTCTCAGTAACTTTTTTGTGTTGTGTGTATTCAACTCACAGAGTTGAACCTTGCTTTAGAGAGAGCAGATTTGAAACACTCTTGCTGTGGCATTTTCAGGTGGAGATTTCAAGCGATTTGAGGACAATTGCAGAAAAGGAAATATCTTCGTATAATAACCAGACAGAATCATTCTCAGAAAGTGCTTTGTGATGTGTGCGTTCAACTCACAGAGTTTAACCTTTCTTTTCATAGAGGAGTTTGGAAACACACTGTTTGTAAAGTCTGCAAGTGGATATATGGACCTGTTTGAGGCCTTCGTTGGAAACGGGATTTCTTCATTGAATGCTAGACGGAAGAATTCTCAGTAAATTCTTTGTGTTGTGTGCATTCAACTCACAGAGTGGAACGTCCCTTTAGACAGAGCAGATTTGAAACACTCTTTTTGCGGAATTTGCAAGTGGAGATTTCTAGCCATTTGATGCCAACAGTAGAAAGGGAAATATCTTCAAATAAAAACCAGACAGAATCATTCTCAGAAAATTCTTTGTGATGTGTGCGTTCAACTCACATAGTTTAACCTTTCTTTTCATAGAGCAGTTTGGAAACACTCTGTTTGTAAAGTCTGCAAGTGGATCTATGGACCGCATTGAGGCCTTCGTTGGAAACGGGATTTCTTCATTTCATGCTAGACAGAAGAATTCTCAGTAACTTCTTTGTGCTGTGTGTATTCAACTCACAGAGTGGAACGTCCCTTTACACAGAGAAGATTTGAAACACTCTTTTTGTGGAGTTTGCAAGTGGAGATTTCAAGCGATTTGATGCCAACAGTAGAAAAGGAAATATCTTCAAATAAAAACTAGACAGAATCATTCTCAGAAACTACTTTGTGATGTGTGCCTTCAACTCACAGAGTTTAACCTTTCTTTTCTTAGAGCAGTTTAGAAACACTCTGCTTGTTATGTCTGCAAGTGGATATTTGGACCTCTTTGAGGCCTTCGTTGCAAACGGGGTTTCTTCCTTTCATGCTAGACTAAGAAGAGTTCTCAGTAACTTTTTTGTGTTGTGTGTATTCAACTCACAGAGTTGAACCTTGCTTTAGAGAGAGCAGATTTGAAACACTCTTGCTGTGGCATTTTCAGGTGGAGATTTCAAGCGATTTGAGGACAATTGCAGAAAAGGAAATATCTTCGTATAATAACCAGACAGAATCATTCTCAGAAAGTGCTTTGTGATATGTGCGTTCAACTCACAGAGTTTAACCTTTCTTTTCATAGAGGAGTTTGGAAACACACTGTTTGTAAAGTCTGCAATTGGATATATGGACCTGTTTGAGGCCTTCGTTGGAAACGGGATTTCTTCATTGAATGCTAGACGGAAGAATTCTCAGTAAATTCTTTGTGTTGTGTGCATTCAACTGAGAGAGTGGAACGTCCCTTTAGACAGAGCAGATTTGAAACACTCTTTTTGCGGAATTTGCAAGTGGAGATTTCTAGCCATTTGATGCCAACTGTAGAAAGGGAAATATCTTCAAATAAAAACCAGACAGAATCATCCTCATAAAATTCTTTGTGATGTGTGCGTTCAACTCACATAGTTTAACCTTTCTTTTCATAGACCAGTTTGGAAACACTCTGTTGGTAATGTCTGCAAGTGGAAAGATGGACCGCTTTGAGGACTTCGTTGGAAACGGGATTTCTTAATTTCATGCTAGACAGAAGAATTCTCAGTAACTTCTTTGTGTTGTGTGTATTCAACTGACAGATTGGAATGTCCCATTACACAGAGCAGTTTTGAAACACTCTTTTTGTGGAATTTAAAAGTGGAGAATTCAAGCGATTTGATGCCAACAGTTGAAAAGGAAATATCTTCAAATAAAAACTAGACAGAATCATTCTCAGAAACTACTTTGTGATGTGTGCCTTCAACTCACAGAGTTTAACCTTTCTTTTCTTAGAGCAGTTTAGAAACACTCTGCTTGTTATGTCTGCAAGTGGATATTTGGACCTCTTTGAGGCCTTCGTTGCAAACGGGGTTTCTTCCTTTAATGCTAGACTAAGAAGACTTCTCAGTAACTTTTTTGTGTTGTGTGCATTCAACTCACAGAGTGGAACGTCCCTTTAGACAGAGCAGATTTGAAACACTCTTTTTGCGGAAGTTGCAAGTGGAGATTTCTAGCCATTTGATGCCAACAGTACAAAGGGAAATATCTTCAAATAAAAACTAGACAGAATCATTCTCAGAAAATTCTTTGTGATGTGTGCGTTCAACTCACATAGTTTAACCTTTCTTTTCATAGAGCAGTTTGGAAACACTCTGTTTGTAAAGTCTGCAAGTGGATATATGGACCGCATTGAGGCCTTCGTTGGAAACGGGATTTCTTCATTTCATGCTAGACAGAATAATTCTCAGTAACTTCTTTGTGCTGTGTGTATTCAACTCACAGAGTGGAACGTCCCTTTACACAGAGCAGATTTGAAACACTCTTTTTGTGGAGTTTGCAAGTGGAGATTTCAAGCGATTTGATGCCAACAGTAGAAAAGGAAATATCTTCAAATAAAAACTAGACAGAATCATTCTCAGAAACTACTTTGTGATGTGTGCCTTCAACTCACAGAGTTTAACCTTTCTTTTCTTAGAGCAGTTTAGAAACACTCTGGTTGTTATGTCTGCAAGTGGATATTTGGACCTCTTTGAGGCCTTCGTTGCAAACGGCGTTTCTTCCTTTAATGCTAGACTAAGAAGAGTTCTCAGTAACTTTTTTGTGTTGTGTGTATTCAACTCACAGAGTTGAACCTTGCTTTAGAGAGAGCAGATTTGAAACACTCTTGCTGTGGCATTTTCAGGTGGAGATTTCAAGCGATTTGAGGACAATTGCAGAAAAGGAAATATCTTCGTATAATAACCAGACAGAATCATTCTCAGAAAGTGCTTTGTGATGTGTGCGTTCAACTCACAGAGTTTAACCTTTCTTTTCATAGAGGAGTTTGGAAACACACTGTTTGTAAAGTCTGCAAGTGGATACATGGACCTGTTTGAGGCCTTCGTTGGAAACGGGATTTCTTCATTGAATGCTAGACGGAAGAATTCTCAGTAAATTCTTTGTGTTGTGTGCATTCAACTCACAGAGTGGAACGTCCCTTTAGACAGAGCAGATTTGAAACACTCTTTTTGCGGAATTTGCAAGTGGAGATTTCTAGCCATTTGATGCCAACAGTAGAAAGGGAAATATCTTCAAATAAAAACCAGACAGAATCATTCTCAGAAAATTCTTTGTGATGTGTGCGTTCAACTCACATAGTTTAACCTTTCTTTTCATAGAGCAGTTTGGAAACACTCTGTTTGTAAAGTCTGCAAGTGGATATATGGACCGCATTGAGGCCTTCGTTGGAAACGGGATTTCTTCATTTCATGCTAGACAGAAGAATTCTCAGTAACTTCTTTGTGCTGTGTGTATTCAACTCACAGAGTGGAACGTCCCTTTGCACAGAGCAGATTTGAAACACTCTTTTTGTGGAGTTTGCTAGTGGAGATTTCAAGCGATTTGATGCCAACAGTAGAAAAGGAAATATCTTCAAATAAAAACTAGACAGAATCATTCTCAGAAACTACTTTGTGATGTGTGCCTTCAACTCACAGAGTTTAACCTTTCTTTTCTTAGAGCAGTTTAGAAACACTCTGCTTGTTATGTCTGCAAGTGGATATTTGGACCTCTTTGAGGCCTTCGTTGCAAACGGGGTTTCTTCCTTTCATGCTAGACTAAGAAGAGTTCTCAGTAACTTTTTTGTGTTGTGTGTATTCAACTCACAGAGTTGAACCTTGCTTTAGAGAGAGCAGATTTGAAACACTCTTGCTGTGACATTTTCAGGTGGAGATTTCAAGCGATTTGAGGACAATTGCAGAAAAGGAAATATCTTCGTATAATAACCAGAAAGAATCATTCTCAGAAAGTGCTTTGTGATGTGTGCGTTCAACTCACAGAGTTTAACTTTTCTTTCCATAGAGGAGTTTGGAAACACACTGTTTGTAAAGTCTGCAAGTGGATATATGGACCTGTTTGAGGCCTTCGTTGGAAACGGGATTTCTTCATTGAATGCTAGACGGAAGAATTCTCAGTAAATTCTTTGTGTTGTGTGCATTCAACTGACAGAGTGGAACGTCCCTTTAGACAGAGCAGATTTGAAACACTCTTTTTGCGGAATTTGCAAGTGGAGATTTCTAGCCATTTGATGCCAACAGTAGAAAGGGAAATATCTTCAAATAAAAACCAGACAGAATCATTCTCAGAAAATTCTTAGTGATGTGTGCGTTCAACTCACATAGTTTAACCTTTCTTTTCATAGAGCAGTTTGGAAACACTCTGTTTGTAAAGTCTGCAAGTGGATATATGGACCGCATTGAGGCCTTCGTTGGAAACGGTATTTCTTCATTTCATGCTAGACAGAAGAATTCTCAGTAACTTCTTTGTGCTGTGTGTATTCAACTCACAGAGTGGAACGTCCCTTTGCACAGAGCAGATTTGAAACACTCTTTTTGTGGAGTTTGCAAGTGGAGATTTCAAGCGATTTGATGCCAACAGTAGAAAAGGAAATATCTTCAAATAAAAACTAGACAGAATCATTCTCAGAAACTACTTTGTGATGTGTGCCTTCAACTCACAGAGTTTAACCTTTCTTTTCTTAGAGCAGTTTAGAAACACTCTGCTTGTTATGTCTGCAAGTGGATATTTGGACCTCTTTGAGGCCTTCGTTGCAAACGGGGTTTCTTCCTTTAATGCTAGACTAAGAACAGTTCTCAGTAACTTTTTTGTGTTGTGTGTATTCAACTCACAGAGTTGAACCTTGCTTTAGAGAGAGCAGATTTGAAACACTCTCGCTGTGGAATTTTCAGGTGGAGATTTCAAGCGATTTGAGGAGAATTGCAGAAAAGGAAATATCTTCGTATAATAACCAGACAGAATCATTCTCAGAAACTACTTTGTGATGTGTGCCTTCAACTCACAGAGTTTAACCTTTCTTTTCATAGAGGAGTTTGGAAACACACTGTTTGTAAAGTCTGCAATTGGATATATGGACCTGTTTGAGGCCTTCGTTGGAAACGGGATTTCTTCATTGAATGCTAGACGGAAGAATTCTCAGTAAATACTTTGTGTTGTGTGCATTCAACTCACAGAGTGGAACGTCCCTTTAGACAGAGCAGATTTGAAACACTCTTTTTGCGGAATTTGCAAGTGGAGATTTCTAGCCATTTGATGCCAACAGTAGAAAGGGAAATATCTTCAAATAAAAACCAGACAGAATCATTCTCAGAAAATTCTTTGTGATGTGAGCGTTCAACTCACATAGTTTAACCTTTCTTTTCATAGAGCAGTTTGGAAACACTCTGTTTGTAAAGTCTGCAAGTGGATATATGGACCGCATTGAGGCCTTCGTTGGAAACGGGATTTCTTCATTTCATGCTAGACAGAAGAATTCTCAGTAACTTCTTTGTGCTGTGTGTATTCAACTCACAGAGTGGAACGTCCCTTTACACAGAGCAGATTTGAAACACTCTTTTTGTGGAGTTTGCAAGTGGAGATTTCAAGCGATTTGATGCCAACAGTAGAAAAGGAAATATCTTCAAATAAAAACTAGACAGAATCATTCTCAGAAACTACTTTGTGATGTGTGCCTTCAACTCACAGAGTTTAACCTTTCTTTTCTTAGAGCAGTTTAGAAACACTCTGCTTGTTATGTCTGCAAGTGGATATTTGGACCTCTTTGAGGCCTTCGTTGCAAACGGGGTTTCTTCCTTTCATGCTAGACTAAGAAGAGTTCTCAGTAACTTTTTTGTGTTGTGTGTATTCAACTCACAGAGTTGAACCTTGCTTTAGAGAGAGCAGATTTGAAACACTCTTGCTGTGGCATTTTCAGGTGGAGATTTCAAGCGATTTGAGGACAATTGCAGAAAAGGAAATATCTTCGTACAATAACCAGACAGAATCATTCTCAGAAAGTGCTTTGTGATTTGTGCGTTCAACTCACAGAGTTTAACCTTTCTTTTCATAGAGGAGTGTGGAAACACACTGTTTGTAAAGTCTGCAATTGGATATATGGACCTGTTTGAGGCCTTCGTTGGAAACGGGATTTCTTCATTGAATGCTAGACGGAAGAATTCTCAGTAAATTCTTTGTGTTGTGTGCATTCAACTCGCCGAGTGGAACCGTCCCTTTAGACAGAGCAGATTTGAAACACTCTTTTTGCGAAATTTGGAAGTGGAGATTTCAAGCCATTTGATGCCAACAGTAGAAAGGGAAATATCTTCAAATAAAAATCAGACAGAATCATTCTCAGAAAATTCTTTGTGATGTGTGCGTTCAACTCACATAGTTTAACCTTTCTTTTCATAGAGCAGTTTGGAAACACTCTGTTTGTAAAGTCTGCAAGTGGATATATGGACCGCATTGAGGCCTTCGTTGGAAACGGGATTTCTTCATTTCATGCTAGACAGAAGAATTCTCAGTAACTTCTTTGTGCTGTGTGTATTCAACTCACAGAGTGGAACGTCCCTTTACACAGAGCAGATTTGAAACACTCTTTTTGTGGAGTTTGCAAGTGGAGATTTCAAGCGATTTGATGCCAACAGTAGAAAAGGAAATATCTTCAAATAAAAACTAGACAGAATCATTCTCAGAAACTACTTTGTGATGTGTGCCTTCAACTCACAGAGTTTAACCTTTCTTTTCTTAGAGCAGTTTAGAAACACTCTGCTTGTTATGTCTGCAAGTGGATATTTGGACCTCTTTGAGGCCTTCGTTGCAAACGGGGTTTCTTCCTTTCATGCTAGACTAAGAAGAGTTCTCAGTAACTTTTTTGTGTTGTGTGTATTCAACTCACAGAGTTGAACCTTGCTTTAGAGAGAGCAGATTTGAAACACTCTTGCTGTGGCATTTTCAGGTGGAGATTTCAAGCGATTTGAGGACAATTGCAGAAAAAGAAATATCTTCGTATAATAACCAGACAGAATCATTCTCAGAAAGTGCTTTGTGATGTGTGCGTTCCACTCACAGAGTTTAACCTTTCTTTTCATAGAGGAGTTTGGAAACACACTGTTTGTAAACTCTGCAAGTGGATATATGGACCTGTTTGAGGCCTTCGTTGGAAACGGGATTTCTTCATTGAATGCTAGACGGAAGAATTCTCAGTAAATTCTTTGTGTTGTGTGCATTCAACTCACAGAGTGGAACGTCCCTTTAGACAGAGCAGATTTGAAACACTCTTTTTGCGGAATTTGCAAGTGGAGATTTCTAGCCATTTGATGCCAACAGTAGAAAGGGAAATATCTTCAAATAAAAACCAGACAGAATCATTCTCAGAAAATTCTTTGTGATGTGTGCGTTCAACTCACATAGTTTAACCTTTCTTTTCATAGAGCAGTTTGGAAACACTCTGTTTGTAAAGTCTGCAAGTGGATATATGGACCGCATTGAGGCCTTCGTTGGAAACGGGATTTCTTCATTTCATGCTAGACAGAAGAATTCTCAGTAACTTCTTTGTGCTGTGTGTATTCAACTCACAGAGTGGAACGTCCCTTTACACAGAGCAGATTTCAAACACTCTTTTTGTGGAGTTTGCAAGTGGAGATTTCAAGCGATTTGATGCCAACAGTAGAAAAGGAAATATCTTCAAATAAAAACTAGACAGAATCATTCTCAGAAACTACTTTGTGATGTGTGCCTTCAACTCACAGAATTTAACCTTTCTTTTCTTAGAGCAGTTTAGAAACACTCTGCTTGTTATGTCTGCAAGTGGATATTTGGACCTCTTTGAGGCCTTCGTTGCAAATGGGGTTTCTTCCTTTCATGCTAGACTAAGAAGAGTTCTCAGTAACTTTTTTGTGTTGTGTGTATTCAACTCACAGAGTTGAACCTTGCTTTAGAGAGAGCAGATTTGAAACACTCTTGCTGTGGCATTTTCAGGTGGAGATTTCAAGCGATTTGAGGACAATTGCAGAAAAGGAAATATCTTCGTATAATAACCAGACAGAATCATTCTCAGAAAGTGCTTTGTGATGTGTGCGTTCAACTCACAGAGTTTAACCTTTCTTTTCATAGAGGAGTTTGGAAACACACTGTTTGTAAAGTCTGCAAGTGGATATATGGACCTGTTTGAGGCCTTCGTTGGAAACGGGATTTCTTCATTGAATGCTAGACGGAAGAATTCTCAGTAAATTCTTTGTGTTGTGTGCATTCAACTCACAGAGTGGAACGTCCCTTTAGACAGAGCAGATTTGAAACACTCTTTTTGCGGAATTTGCAAGTGGAGATTTCTAGCCATTTGATGCCAACAGTAGAAAGGGAAATATCTTCAAATAAAAACCAGACAGAATCATTCTCAGAAAATTCTTTGTGATGTGTGCTTTCAACTCACATAGTTTAACCTTTCTTTTCATAGAGCAGTTTGGAAACACTCTGTTTGTAAAGTCTGCAAGTGGATATATGGACCGCATTGAGGCCTTCGTTGGAAATGGGATTTCTTCATTTCATGCTAGACAGAAGAATTCTCAGTAACTTCTTTGTGCTGTGTGTATTCAACTCACAGAGTGGAACGTCCCTTTACACAGAGCAGATTTGAAACACTCTTTTTGTGGAGTTTGCAAGTGGAGATTTCAAGCGATTTGATGCCAACAGTAGAAAAGGAAATATCTTCAAATAAAAACTAGACAGAATCATTCTCAGAAACTACTTTGTGATGTGTGCCTTCAACTCACAGAGTTTAACCTTTCTTTTCTTAGAGCAGTTTAGAAACACTCTGCTTGTTATGTCTGCAAGTGGATATTTGGACCTCTTTGAGGCCTTCGTTGCAAACGGGGTTTCTTCCTTTCATGCTAGACTAAGAAGAGTTCTCAGTAACTTTTTTGTGTTGTGTGTATTCAACTCACAGAGTTGAACCTTGCTTTAGAGAGAGCAGATTTGAAACACTCTCGCTGTGGAATTTTCAGGTGGAGATTTCAAGCGATTTGAGGACAATTGCAGAAAAGGAAATATCTTCGTATAGTAACCAGACAGAATCATTCTCAGAAAGTGCTTTGTGATGTGTGCGTTCAACTCACAGAGTTTAACCTTTCTTTTCATAGAGGAGTTTGGAAACACACTGTTTGTAATGTCTGCAATTGGATATATGGACCTGTTTGAGGCCTTCGTTGGAAACGGGATTTCTTCATTGAATGCTAGACGGAAGAATTCTCAGTAAATTCTTTGTGTTGTGTGCATTCAACTCACAGAGTGGAACGTCCCTTTAGACAGAGCAGATTTGAAACACTCTTTTTGCGGAATTTGCAAGTGGAGATTTCTAGCCATTTGATGCCAACAGTAGAAAGGGAAATATACTTCAAATAAAAACCAGGCAGAATCATTCTCAGAAAATTCTTTGTGATGTGTGCGTTCAACTCACATAGTTTAACCTTTCTTTTCATAGAGCAGTTTGGAAACACTCTGTTTGTAAAGTCTGCAAGTGGATATATGGACCGCATTGAGGCCTTCGTTGGAAACGGGATTTCTTCATTTCATGCCAGACAGAAGAATTCTCAGTAACTTCTTTGTGCTGTGTGTATTCAACTCACAGAGTGGAACGTCCCTTTACACAGAGCAGATTTGAAACACTCTTTTTGTGGAGTTTGCAAGTGGAGATTTCAAGCGATTTGATGCCAACAGTAGAAAAGGAAATATCTTCAAATAAAAACTAGACAGAATCATTCTCAGAAACTACTTTGTGATGTGTGCCTTCAACTCACAGAGTTTAACCTTTCTTTTCTTAGAGCAGTTTAGAAACACTCTGCTTGTTATGTCTGCAAGTGGATATTTGGACCTCTTTGAGGCCTTCGTTGCAAACGGGGTTTCTTCCTTTCATGCTAGACTAAGAAGAGTTCTCAGTAACTTTTTTGTGTTGTGTGTATTCAACTCACAGAGTTGAACCTTGCTTTAGAGAGAGCAGATTTGAAACACTCTTGCTGTGGCATTTTCAGGTGGAGATTTCAAGCGATTTGAGGACAATTGCAGAAAAGGAAATATCTTCGTATAATAACCAGACAGAATCATTCTCAGAAAGTGCTTTGTGATGTGTGCGTTCCACTCACAGAGTTTAACCTTTCTTTTCATAGAGGAGTTTGGAAACACACTGTTTGTAAAGTCTGCAAGTGGATATATGGACCTGTTTGAGGCCTTCGTTGGAAACGGGATTTCTTCATTGAATGCTAGACGGAAGAATTCTCAGTAAATTCTTTGTGTTGTGTGCATTCAACTCACAGAGTGGAACGTCCCTTTAGACAGAGCAGATTTGAAACACTCTTTTTGCGGAATTTGCAAGTGGAGATTTCTAGCCATTTGATGCCAACAGTAGAAAGGGAAATATCTTCAAATAAAAACCAGACAGAATCATTCTCAGAAAATTCTTTGTGATGTGTGCGTTCAACTCACATAGTTTAAACTTTCTTTTCATAGAGCAGTTTGGAAACACTCTGTTTGTAAAGTCTGCAAGTGGATATATGGACCGCATTGAGGCCTTCGTTGGAAACGGGATTTCTTCATTTCATGCTAGACAGAAGAATTCTCAGTAACTTCTTTGTGCTGTGTGTATTCAACTCACAGAGTGGAACGTCCCTTTGCACAGAGCAGATTTGAAACACTCTTTTTGTGGAGTTTGCAAGTGGAGATTTCAAGCGATTTGATGCCAACAGTAGAAAAGGAAATATCTTCAAATAAAAACTAGACAGAATCATTCTCAGAAACTACTTTGTGATGTGTGCCTTCAACTCACAGAGTTTAACCTTTCTTTTCTTAGAGCAGTTTAGAAACACTCTGCTTGTTATGTCTGCAAGTGGATATTTGGACCTCTTTGAGGCCTTCGTTGCAAACGGGGTTTCTTCCTTTCATGCTAGACTAAGAAGAGTTCTCAGTAACTTTTTTGTGTTGTGTGTATTCAACTCACAGAGTTGAACCTTGCTTTAGAGAGAGCAGATTTGAAACACTCTTGCTGTGGCATTTTCAGGTGGAGATTTCAAGCGATTTGAGGACAATTGCAGAAAAGGAAATATCTTCGTATAACAACCAGACAGAATCATTCTCAGAAAGTGCTTTGTGATGTGTGCATTCCACTCACAGAGTTTAACCTTTCTTTTCATAGAGGAGTTTGGAAACACACTGTTTGTAAAGTCTGCAAGTGGATATATGGACCTGTTTGAGGCCTTCGTTGGAAACGGGATTTCTTCATTGAATGCTAGGCGGAGGAATTCTCAGTAAATTCTTTGTGTTGTGTGCATTCAACTCACAGAGTGGAACGTCCCTTTAGACAGAGCAGATTTGAAACACTCTTTTTGCGGAATTTGCAAGTGGAGATTTCTAGCCATTTGATGCCAACAGTAGAAAGGGAAATATCTTCAAATAAAAACCAGACAGAATCATTCTCAGAAAATTCTTTGTGATGTGTGCGTTCAACTCACATAGTTTAACCTTTCTTTTCATAGAGCAGTTTGGAAACACTCTGTTTGTGATGTCTGCAAGTGGATATATAGACCGCATTGAGGCCTTCGTTGGAAACGGGATTTCTTCATTTCATGCTAGACAGAAGAATTCTCAGTAACTTCTTTGTGCTGTGTGTATTCAACTCACAGAGTGGAACGTCCCTTTGCACAGAGCAGATTTGAAACACTCTTTTTGTGGAGTTTGCAAGTGGAGATTTCAAGCGATTTGATGCCAACAGTAGAAAAGGAAATATCTTCAAATAAAAACTAGACAGAATCATTCTCAGAAACTACTTTGTGATGTGTGCCTTCAACTCACAGAGTTTAACCTTTCTTTTCTTAGAGCAGTTTAGAAACACTCTGCTTGTTATGTCTGCAAGTGGATATTTGGACCTCTTTGAGGCCTTCGTTGCAAACGGGGTTTCTTCCTTTCATGCTAGACTAAGAAGAGTTCTCAGTAACTTTTTTGTGTTGTGTGTATTCAACTCACAGAGTTGAACCTTGCTTTAGAGAGAGCAGATTTGAAACACTCTTGCTGTGGCATTTTCAGGTGGAGATTTCAAGCGATTTGAGGACAATTGCAGAAAAGGAAATATCTTCGTATAATAACCAGACAGAATCATTCTCAGAAAGTGCTTTGTGATGTGTGCGTTCAACTCACAGAGTTTAACCTTTCTTTTCATAGAGGAGTTTGGAAACACACTGTTTGTAAAGTCTGCAATTGGATATATGGACCTGTTTGAGGCCTTCGTTGGAAACGGGATTTCTTCATTGAATGCTAGACGGAAGAATTCTCAGTAAATTCTTTGTGTTGTGTGCATTCAACTCACAGAGTGGAACGTCCCTTTAGACAGAGCAGATTTGAAACACTCTTTTTGCGGAATTTGCAAGTGGAGATTTCTAGCCATTTGATGCCAACAGTAGAAAGGGAAATATCTTCAAATAAAAACCAGACAGAATCATTCTCAGAAAATTCTTTGTGATGTGTGCGTTCAACTCACATAGTTTAACCTTTCTTTTCATAGAGCAGTTTGGAAACACTCTGTTTGTAAAGTCTGCAAGTGGATATATGGACCGCATTGAGGCCTTCGTTGGAAACGGGATTTCTTCATTTCATGCTAGACAGAAGAATTCTCAGTAACTTCTTTGTGCTGTGTGTATTCAACTCACAGAGTGGAACGTCCCTTTGCACAGAGCAGATTTGAAACACTCTTTTTGTGGAGTTTGCAAGTGGAGATTTCAAGCGATTTGATGCCAACAGTAGAAAAGGAAATATCTTCAAATAAAAACTAGACAGAATCATTCTCAGAAACTACTTTGTGATGTGTGCCTTCAACTCACAGAGTTTAACCTTTCTTTTCTTAGAGCAGTTTAGAAACACTCTGCTTGTTATGTCTGCAAGTGGATATTTGGACCTCTTTGAGGCCTTCGTTGCAAACGGGGTTTCTTCCTTTCATGCTAGATTAAGAAGAGTTCTCAGTAACTTTTTTGTGTTGTGTGTATTCAACTCACAGAGTTGAACCTTGCTTTAGAGAGAGCAGATTTGAAACACTCTTGCTGTGGCATTTTCAGGTGGAGATTTCAAGCGATTTGAGGACAATTGCAGAAAAAGAAATATCTTCGTATAATAACCAGACAGAATCATTCTCAGAAAGTGCTTTGTGATGTGTGCGTTCCACTCACAGAGTTTAACCTTTCTTTTCATAGAGGAGTTTGGAAACACACTGTTTGTAAAGTCTGCAAGTGGATATATGGACCTGTTTGAGGCCTTCGTTGGAAACGGGATTTCTTCATTGAATGCTAGACAGAAGAATTCTCAGTAAATTCTTTGTGTTGTGTGCATTCAACTCACAGAGTGGAACGTCCCTTTAGACAGAGCAGATTTGAAACACTCTTTTTGCGGAATTTGCAAGTGGAGATTTCTAGCCATTTGATGCCAACAGTAGAAAGGGAAATATCTTCAAATAAAAACCAGACAGAATCATTCTCAGAAAATTCTTTGTGATGTGTGCGTTCAACTCACATAGTTTAACCTTTCTTTTCATAGAGCAGTTTGGAAACACTCTGTTTGTAAAGTCTGCAAGTGGATATATGGACCGCATTGAGGCCTTCGTTGGAAACGGGATTTCTTCATTTCATGCTAGACAGAAGAATTCTCAGTAACTTCTTTGTGCTGTGTGTATTCAACTCACAGAGTGGAACGTCCCTTTACACAGAGCAGATTTGAAACACTCTTTTTGTGGAGTTTGCAAGTGGAGATTTCAAGCGATTTGATGCCAACAGTTGAAAAGGAAGTATCTTCAAATAAAAACTAGACAGAATCATTCTCAGAAACTACTTTGTGATGTGTGCCTTCAACTCACAGAGTTTAACCTTTCTTTTCTTAGAGCAGTTTAGAAACACTCTGCTTGTTATGTCTGCAAGTGGATATTTGGACCTCTTTGAGGCCTTCGTTGCAAACGGGGTTTCTTCCTTTCATGCTAGACTAAGAAGAGTTCTCAGTAACTTTTTTGTGTTGTGTGTATTCAACTCACAGAGTTGAACCTTGCTTTAGAGAGAGCAGATTTGAAACACTCTTGCTGTGGCATTTTCAGGTGGAGATTTCAAGCGATTTGAGGACAATTGCAGAAAAGGAAATATCTTCGTATAACAACCAGACAGAATCATTCTCAGAAAGTGCTTTGTGATGTGTGCGTTCCACTCACAGAGTTTAACCTTTCTTTTCATAGAGGAGTTTGGAAACACACTGTTTGTAAAGTCTGCAATTGGATATATGGACCTGTTTGAGGCCTTCGTTGGAAACGGGATTTCTTCATTGAATGCTAGACGGAAGAATTCTCAGTAAATTCTTTGTGTGGTGTGCATTCAACTCACAGAGTGGAACGTCCCTTTAGACAGAGCAGATTTGAAACACTCTTTTTGCGGAATTTGCAAGTGGAGATTTCTAGCCATTTGATGCCAACAGTAGAAAGGGAAATATCTTCAAATAAAAACCAGACAGAATCATTCTCAGAAAATTCTTTGTGATGTGTGCGTTCAACTCACATAGTTTAACCTTTCTTTTCATAGAGCAGTTTGGAAACACTCTGTTTGTAAAGTCTGCAAGTGGATATATGGACCGCATTGAGGCCTTCGTTCGAAACGGGATTTCTTCATTTCATGCTAGACAGAAGAATTCTCAGTAACTTCTTTGTGCTGTGTGTATTCAACTCACAGAGTGGAACGTCCCTTTGCACAGAGCAGATTTGAAACACTCTTTTTGTGGAGTTTGCAAGTGGAGATTTCAAGCGATTTGATGCCAACAGTAGAAAAGGAAATATCTTCAAATAAAAACTAGACAGAATCATTCTCAGAAACTACTTTGTGATGTGTGCCTTCAACTCACAGAGTTTAACCTTTCTTTTCTTAGAGCAGTTTAGAAACACTCTGCTTGTTATGTCTGCAAGTGGATATTTGGACCTCTTTGAGGCCTTCGTTGCAAACGGGGTTTCTTCCTTTCATGCTAGACTAAGAAGAGTTCTCAGTAACTTTTTTGTGTTGTGTGTATTCAACTCACAGAGTTGAACCTTGCTTTAGAGAGAGCAGATTTGAAACACTCTTGCTGTGGCATTTTCAGGTGGAGATTTCAAGCGTTTTGAGGACAATTGCAGAAAAGGAAATATCTTCGTATAATAACCAGACAGAATCATTCTCAGAAAGTGCTTTGTGATGTGTGCGTTCAACTCACAGAGTTTAACTTTTCTTTCCATAGAGGAGTTTGGAAACACACTGTTTGTAAAGTCTGCAAGTGGATATATGGACCTGTTTGAGGCCTTCGTTGGAAACGGGATTTCTTCATTGAATGCTAGACGGAAGAATTCTCAGTAAATTCTTTGTGTTGTGTGCATTCAACTCACAGAGTGGAACGTCCCTTTAGACAGAGCAGATTTGAAACACTCTTTTTGCGGAATTTGCAAGTGGAGATTTCTAGCCATTTGATGCCAACAGTAGAAAGGGAAATATCTTCAAATAAAAACCAGACAGAATCATTCTCAGAAAATTCTTTGTGATGTGTGCGTTCAACTCACATAGTTTAACCTTTCTTTTCATAGAGCAGTTTGGAAACACTCTGTTTGTAAAGTCTGCAAGTGGATATATGGACCGCATTGAGGCCTTCGTTGGAAACGGGATTTCTTCATTTCATGCTAGACAGAAGAATTCTCAGTAACTTCTTTGTGCTGTGTGTATTCAACTCACAGAGTGGAACGTCCCTTTACACAGAGCAGATTTGAAACACTCTTTTTGTGGAGTTTGCAAGTGGAGATTTCAAGCGATTTGATGCCAACAGTAGAAAATGAAATATCTTCAAATAAAAACTAGACAGAATCATTCTCAGAAACTACTTTGTGATGTGTGCCTTCAACTCACAGAGTTTAACCTTTCTTTTCTTAGAGCAGTTTAGAAACACTCTGCTTGTTATGTCTGCAAGTGGATATTTGGACCTCTTTGAGGCCTTCGTTGCAAACGGGGTTTCTTCCTTTCATGCTAGACTAAGAAGAGTTCTCAGTAACTTTTTTGTGTTGTGTGTATTCAACTCACAGAGTTGAACCTTGCTTTAGAGAGAGCAGATTTGAAACACTCTTGCTGTGGCATTTTCAGGTGGAGATTTCAAGCGATTTGAGGACAATTGCAGAAAAGGAAATATCTTCGTATAATAACCAGACAGAATCATTCTCAGAAAGTGCTTTGTGATGTGTGCGTTCAACTCACAGAGTTTAACCTTTCTTTTCATAGAGGAGTTTGGAAACACACTGTTTGTAAAGTCTGCAATTGGATATATGGACCTGTTTGAGGCCTTCTTTGGAAACGGGATTTCTTCATTGAATGCTAGACGGAAGAATTCTCAGTAAATTCTTTGTGTTGTGTGCATTCAACTCACAGAGTGGAACGTCCCTTTAGACAGAGCAGATTTGAAACACTCTTTTTGCGGAATTTGCAAGTGGAGATTTCTAGCCATTTGATGCCAACAGTAGAAAGGGAAATATCTTCAAATAAAAACCAGACAGAATCATTCTCAGAAAATTCTTTGTGATGTGTGCGTTCAACTCACATAGTTTAACCTTTCTTTTCATAGAGCAGTTTGGAAACACTCTGTTTGTAAAGTCTGCAAGTGGATATATGGACCGCATTGAGGCCTTCGTTGGAAACGGGATTTCTTCATTTCATGCTAGACAGAAGAATTCTCAGTAACTTCTTTGTGCTGTGTGTATTCAACTCACAGAGTGGAACGTCCCTTTACACAGAGCAGATTTGAAACACTCTTTTTGTGGAGTTTGCAAGTGGAGATTTCAAGCGATTTGATGCCAACAGTAGAAAAGGAAATATCTTCAAATAAAAACTAGACAGAATCATTCTCAGAAACTACTTTGTGATGTGTGCCTTCAACTCACAGAGTTTAACCTTTCTTTTCTTAGAGCAGTTTAGAAACACTCTGCTTGTTATGTCTGCAAGTGGATATTTGGACCTCTTTGAGGCCTTCGTTGCAAACGGGGTTTCTTCCTTTCATGCTAGACTAAGAAGAGTTCTCAGTAACTTTTTTGTGTTGTGTGTATTCAACTCACAGAGTTGAACCTTGCTTTAGAGAGAGCAGATTTGAAACACTCTTGCTGTGACATTTTCAGGTGGAGATTTCAAGCGATTTGAGGACAATTGCAGAAAAGGAAATATCTTCGTACAACAACCAGACAGAATCATTCTCAGAAAGTGCTTTGTGATGTGTGCGTTCAACTCACAGAGTTTAACCTTTCTTTTCATAGAGGAGTTTGGAAACACACTGTTTGTAAAGTCTGCAATTGGATATATGGACCTGTTTGAGGCCTTCGTTGGAAACGGGATTTCTTCATTGAATGCTAGACGGAAGAATTCTCAGTAAATTCTTTGTGTTGTGTGCATTCAACTGACAGAGTGGAACGTCCGTTTAGACAGAGCAGATTTGAAACACTCTTTTTGCGGAATTTGCAAGTGGAGATTTCTAGCCATTTGATGCCAACAGTAGAAAGGGAAATATCTTCAAATAAAAACCAGACAGAATCATTCTCAGAAAATTCTTTGTGATGTGTGCGTTCAACTCACATAGTTTAACCTTTCTTTTCATAGAGCAGTTTGGAAACACTCTGTTTGTAAAGTCTGCAAGTGGATATATGGACCGCATTGAGGCCTTCGTTGGAAACGGGATTTCTTCATTTCATGCTAGACAGAAGAATTCTCAGTAACTTCTTTGTGCTGTGTGTATTCAACTCACAGAGTGGAACGTCCCTTTACACAGAGCAGATTTGAAACACTCTTTTTGTGGAGTTTGCAAGTGGAGATTTCAAGCGATTTGATGCCAACAGTAGAAAAGGAAATATCTTCAAATAAAAACTAGACAGAATCATTCTCAGAAACTACTTTGTGATGTGTGCCTTCAACTCACAGAGTTTAACCTTTCTTTTCTTAGAGCAGTTTAGAAACACTCTGCTTGTTATGTCTGCAAGTGGATATTTGGACCTCTTTGAGGCCTTCGTTGCAAACGGGGTTTCTTCCTTTCATGCTAGACTAAGAAGAGTTCTCAGTAACTTTTTTGTGTTGTGTGTATTCAACTCACAGAGTTGAACCTTGCTTTAGAGAGAGCAGATTTGAAACACTCTTGCTGTGACATTTTCAGGTGGAGATTTCAAGCGATTTGAGGACAATTGCAGAAAAGGAAATATCTTCGTATAACAACCAGACAGAATCATTCTCAGAAAGTGCTTTGTGATGTGTGCGTTCCACTCACAGAGTTTAACCTTTCTTTTCATAGAGGAGTTTGGAAACACACTGTTTGTAAAGTCTGCAAGTGGATATATGGACCTGTTTGAGGCCTTCGTTGGAAACGGGATTTCTTCATTGAATGCTAGACGGAAGAATTCTCAGTAAATTCTTTGTGTTGTGTGCATTCAACTCACAGAGTGGAACGTCCCTTTAGACAGAGCAGATTTGAAACACTCTTTTTGCGGAATTTGCAAGTGGAGATTTCTAGCCATTTGATGCCAACAGTAGAAAGGGAAATATCTTCAAATAAAAACCAGACAGAATCATTCTCAGAAAATTCTTTGTGATGTGTGCGTTCAACTCACATAGTTTAACCTTTCTTTTCATAGAGCAGTTTGGAAACACTCTGTTTGTAAAGTCTGCAAGTGGATATATGGACCGCATTGAGGCCTTCGTTGCAAACGGGGTTTCTTCCTTTCATGCTAGACAGAAGAATTCTCAGTAACTTCTTTGTGCTGTGTGTATTCAACTCACAGAGTTGAACCTTGCTTTAGAGAGAGCAGATTTGAAACACTCTTGCTGTGGCATTTTCAGGTGGAGATTTCAAGCGATTTGAGGAAAATTGCAGAAAAGGAAATATCTTCGTATAACAACCAGACAGAATCATTCTCAGAAAGTGCTTTGTGATGTGTGCGTTCCACTCACAGAGTTTAACCTTTCTTTTCATAGAGGAGTTTGGAAACACACTGTTTGTAAAGTCTGCAAGTGGATATATGGACCTGTTTGAGGCCTTCGTTGGAAACGGGATTTCTTCATTGAATGCTAGACGGAAGAATTCTCAGTAAATTCTTTGTGTTGTGTGCATTCAACTCACAGAGTGGAACGTCCCTTTAGACAGAGCAGATTTGAAACACTCTTTTTGCGGAATTTGCAAGTGGAGATTTCTAGCCATTTGATGCCAACAGTAGAAAGGGAAATATCTTCAAATAAAAACCAGACAGAATCATTCTCAGAAAATTCTTTGTGATGTGTGCGTTCAACTCACATAGTTTAACCTTTCTTTTCATAGAGCAGTTTGGAAACACTCTGTTTGTAAAGTCTGCAAGTGGATATATGGACCGCATTGAGGCCTTCGTTGGAAACGGGATTTCTTCATTTCATGCTAGACAGAAGAATTCTCAGTAACTTCTTTGTGCTGTGTGTATTCAACTCACAGAGTGGAACGTCCCTTTACACAGAGCAGATTTGAAACACTCTTTTTGTGGAGTTTGCAAGTGGAGATTTCAAGCGATTTGATGCCAACAGTAGAAAAGGAAATATCTTCAAATAAAAACTAGACAGAATCATTCTCAGAAACTACTTTGTGATGTGTGCCTTCAACTCACAGAGTTTAACCTTTCTTTTCTTAGAGCAGTTTAGAAACACTCTGCTTGTTATGTCTGCAAGTGGATATTTGGACCTCTTTGAGGCCTTCGTTGCAAACGGGGTTTCTTCCTTTCATGCTAGACTAAGAAGAGTTCTCAGTAACTTTTTTGTGTTGTGTGTATTCAACTCACAGAGTTGAACCTTGCTTTAGAGAGAGCAGATTTGAAACACTCTTGCTGTGGCATTTTCAGGTGGAGATTTCAAGCGATTTGAGGACAATTGCAGAAAAGGAAATATCTTCGTATAATAACCAGACAGAATCATTCTCAGAAAGTGCTTTGTGATGTGTGCGTTCAACTCACAGAGTTTAACCTTTCTTTTCATAGAGGAGTTTGGAAACACACTGTTTGTAAAGTCTGCAATTGGATATATGGACCTGTTTGAGGCCTTCCTTGGAAACGGGATTTCTTCATTGAATGCTAGGCGGAAGAATTCTCAGTAAATTCTTTGTGTTGTGTGCATTCAACTCACAGAGTGGAACGTCCCTTTAGACAGAGCAGATTTGAAACACTCTTTTTGCGGAATTTGCAAGTGGAGATTTCTAGCCATTTGATGCCAACAGTAGAAAGGGAAATATCTTCAAATAAAAACCAGACAGAATCATTCTCAGAAAATTCTTTGTTTTGTGTGCGTTCAACTCACATAGTTTAACCTTTCTTTTCATAGAGCAGTTTGGAAACACTCTGTTTGTAAAGTCTGCAAGTGGATATATGGACCGCATTGAGGCCTTCGTTGGAAACGGGATTTCTTCATTTCATGCTAGACAGAAGAATTCTCAGTAACTTCTTTGTGCTGTGTGTATTCAACTCACAGAGTGGAACGTCCCTTTGCACAGAGCAGATTTGAAACACTCTTTTTGTGGAATTTGCAAGTGGAGATTTCAAGCGATTTGATGCCAACAGTAGAAAAGGGAATATCTTCAAATAAAAACTAGACAGAATCATTCTCAGAAACTACTTTGTGATGTGTGCCTTCAACTCACAGAGTTTAACCTTTCTTTTCTTAGAGCAGTTTAGAAACACTCTGCTTGTTATGTCTGCAAGTGGATATTTGGACCTCTTTGAGGCCTTCGTTGCAAACGGGGTTTCTTCCTTTCATGCTAGACTAAGAAGAGTTCTCAGTAACTTTTTTGTGTTGTGTGTATTCAACTCACAGAGTTGAACCTTGCTTTAGAGAGAGCAGATTTGAAACACTCTTGCTGTGGCATTTTCAGTTGGAGATTTCAAGCGATTTGAGGACAATTGCAGAAAAGGAAATATCTTCGTATAATAACCAGACAGAATCATTCTCAGAAAGTGCTTTGTGATGTGTGCGTTCAACTCACAGAGTTTAACCTTTCTTTCCATAGAGGAGTTTGGAAACACACTGTTTGTAAAGTCTGCAATTGGATATATGGACCTGTTTGAGGCCTTCGTTGGAAACGGGATTTCTTCATTGAATGCTAGACGGAAGAATTCTCAGTAAATTCTTTGTGTTGTGTGCATTCAACTGACAGAGTGGAACGTCCCTTTAGACAGAGCAGATTTGAAACACTCTTTTTGCGGAATTTGCAAGTGGAGATTTCTAGCCATTTGATGCCAACAGTAGAAAGGGAAACATCTTCAAATAAAAACCAGACAGAATCATTCTCAGAAAATTCTTTGTGATGTGTGCGTTCAACTCACATAGTTTAACCTTTCTTTTCATAGAGCAGTTTGGAAACACTCTGTTTGTAAAGTCTGCAAGTGGATATATGGATCGCATTGAGGCCTTCGTTGGAAACGGTATTTCTTCATTTCATGCTAGACAGAAGAATTCTCAGCAACTTCTTTGTGCTGTGTGTATTCAACTCACAGAGTGGAACGTCCCTTTACACAGAGCAGATTTGAAACACTCTTTTTGTGGAGTTTGCAAGTGAAGATTTCAAGCGATTTGATGCCAACAGTAGAAAAGGAAATATCTTCAAATAAAAACTAGACAGAATCATTCTCAGAAACTACTTTGTGATGTGTGCCTTCAACTCACAGAGTTTAACCTTTCTTTTCTTAGAGCAGTTTAGAAACACTCTGTTTGTTATGTCTGCAAGTGGATATTTGGACCTCTTTGAGGCCTTCGTTGCAAACGGGGTTTCTTCCTTTCATGCTAGACTAAGAAGAGTTCTCAGTAACTTTTTTGTGTTGTGTTTATTCAACTCACAGAGTTGAACCTTGCTTTAGAGAGAGCAGATTTGAAACACTCTTGCTGTGGCATTTTCAGGTGGAGATTTCAAGCGATTTGAGGACAATTGCAGAAAAGGAAATATCTTCGTATAATAACCAGACAGAATCATTCTCAGAAAGTGCTTTGTGATGTGTGCGTTCAACTCACACAGTTTAACCTTTCTTTCCATAGAGGAGTTTGGAAACACACTGTTTGTAAAGTCTGCAATTGGATATATGGACCTGTTTGAGGCCTTCGTTGGAAACGGGATTTCTTCATTGAATGCTAGACGGAAGAATTCTCAGTAAATTCTTTGTGTTGTGTGCATTCAACTCACAGAGTGGAACGTCCCTTTAGACAGAGCAGATTTGAAACACTCTTTTTGCGGAATTTGCAAGTGGAGATTTCTAGCCATTTGATGCCAAGAGTAGAAAGGGAAATATCTTCAAATAAAAACCAGACAGAATCATTCTCAGAAAATTCTTTGTGATGTGTGCGTTCAACTCACATAGTTTAACCTTTCTTTTCATAGAGCAGTTTGGAAACACTCTGTTTGTACAGTCTGCAAGTGGATATATGGACCGCATTGAGGCCTTCGTTGGAAACGGGATTTCTTCATTTCATGCTAGACAGAAGAATTCTCAGTAACTTCTTTGTGCTGTGTGTATTCAACTCACAGAGTGGAACGTCCCTTTGCACAGAGCAGATTTGAAACACTCTTTTTGTGGAATTTGCAAGTGGAGATTTTAAGCGATTTGATGCCAACAGTAGAAAAGGAAATATCTTCAAATAAAAACTAGACAGAATCATTCTCAGAAACTACTTTGTGATGTGTGCCTTCAACTCACAGAGTTTAACCTTTCTTTTCTTAGAGCAGTTTAGAAACACTCTGCTTGTTATGTCTGCAAGTGGATATTTGGACCTCTTTGAGGCCTTCGTTGCAAACGGGGTTTCTTCCTTTAATGCTAGACTAAGAAGACTTCTCAGTAACTTTTTTGTGTTGTGTGCATTCAACTCACAGAGTGGAACGTCCCTTTAGACAGAGCAGATTTGAAACACTCTTTTTGCGGAAGTTGCAAGTGGAGATTTCTAGCCATTTGATGCCAACAGTACAAAGGGAAATATCTTCAAATAAAAACTAGACAGAATCATTCTCAGAAAATTCTTTGTGATGTGTGCGTTCAACTCACATAGTTTAACCTTTCTTTTCATAGAGCAGTTTGGAAACACTCTGTTTGTAAAGTCTGCAAGTGGATATATGGACCGCATTGAGGCCTTCGTTGGAAACGGGATTTCTTCATTTCATGCTAGACAGAAGAATTCTCAGTAACTTCTTTGTGCTGTGTGTATTCAACTCACAGAGTGGAACGTCCCTTTACACAGAGCAGATTTGAAACACTCTTTTTGTGGAGTTTGCAAGTGGAGATTTCAAGCGATTTGATGCCAACAGTAGAAAAGGAAATATCTTCAAATAAAAACTAGACAGAATCATTCTCAGAAACTACTTTGTGATGTGTGCCTTCAACTCACAGAGTTTAACCTTTCTTTTCTTAGAGCACTTTAGAAACACTCTGCTTGTTATGTCTGCAAGTGGATATTTGGACCTCTTTGAGGCCTTCGTTGCAAACGGGGTTTCTTCCTTTAATGCTAGACTAAGAAGAGTTCTCAGTAACTTTTTTGTGTTGTGTGTATTCAACTCACAGAGTTGAACCTTGCTTTAGAGAGAGCAGATTTGAAACACTCTTGCTGTGGCATTTTCAGGTGGAGATTTCAAGCGATTTGAGGACAATTGCAGAAAAGGAAATATCTTCGTATAATAACCAGACAGAATCATTCTCAGAAAGTGCTTTGTGATGTGTGCGTTCAACTCACAGAGTTTAACCTTTCTTTTCATAGAGGAGTTTGGAAACACACTGTTTGTAAAGTCTGCAAGTGGATACATGGACCTGTTTGAGGCCTTCGTTGGAAACGGGATTTCTTCATTGAATGCTAGACGGAAGAATTCTCAGTAAATTCTTTGTGTTGTGTGCATTCAACTCACAGAGTGGAACGTCCCTTTAGACAGAGCAGATTTGAAACACTCTTTTTGCGGAATTTGCAAGTGGAGATTTCTAGCCATTTGATGCCAACAGTAGAAAGGGAAATATCTTCAAATAAAAACCAGACAGAATCATTCTCAGAAAATTCTTTGTGATGTGTGCGTTCAACTCACATAGTTTAACCTTTCTTTTCATAGAGCAGTTTGGAAACACTCTGTTTGTAAAGTCTGCAAGTGGATATATGGACCGCATTGAGGCCTTCGTTGGAAACGGGATTTCTTCATTTCATGCTAGACAGAAGAATTCTCAGTAACTTCTTTGTGCTGTGTGTATTCAACTCACAGAGTGGAACGTCCCTTTGCACAGAGCAGATTTGAAACACTCTTTTTGTGGAGTTTGCAAGTGGAGATTTCAAGCGATTTGATGCCAACAGTAGAAAAGGAAATATCTTCAAATAAAAACTAGACAGAAATCATTCTCAGAAACTACTTTGTGATGTGTGCCTTCAACTCACAGAGTTTAACCTTTCTTTTCTTAGAGCAGTTTAGAAACACTCTGCTTGTTATGTCTGCAAGTGGATATTTGGACCTCTTTGAGGCCTTCGTTGCAAACGGGGTTTCTTCCTTTAATGCTAGACTAAGAAGAGTTCTCAGTAACTTTTTTGTGTTGTGTGTATTCAACTCACAGAGTTGAACCTTGCTTTAGAGAGAGCAGATTTGAAACACTCTTGCTGTGGCATTTTCAGGTGGAGATTTCAAGCGATTTGAGGATAATTGCAGAAAAGGAAATATCTTCGTATAACAACCAGACAGAATCATTCTGAGAAAGTGCTTTGTGATGTGTGCGTTCAACTCACAGAGTTTAATCTTTCTTTTCATAGAGGAGTTTGGAAACACACTGTTTGTAAAGTCTGCAATTGGATATATGGACCTGTTTGAGGCCTTCGTTGGAAACGGGATTTCTTCATTGAATGCTAGACGGAAGAATTCTCAGTAAATTCTTCGTGTTGTGTGCATTCAACTCACAGAGTGGAACGTCCCTTTAGACAGAGCAGATTTGAAACACTCTTTTTGCGGAATTTGCAAGTGGAGATTTCTAGCCATTTGATGCCAACAGTAGAAAGGGAAATATCTTCAAATAAAAACCAGACAGAATCATTCTCAGAAAATTCTTTGTGATGTGTGCGTTCAACTCACATAGTTTAACCTTTCTTTTCATAGAGCAGTTTGGAAACACTCTGTTTGTAAAGTCTGCAAGTGGATATATGGACCGCATTGAGGCCTTCGTTGGAAACGGGATTTCTTCATTTCATGCTAGACAGAAGAATTCTCAGTAACTTCTTTGTGCTGTGTGTATTCAACTCACAGAGTGGAACGTCCCTTTACACAGAGCAGATTTGAAACACTCTTTTTGTGGAGTTTGCAAGTGGAGATTTCAAGCGATTTGATGCCAACAGTAGAAAAGGAAATATCTTCAAATAAAAACTAGACAGAATCATTCTCAGAAACTACTTTGTGATGTGTGCCTTCAACTCACAGAGTTTAACCTTTCTTTTCTTAGAGCAGTTTAGAAACACTCTGCTTGTTATGTCTGCAAGTGGATATTTGGACCTCTTTGAGGCCTTCGTTGCAAACGGGGTTTCTTCCTTTCATGCTAGACTAAGAAGAGTTCTCAGTAACTTTTTTGTGTTGTGTGTATTCAACTCACAGAGTTGAACCTTGCTTTAGAGAGAGCAGATTTGAAACACTCTTGCTGTGGCATTTTCAGGTGGAGATTTCAAGCGTTTTGAGGACAATTGCAGAAAAGGAAATATCTTCGTATAATAACCAGACAGAATCATTCTCAGAAAGTGCTTTGTGATGTGTGCGTTCAACTCACAGAGTTTAACCTTTCTTTTCATAGAGGAGTTTGGAAACACACTGTTTGTAAAGTCTGCAAGTGGATATATGGACCTGTTTGAGGCCTTCGTTGGAAACGGGATTTTATCATATAATGCTAGACGGAAGAATTCTCAGTAAATTCTTTGTGTTGTATGCATTCAACTCACAGAGTGGAACGTCCCTTTAGATAGAGCAGATTTGAAACACTCTTTTTGCGGAATTTGCAAGTGGAGATTTCTAGCCATTTGATGCCAACAGTAGAAAGTTAAATATCTTCATATAAAAACCAGACAGAATCATTCTCAGAAAATTCTTTGTGATGTGTGCGTTCAACTCACATAGTTTAACCTTTCTTTTCATAGAGCAGTTTGGAAACACTCTGTTTGTAAAGTCTGCAAGTGGATATATGGACCGCATTGAGGCCTTCGTTGGAAACGGGATTTCTTCATTTCATGCTAGACAGAAGAATTCTCAGTAACTTCTTTGTGCTGTGTGTATTCAACTCACAGAGTGGAACGTCCCTTTGCACAGAGCAGATTTGAAACACTCTTTTTGTGGAGTTTGCAAGTGGAGATTTCAAGCGATTTGATGCCAACAGTAGAAAAGGAAATATCTTCAAATAAAAACTAGACAGAATCATTCTCAGAAACTACTTTGTGATGTGTGCCTTCAACTCACAGAGTTTAACCTTTCTTTTCTTAGAGCAGTTTAGAAACACTCTGCTTGTTATGTCTGCAAGTGGATATTTGGACCTCTTTGAGGCCTTCGTTGCAAACGGGGTTTCTTCCTTTCATGCTAGACTAAGAAGAGTTCTCAGTAACTTTTTTGTGTTGTGTGTATTCAACTCACAGAGTTGAACCTTGCTTTAGAGAGAGCAGATTTGAAACACTCTTGCTGTGGCATTTTCAGGTGGAGATTTCAAGCGATTTGAGGACAATTGCAGAAAAAGAAATATCTTCGTATAATAACCAGACAGAATCATTCTCAGAAAGTGCTTTGTGATGTGTGCGTTCAACTCACAGAGTTTAACCTTTCTTTTCATAGAGGAGTTTGGAAAAACAATGTTTGTAAAGTCTGCAAGTGGATATATGGACCTGTTTGAGGCCTTCGTTGGAAACGGGATTTCTTCATTGAATGCTAGACAGAAGAATTCTCAGTAAATTCTTTGTGTGGTGTGCATTCAACTCACAGAGTGGAACGTCCCTTTAGACAGAGCAGATTTGAAACACTCTTTTTGCGGAATTTGCAAGTGGAGATTTACTAGCCATTTGATGCCAACAGTAGAAAGGGAAATATCTTCAAATAAAAACCAGACAGAATCATTCTCAGAAAGTGCTTTGTGATGTGTGCGTTCAACTCACATAGTTTAACCTTTCTTTTCATAAAGGAGTTTGGAAACACACTGTTTGTAAAGTCTGCCAGTGGATATATGTACCTGTTTGAGGCCTTCGTTGGAAAGGGGATTTTATCATATAATGCTAGACGGAAGAATTCTCAGTAAATTCTTTGTGTTGTGTGCATTCAACTCACAGAGTGGAACGTCCCTTTAGACAGAGCAGATTTGAAACACTCTTTTTGCGGAATTTGCAAGTGGAGATTTCTAGCCATTTGATGCCAACAGTAGAAAGGAAAATATCTTCAAATAAAAACCAGACAGAATCATCCTCAGAAAATTCTTTCTGATGTGTGCGTTCAACTCACATAGTTTAACCTTTCTTTTCATAGAGCAGTTTGGAAACACTCTGTTGGTAATGTCTGCAAGTGGATACATAGACCGCTTTGAGGCCTTTGTTGGAAACGGGATTTCTTCATTTCATGCTAGACAGAAGAATTGTCAGTAACTTCTTTGTGTTGTGTGTATTCAACTCACAGATTGGAACGTCCCTTTACACAGAGCAGTTTTGAAACACTCTTTTTGTGGAATTTGCAAGTGGAGATTTCAAGCGATTTGATGCCAACTGTAGAAAAGGAAATACCTGCAAATAAAAAGTAGACAAAATCATTCTCAGAAACTACTTTGTGATGTGTGCCTTCAACTCACAGAGTTTAACCTTTCTTTTCTTAGAGCAGTTTAGAAACACTCTGCTTGTTATGTCTGCAAGTGGATATTTGGACCTCTTTGAGGCCTTCGTTGCAAACGGGGTTTCTTCCTTTAATGCTAGACTAAGAAGAGTTCTCAGTAACTTTTTTGTGTTGTGTGTATTCAACTCACAGAGTTGAACCTTGCTTTAGAGAGAGCAGATTTGAAACACTCTTGCTGTGGCATTTTCAGGTGGAGATTTCAAGCGATTTGAGGACAATTGCAGAAAAGGAAATATCTTCGTATAATAACCAGACAGAATCATTCTCAGAAAGTGCTTTGTGATGTGTGCGTTCCACTCACAGTGTTTAACCTTTCTTTTCATAGAGGAGTTTGGAAACACACTGTTTGTAAAGTCTGCAAGTGGATATATGGACCTGTTTGAGGCCTTAGTTGGAAACTGGATTTCTTCATTGAATGCTAGACGGAAGAATTCTCAGTAAATTCTTTGTGTTGTGTGCATTCAACTCACAGAGTGGAACGTCCCTTTAGACAGAGCAGATTTGAAACACTCTTTTTGCGGAATTTGCAAGTGGAGATTTCTAGCCATTTGATGCCAACAGTAGAAAGGGAAATATCTTCAAATAAAAACCAGACAGAATCATTCTCAGAAAATTCTTTGTGATGTGTGCGTTCAACTCACATAGTTTAACCTTTCTTTTCATAGAGCAGTTTGGAAACACTCTGTTTGTAAAGTCTGCAAGTGGATATATGGACCGCATTGAGGCCTTCGTTGGAAACGGGATTTCTTCATTTCATGCTAGACAGAAGAATTCTCAGTAACTTCTTTGTGCTGTGTGTATTCAACTCACAGAGTGGAACGTCCCTTTACACAGAGCAGATTTGAAACACTCTTTTTGTGGAGTTTGCAAGTGGAGATTTCAAGCGATTTGATGCCAACAGTAGAAAAGGAAATATCTTCAAATAAAAACTAGACAGAATCATTCTCAGAAACTACTTTGTGATGTGTGCCTTCAACTCACAGAGTTTAACCTTTCTTTTCTTAGAGCAGTTTAGAAACACTCTGCTTGTTATGTCTGCAAGTGGATATTTGGACCTCTTTGAGGCCTTCGTTGCAAACGGGGTTTCTTCCTTTCATGCTAGACTAAGAAGAGTTCTCAGTAACTTTTTTGTGTTGTGTGTATTCAACTCACAGAGTTGAACCTTGCTTTAGAGAGAGCAGATTTGAAACACTCTTGCTGTGGCATTTTCAGGTGGAGATTTCAAGCGATTTGAGGACAATTGCAGAAAAGGAAATATCTTCGTATAATAACCAGACAGAATCATTCTCAGAAAGTGCTTTGTGATGTGTGCGTTCAACTCACAGAGTTTAACCTTTTTTTCATAGAGGAGTTTGGAAACACACTGTTTGTAAAGTCTGCAAGTGGATATATGGACCTGTTTGAGGCCTTCGTTGGAAACGGGATTTCTTCATTGAATGCTAGATGGAAAGAATTCTCAGTAAATTCTTTGTGTTGTGTGCATTCAACTGACAGAGTGGAACGTCCCTTTAGACAGAGCAGATTTGAAACACTCTTTTTGCGGAATTTGCAAGTGGAGATTTCTAGCCATTTGATGCCAACAGTAGAAAGGGAAATATCTTCAAATAAAAACCAGACAGATCATTCTCAGAAAATTCTTTGTGATGTGTGCGTTCAACTCACATAGTTTAACCTTTCTTTTCGTAGAGCAGTTTGGAAACACTCTGTTTGTAAAGTCTGCAAGTGGATATATGGACCGCATTGAGGCCTTCGTTGGAAACGGGATTTCTTCATTTCATACTAGACAGAAGAATTCTCAGTAACTTCTTTGTGCTGTGTGTATTCAACTCACAGAGTGGAACGTCCCTTTGCACAGAGCAGATTTGAAACACTCTTTTTGTGGAGTTTGCAAGTGGAGATTTCAAGCGATTTGATGCCAACAGTAGAAAAGGAAATATCTTCAAATAAAAACTAGACAGAATCATTCTCAGAAACTACTTTGTGATGTGTGCCTTCAACTCACAGAGTTTAACCTTTCTTTTCTTAGAGCAGTTTAGAAACACTCTGCTTGTTATGTCTGCAAGTGGATATTTGGACCTCTTTGAGGCCTTCGTTGCAAACGGGGTTTATTCCTTTCATGCTAGACTAAGAAGAGTTCTCAGTAACTTTTTTGTGTTGTGTGTATTCAACTCACAGAGTTGAACCTTGCTTTAGAGAGAGCAGATTTGAAACACTCTTGCTGTGGCATTTTCAGGTGGAGATTTCAAGCGATTTGAGGACAATTGCAGAAAAGGAAATATCTTCGTATAATAACCAGACAGAATCATTCTCAGAAAGTGCTTTGTGATGTGTGCGTTCAACTCACAGAGTTTAACCTTTCTTTTCATAGAGGAGTTTAGAAACACACTGTTTGTAAAGTCTGCAAGTGGATATATGGACCTGTTTGAGGCCTTCGTTGGAAACGGGATTTCTTCATTGAATGCTAGACGAAAGAATTCTCAGTAAATTCTTTGTGTTGTGTGCATTCAACTCACAGAGTGGAACGTCCCTTTAGACAGAGCAGATTTGAAACACTCTTTTTGCGGAATTTGCAAGTGGAGATTTCTAGCCATTTGATGCCAACAGTAGAAAGGGAAATATCTTCAAATAAAAACCAGACAGAATCATTCTCAGAAAATTCTTTGTGATGTGTGCGTTCAACTCACATAGTTTAACCTTTCTTTTCATAGAGCAGTTTGGAAACACTCTGTTTGTAAAGTCTGCAAGTGGATATATGGACCGCATTGAGGCCTTCGTTGGAAACGGGATTTCTTCATTTCATGCTAGACAGAAGAATTCTCAGTAACTTCTTTGTGCTGTGTGTATTCAACTCACAGAGTGGAACGTCCCTTTGCACAGAGCAGATTTGAAACACTCTTTTTGTGGAGTTTGCAAGTGGAGATTTCAAGCGATTTGATGCCAACAGTAGAAAAGGAAATATCTTCAAATAAAAACTAGACAGAATCATTCTCAGAAACTACTTTGTGATGTGTGCCTTCAACTCACAGAGTTTAACCTTTCTTTTCTTAGAGCAGTTTAGAAACACTCTGCTTGTTATGTCTGCAAGTGGATATTTGGACCTCTTTGAGGCCTTCGTTGCAAACGGGGTTTCTTCCTTTCATGCTAGACTAAGAAGAGTTCTCAGTAACTTTTTTGTGTTGTGTGTATTCAACTCACAGAGTTGAACCTTGCTTTAGAGAGAACAGATTTGAAACACTCTTGCTGTGGCATTTTCAGGTGGAGATTTCAAGCGATTTGAGGACAATTGCAGAAAAGGAAATATCTTCGTATAATAACCAGACAGAATCATTCTCAGAAAGTGCTTTGTGATGTGTGCGTTCCACTCACAGAGTTTAACCTTTCTTTTCATAGAGGAGTTTGGAAACACACTGTTTGTAAAGTCTGCAAGTGGATATATGGACCTGTTTGAGGCCTTCGTTGGAAACGGGATTTCTTCATTGAATGCTAGACGGAAGAATTCTCAGTAAATTCTTTGTGTTGTGTGCATTCAACTCACAGAGTGGAACGTCCCTTTAGACAGAGCAGATTTGAAACACTCTTTTTGCGGAATTTGCAAGTGGAGATTTCTAGCCATTTGATGCCAACAGTAGAAAGGGAAATATCTTCAAATAAAAACCAGACAGAATCATTCTCAGAAAATTCTTTGTGATGTGTGCGTTCAACTCACATAGTTTAACCTTTCTTTTCATAGAGCAGTTTGGAAACACTCTGTTTGTAAAGTCTGCAAGTGGATATATGGACCGCATTGAGGCCTTCGTTGGAAACGGGATTTCTTCATTTCATGCTAGACAGAAGAATTCTCAGTAACTTCTTTGTGCTGTGTGTATTCAACTCACAGAGTGGAACGTCCCTTTGCACAGAGCAGATTTGAAACACTCTTTTTGTGGAGTTTGCAAGTGGAGATTTCAAGCGATTTGATGCCAACAGTAGAAAAGGAAATATCTTCAAATAAAAACTAGACAGAAATCATTCTCAGAAACTAGTTTGTGATGTGTGCCTTCAACTCACAGAGTTTAACCTTTCTTTTCTTAGAGCAGTTTAGAAACACTCTGCTTGTTATGTCTGCAAGTGGATATTTGGACCTCTTTGAGGCCTTCGTTGCAAACGGGGTTTCTTCCTTTCATGCTAGACTAAGAAGAGTTCTCAGTAACTTTTCTGTGTTGTGTGTATTCAACTCACAGAGTTGAACCTTGCTTTAGAGAGAGCAGATTTGAAACACTCTTGCTGTGGCATTTTCAGGTGGAGATTTCAATCGTTTTGAGGACAATTGCAGAAAAGGAAATATCTTCGTATAATAACCAGACAGAATCATTCTCAGAAAGTGCTTTGTGATGTGTGCGTTCCACTCACAGAGTTTAACCTTTCTTTTCATAGAGGAGTTTGGAAACACACTGTTTGTAAACTCTGCAAGTGGATATATGGACCTGTTTGAGGCCTTCGTTGGAAACGGGATTTCTTCATTGAATGCTAGACGGAAGAATTCTCAGTAAATTCTTTGTGTTGTGTGCATTCAACTGACAGAGTGGAACGTCCCTTTAGACAGAGCAGATTTGAAACACTCTTTTTGCGGAATTTGCAAGTGGAGATTTCTAGCCATTTGATGCCAACAGTAGAAAGGGAAATATCTTCAAATAAAAACCAGACAGAATCATTCTCAGAAAATTCTTTGTGATGTGTGCGTTCAACTCACATAGTTTAACCTTTCTTTTCATAGAGCAGTTTGGAAACACTCTGTTTGTAAAGTCTGCAAGTGGATATATGGACCGCATTGAGGCCTTCGTTGGAAACGGGATTTCTTCATTTCATGCTAGACAGAAGAATTCTCAGTAACTTCTTTGTGCTGTGTGTATTCAACTCACAGAGTGGAACGTCCCTTTACACAGAGCAGATTTGAAACACTCTTTTTGTGGAGTTTGCAAGTGGAGATTTCAAGCGATTTGATGCCAACAGTAGAAAAGGAAATATCTTCAAATAAAAACTAGACAGAATCATTCTCAGAAACTACTTTGTGATGTGTGCCTTCAACTCACAGAGTTTAACCTTTCTTTTCTTAGAGCACTTTGGAAACACTCTGCTTGTTATGTCTGCAAGTGGATATTTGGACCTCTTTGAGGCCTTCGTTGCAAACGGGGTTTCTTCCTTTCATGCTAGACTAAGAAGAGTTCTCAGTAACTTTTTTGTGTTGTGTGTATTCAACTCACAGAGTTGAACCTTGCTTTAGAGAGAGCAGATTTGAAACACTCTTGCTGTGGCATTTTCAGGTGGAGATTTCAAGCGATTTGAGGACAATTGCAGAAAAGGAAATATCTTCGTATAATAACCAGACAGAATCTTTCTCAGAAAGTGCTTTGTGATGTGTGCGTTCAACTCACACAGTTTAACCTTTCTTTCCATAGAGGAGTTTGGAAACACACTGTTTGTAAAGTCTGCAATTGGATATATGGACCTGTTTGAGGCCTTCGTTGGAAACGGGATTTCTTCATTGAATGCTAGACGGAAGAATTCTCAGTAAATTCTTTGTGTGGTGTGCATTCAACTCACAGAGTGGAACGTCCCTTTAGACAGAGCAGATTTGAAACACTCTTTTTGCGGAATTTGCAAGTGGAGATTTCTAGCCATTTGATGCCAACAGTAGAAAGGGAAATATCTTCAAATAAAAACCAGACAGAATCATTCTCAGAAAATTCTTTGTGATGTGTGCGTTCAACTCACATAGTTTAACCTTTCTTTTCATAGAGCAGTTTGGAAACACTCTGTTTGTAAAGTCTGCAAGTGGATATATGGACCGCATTGAGGCCTTCGTTGGAAACGGGATTTCTTCATTTCATGCTAGACAGAAGAATTCTCAGTAACTTCTTTGTGCTGTGTGTATTCAACTCACAGAGTGGAACGTCCCTTTACACAGAGCAGATTTGAAACACTCTTTTTGTGGAGTTTGCAAGTGGATATTTCAAGCGATTTGATGCCAACAGTAGAAAAGGAAATATCTTCAAATAAAAACTAGACAGAATCATTCTCAGAAACTACTTTGTGATGTGTGCCTTCAACTCACAGAGTTTAACCTTTCTTTTCTTAGAGCAGTTTAGAAACACTCTGCTTGTTATGTCTGCAAGTGGATATTTGGACCTCTTTGAGGCCTTCGTTGCAAACGGGGTTTCTTCCTTTCATGCTAGACTAAGAAGAGTTCTCAGTAACTTTTTTGTGTTGTGTGTATTCAACTCACAGAGTTGAACCTTGCTTTAGAGAGAGCAGATTTGAAACACTCTTGCTGTGGCATTTTCAGGTGGAGATTTCAAGCGATTTGAGGACAATTGCAGAAAAGGAAATATCTTGGTATAATAACCAGACAGAATCATTCTCAGAAAGTGCTTTGTGATGTGTGCGTTCAACTCACAGAGTTTAACCTTTCTTTTCATAGAGGAGTTTGGAAACACACTGTTTGTAAAGTCTGCAATTGGATATATGGACCTGTTTGAGGCCTTCGTTGGAAACGGGATTTCTTCATTGAATGCTAGACGGAAGAATTCTCAGTAAATTCTTTGTGTGGTGTGCATTCAACTCACAGAGTGGAACGTCCCTTTAGACAGAGCAGATTTGAAACACTCTTTTTGCGGAATTTGCAAGTGGAGATTTCTAGCCATTTGATGCCAACAGTAGAAAGGGAAATATCTTCAAATAAAAACCAGACAGAATCATTCTCAGAAAATTCTTTGTGATGTGTGCGTTCAACTCACATAGTTTAACCTTTCTTTTCATAGAGCAGTTTGGAAACACTCTGTTTGTAAAGTCTGCAAGTGGATATATGGACCGCATTGAGGCCTTCGTTGGAAACGGGATTTCTTCATTTCATGCTAGACAGAAGAATTCTCAGTAACTTCTTTGTGCTGTGTGTATTCAACTCACAGAGTGGAACGTCCCTTTGCACAGAGCAGATTTGAAACACTCTTTTTGTGGAGTTTGCAATTGGAGATTTCAAGCGATTTGATGCCAACAGTAGAAAAGGAAATATCTTCAAATAAAAACTAGACAGAATCATTCTCAGAAACTACTTTGTGATGTGTGCCTTCAACTCACAGAGTTTAACCTTTCTTTTCTTAGAGCAGTTTAGAAACACTCTGCTTGTTATGTCTGCAAGTGGATATTTGGACCTCTTTGAGGCCTTCGTTGCAAACGGGGTTTCTTCCTTTCATGCTAGACTAAGAAGAGTTCTCAGTAACTTTTTTGTGTTGTGTGTATTCAACTCACAGAGTTGAACCTTGCTTTAGAGAGAGCAGATTTGAAACACTCTTGCTGTGGCATTTTCAGGTGGAGATTTCAAGCGATTTGAGGACAATTGCAGAAAAGGAAATATCTTCGTATAATAACCAGACAGAATCATTCTCAGAAAGTGCTTTGTGATGTGTGCGTTCAACTCACAGAGTTTAACCTTTCTTTTCATAGAGGAGTTTGGAAACACACTGTTTGTAAAGTCTGCAATTGGATATATGGACCTGTTTGAGGCCTTCGTTGGAAACGGGATTTCTTCATTGAATGCTAGACGGAAGAATTCTCAGTAAATTCTTTGTGTTGTGTGCATTCAACTCACAGAGTGGAACGTCCCTTTAGACAGAGCAGATTTGAAACACTCTTTTTGCGGAATTTGCAAGTGGAGATTTCTAGCCATTTGATGCCAACAGTAGAAAGGGAAATATCTTCAAATAAAAACCAGACAGAATCATTCTCAGAAAATTCTTTGTGATGTGTGCGTTCAACTCACATAGTTTAACCTTTCTTTTCATAGAGCAGTTTGGAAACACTCTGTTTGTAAAGTCTGCAAGTGGATATATGGACCGCATTGAGGCCTTCGTTGGAAACGGGATTTCTTCATTTCATGCTAGACAGAAGAATTCTCAGTAACTTCTTTGTGCTGTGTGTATTCAACTCACAGAGTGGAACGTCCCTTTACACAGAGCAGATTTGAAACACTCTTTTTGTGGAATTTGCAAGTGGAGATTTCAAGCAATTTCTTGCCAACAGTAGAAAAGGAAATATCTTCAAATAAAAACTAGACAGAATCATTCTCAGAAACTACTTTGTGATGTGTGCCTTCAACTCACAGAGTTTAACCTTTCTTTTCTTAGAGCAGTTTAGAAACACTCTGCTTGTTATGTCTGCAAGTGGATATTTGGACCTCTTTGAGGCCTTCGTTGCAAACGGGGTTTCTTCCTTTCATGCTAGACTAAGAAGAGTTCTCAGTAACTTTTTTGTGTTGTGTGTATTCAACTCACAGAGTTGAACCTTGCTTTAGAGAGAGCAGATTTGAAACACTCTTGCTGTGGCATTTTCAGGTGGAGATTTCAAGCGATTTGAGGACAATTGCAGAAAAGGAAATATCTTCGTATAATAACCAGACAGAATCATTCTCAGAAAGTGCTTTGTGATGTGTGCGTTCAACTCACAGAGTTTAACCTTTCTTTTCATAGAGGAGTTTGGAAACACACTGTTTGTAAAGTCTGCAAGTGGATATATGGACCTGTTTGAGGCCTTCGTTGGAAACGGGATTTCTTCATTGAATGCTAGACGGAAGAATTCTCAGTAAATTCTTTGTGTTGTGTGCATTCAACTCACAGAGTGGAACGTCCCTTTAGACAGAGCAGATGTGAAACACTCTTTTTGCGGAATTTCCAAGTGGAGATTTCTAGCCATTTGATGCCAACAGTAGAAAGGGAAATATCTTCAAATAAAAACCAGACAGAATCATTCTCAGAAAATTCTTTGTGATGTGTGCGTTCAACTCACATAGTTTAACCTTTCTTTTCATAGAGCAGTTTGGAAACACTCTGTTTGTAAAGTCTGCAAGTGGATATATGGACCGCATTGAGGCCTTCGTTGGAAACGGGATTTCTTCATTTCATGCTAGACAGAAGAATTCTCAGTAACTTCTTTGTGCTGTGTGTATTCAACTCACAGAGTGGAACGTCCCTTTACACAGAGCAGATTTGAAACACTCTTTTTGTGGAGTTTGCAAGTGGAGATTTCAAGCGAATTGATGCCAACAGTAGAAAAGGAAATATCTTCAAATAAAAACTAGACAGAATCATTCTCAGAAACTACTTTGTGATGTTTGCCTTCAACTCACAGAGTTTAACCTTTCTTTTCTTAGAGCAGTTTAGAAACACTCTGCTTGTTATGTCTGCAAGTGGATATTTGGACCTCTTTGAGGCCTTCGTTGCAAACGGGGTTTCTTCCTTTCATGCTAGACTAAGAAGAGTTCTCAGTAACTTTTTTGTGTTGTGTGTATTCAACTCACAGAGTTGAACCTTGCTTTAGAGAGAGCAGATTTGAAACACTCTTGCTGTGGCATTTTCAGGTGGAGATTTCAAGCGTTTTGAGGACAATTGCAGAAAAGGAAATATCTTCGTATAATAACCAGACAGAATCATTCTCAGAAAGTGCTTTGTGATGTGCGCGTTCAACTCACAGAGTTTAACCTTTCTTTCCATAGAGGAGTTTGGAAACACACTGTTTGTAAAGTCTGCAATTGGATATATGGACCTGTTTGAGGCCTTCGTTGGAAACGGGATTTCTTCATTGAATGCTAGACGGAAGAATTCTCAGTAAATTCTTTGTGTTGTGTGCATTCAACTCACAGAGTGGAACGTCCCTTTAGACAGAGCAGATTTGAAACACTCTTTTTGCGGAATTTGCAAGTGGAGATTTCTAGCCATTTGATGCCAACAGTAGAAAGGGAAATATCTTCAAATAAAAACCAGACAGAATCATTCTCAGAAAATTCTTTGTGATGTGTGCGTTCAACTCACATAGTTTAACCTTTCTTTTCATAGAGCAGTATGGAAACACTCTGTTTGTAAAGTCTGCAAGTGGATATATGGACCGCATTGAGGCCTTCGTTGGAAACGGGATTTCTTCATTTCATACTAGACAGAAGAATTCTCAGTAACTTCTTTGTGCTGTGTGTATTCAACTCACAGAGTGGAACGTCCCTTTGCACAGGGCAGATTTGAAACACTCTTTTTGTGGAATTTGCAAGTGGAGATTTCAAGCGATTTGATGCCAACAGTAGAAAAGGAAATATCTTCAAATAAAAACTAGACAGAACCATTCTCAGAAACTACTTTGTGATGTGTGCCTTCAACTCACAGAGTTTAACCTTTCTTTTCTTAGAGCAGTTTAGAAACACTCTGCTTGTTATGTCTGCAAGTGGATATTTGGACCTCTTTGAGGCCTTCGTTGCAAACGGGGTTTCTTCCTTTCATGCTAGACTAAGAAGAGTTCTCAGTAACTTTTTTGTGTTGTGTGTATTCAACTCACAGAGTTGAACCTTGCTTTAGAGAGAGCAGATTTGAAACACTCTTGCTGTGGCATTTTCAGGTGGAGATTTCAAGCGATTTGAGGACAATTACAGAAAAGGAAATATCTTCGTATAACAACCAGACAGAATCATTCTCAGAAAGTGCTTTGTGATGTGTGCGTTCAACTCACAGAGTTTAACCTTTCTTTTCATAGAGGAGTTTGGAAACACCCTGTTTGTAAAGTCTGCAATTGGATATATGGACCTGTTTGAGGCCTTCGTTGGAAACGGGATTTCTTCATTGAATGCTAGGCGGAAGAATTCTCAGTAAATTCTTTGTGTTGTGTGCATTCAACTGACAGAGTGGAACGTCCCTTTAGACAGAGCAGATTTGAAACACTCTTTTTGCGGAATTTGCAAGTGGAGATTTCTAGCCATTTGATGCCAACAGTAGAAAGGGAAATATCTTCAAATAAAAACCAGACAGAATCATTCTCAGAAAATTCTTTGTGATGTGTGCGTTCAACTCACATAGTTTAACCTTTCTTTTCATAGAGCAGTTTGGAAACACTCTGTTTGTAAAGTCTGCAAGTGGATATATGGACCGCATTGAGGCCTTCGTTGGAAACGGGATTTCTTCATTTCATGCTAGACAGAAGAATTCTCAGTAACTTCTTTGTGCTGTGTGTACTCAACTCACAGAGTGGAACGTCCCTTTACACAGAGCAGATTTGAAACACTCTTTTTGTGGAATTTGCAAGTGGAGATTTCAAGCGATTTGATGCCAACAGTAGAAAAGGAAATATCTTCAAATAAAAACTAGACAGAATCATTCTCAGGAACTACTTTGTGATGTGTGCCTTCAACTCACAGAGTTTAACCTTTATTTTCTTAGAGCAGTTTAGAAACACTCTGCTTGTTATGTCTGCAAGTGGATATTTGGACCTCTTTGAGGCCTTCGTTGCAAACGGGGTTTCTTCCTTTAATGCTAGACTAAGAAGAGTTCTCAGTAACTTTTTTGTGTTGTGTGTATTCAACTCACAGAGTTGAACCTTGCTTTAGAGAGAGCAGATTTGAAACACTCTTGCTGTGGAATTTTCAGGTGGAGATTTCAAGCGATTTGAGGACAATTGCAGAAAAGGAAATATCTTCGTATAATAACCAGACAGAATCATTCTCAGAAAGTGCTTTGTGATGTGTGCGTTCAACTCACAGAGTTTAACCTTTCGTTTCATAGAGGAGCTTGGAAACACACTGTTTGTAAAGTCTGCAATTGGATATATGGACCTGTTTGAGGCCTCCGTTGGAAACGGGATTTCTTCATTGAATGCTAGACGGAAGAATTCTCAGTAAATTCTTTGTGTGGTGTGCATTCAACTCACAGAGTGGAACGTCCCTTTAGACAGAGCAGATTTGAAACACTCTTTTTGCGGAATTTGCAAGTGGAGATTTCTAGCCATTTGATGCCAACAGTAGAAAGGGAAATATCTTCAAATAAAAACCAGACAGAATCATTCTCAGAAAATTCTTTGTGATGTGTGCGTTCAACTCACATAGTTTAACCTTTCTTTTCATAGAGCAGTTTGGAAACACTCTGTTTGTAAAGTCTGCAAGTGGATATATGGACCGCATTGAGGCCTTCGTTGGAAACGGGATTTCTTCATTTCATGCTAGACAGAAGAATTCTCAGTAACTTCTCTGTGCTGTGTGTATTCAACTCACAGACTGGAACGTCCGTTTGCACAGAGCAGATTTGAAACACTCTCTTTGTGGAATTTGCAAGTGGAGATTTCAAGCGATTTGATGCCAACAGTAGAAAAGGAAATATCTTCAAATAAAAACTAGACAGAATCATTCTCAGAAACTACTTTGTGATGTGTGCCTTCAACTCACAGAGTTTAACCTTTCTTTTCTTAGAGCAGTTTAGAAACACTCTGCTTGTTATGTCTGCAAGTGGATATTTGGACCTCTTTGAGGCCTTCGTTGCAAACGGGGTTTCTTCCTTTCATGCTAGACTAAGAAGAGTTCTCAGTAACTTTTTTGTGTTGTGTGTATTCAACTCACAGAGTTGAACCTTGCTTTAGAGAGAGCAGATTTGAAACACTCTTGCTGTGGCATTTTCAGGTGGAGATTTCAAGCGATTTGAGGACAATTGCAGAAAAGGAAATATCTTCGTATAATAACCAGACAGAATCATTCTCAGAAAGTGCTTTGTGTTGTGTGCGTTCAACTCACAGAGTTTAACCTTTCTTTTCATAGAGGAGTTTGGAAACACACTGTTTGTAAAGTCTGCAATTGGATATATGGACCTGTTTGAGGCCTTCGTTGGAAACGGGATTTCTTCATTGAATGCTAGACGGAAGAATTCTCAGTAAATTCTTTGTGTTGTGTGCATTCAACTCACAGAGTGGAACGTCCCTTTAGACAGAGCAGATTTGAAACACTCTTTTTGCGGAATTTGCAAGTGGAGATTTCTAGCCATTTGATGCCAACAGTAGAAAGGGAAATATCTTCAAATAAAAACCAGACAGAATCATTCTCAGAAAATTCTTTGTGATGTGTGCGTTCAACTCACATAGTTTAACCTTTCTTTTCATAGAGCAGTTTGGAAACACTCTGTTTGTAAAGTCTGCAAGTGGATATATGGACCGCATTGAGGCCTTCGTTGGAAACGGGATTTCTTCATTTCATGCTAGACAGAAGAATTCTCAGTAACTTCTTTGTGCTGTGTGTATTCAACTCACAGAGTGGAACGTCCCTTTGCACAGAGCAGATTTGAAACACTCTTTTTGTGGAGTTTGCAAGTGGAGATTTCAAGCGATTTGATGCCAACAGTAGAAAAGGAAATATCTTCAAATAAAAACTAGACAGAATCATTCTCAGAAACTACTTTGTGATGTGTGCCTTCAACTCACAGAGTTTAACCTTTCTTTTCTTAGAGCAGTTTAGAAACACTCTGCTTGTTATGTCTGCAAGTGGATATTTGGACCTCTTTGAGGCCTTCGTTGCAAACGGGGTTTCTTCCTTTCATGCTAGACTAAGAAGAGTTCTCAGTAACTTTTTTGTGTTGTGTGTATTCAACTCACAGAGTTGAACCTTGCTTTAGAGAGAGCAGATTTGAAACACTCTTGCTGTGGCATTTTCAGGTGGAGATTTCAAGCGATTTGAGGACAATTGCAGAAAAGGAAATATCTTCGTATAACAACCAGACAGAATCATTCTCAGAAAGTGCTTTGTGATGTGTGGGTTCAACTCACAGAGTTTAACCTTTCTTTTCATAGAGGAGTTTGGAAACACACTGTTTGTAAAGTCTGCAATTGGATATATGGACCTGTTTGAGGCCTTCGTTGGAAACGGGATTTCTTCATTGACTGCTAGACAGAAGAATTCTCAGTAAATTCTTTGTGTTGTGTGCATTCAACTCACAGAGTGGAACGTCCCTTTAGACAGAGCAGATTTGAAACACTCTTTTTGCGGAATTTGCAAGTGGAGATTTCTAGCCATTTGATGCCAACAGTAGAAAGGGAAATATCTTCAAATAAAAACCAGACAGAATCATTCTCAGAAAATTCTTTGTGATGTGTGCGTTCAACTCACATAGTTTAACCTTTCTTTTCATAGAGCAGTTTGGAAACACTCTGTTTGTAAAGTCTGCAAGTGGATATATGGACCGCATTTGAGGCCTTCGTTGGAAACGGGATTTCTTCATTTCATGCTAGACAGAAGAATTCTCAGTAACTTCTTTGTGCTGTGTGTATTCAACTCACAGAGTGGAACGTCCCTTTGCACAGAGCAGATTTGAAACACTCTTTTTGTGGAGTTTGCAAGTGGAGATTTCAAGCGATTTGATGCCAACAGTAGAAAAGGAAATATCTTCAAATAAAAACTAGACAGAATCATTCTCAGAAACTACTTTGTGATGTGTGCCTTCAACTCACAGAGTTTAACCTTTCTTTTCTTAGAGCAGTTTAGAAACACTCTGCTTGTTATGTCTGCAAGTGGATATTTGGACCTCTTTGAGGCCTTCGTTGCAAACGGGGTTTCTTCCTTTCATGCTAGACTAAGAAGAGTTCTCAGTAACTTTTTTGTGTTGTGTGTATTCAACTCACAGAGTTGAACCTTGCTTTAGAGAGAGCAGATTTGAAACACTCTTGCTGTGGCATTTTCAGGTGGAGATTTCAAGCGATTTGAGGACAATTGCAGAAAAGGAAATATCTTCGTATAATAACCAGACAGAATCATTCTCAGAAAGTGCTTTGTGATGTGTGCGTTCCACTCACAGAGTTTAACCTTTCTTTTCATAGAGGAGTTTGGAAACACACTGTTTGTAAACTCTGCAAGTGGATATATGGACCTGTTTGAGGCCTTCGTTGGAAACGGGATTTCTTCATTGAATGCTAGACGGAAGAATTCTCAGTAAATTCTTTGTGTTGTGTGCATTCAACTCACAGAGTGGAACGTCCCTTTAGACAGAGCAGATTTAAAACACTCTTTTTGCGGAATTTGCAAGTGGAGATTTCTAGCCATTTGATGCCAACAGTAGAAAGGGAAATATCTTCAAATAAAAACCAGACAGAATCATTCTCAGAAAATTCTTTGTGATGTGTGCGTTCAACTCACATAGTTTAACCTTTCTTTTCATAGAGCAGTTTGGAAACACTCTGTTTGTAAAGTCTGCAAGTGGATATATGGACCGCATTGAGGCCTTCGTTGGAAACGGGATTTCTTCATTTCATGCTAGACAGAAGAATTCTCAGTAACTTCTTTGTGCTGTGTGTATTCAACTCACAGAGTGGAACGTCCCTTTACACAGAGCAGATTTGAAACACTCTTTTTGTGGAGTTTGCAAGTGGAGATTTCAAGCGATTTGATGCCAACAGTAGAAAAGGAAATATCTTCAAATAAAAACTAGACAGAATCATTCTCAGAAACTACTTTGTGATGTGTGCCTTCAACTCACAGAGTTTAACCTTTCTTTTCTTAGAGCAGTTTAGAAACACTCTGCTTGTTATGTCTGCAAGTGGATATTTGGACCTCTTTGAGGCCTTCGTTGCAAACGGGATTTCTTCCTTTCATGCTACACTAAGAAGAGTTCTCAGTAACTTTTTTGTGTTGTGTGTATTCAACTCACAGAGTTGAACCTTGCTTTAGAGAGAGCAGATTTGAAACACTCTTGCTGTGGCATTTTCAGGTGGAGATTTCAAGCGATTTGAGGACAATTGCAGAAAAGGAAATATCTTCGTATAATAACCAGACAGAATCATTCTCAGAAAGTGCTTTGTGATGTGTGCGTTCAACTCACAGAGTTTAAACTTTCTTTTCATAGAGGAGTTTGGAAACACACTGTTTGTAAAGTCTGCAAGTGGATATATGGACCTGTTTGAGGCCTTCGTTGGAAACGGGATTTCTTCATTGAATGCTAGACGGAAGAATTCTCAGTAAATTCTTTGTGTTGTGTGCATTCAACTCACAGAGTGGAACGTCCCTTTAGACAGAGCAGATTTGAAACACTCTTTTTGTGGAGTTTGCAAGTGGAGATTTCAAGCGATTTGATGCCAACAGTAGAAAAGGAAATATCTTCAAATAAAAACTAGACAGAATCATTCTCAGAAACTACTTTGTGATGTGTGCCTTCAACTCACAGAGTTTAACCTTTCTTTTCTTAGAGCAGTTTAGAAACACTCTGCTTGTTATGTCTGCAAGTGGATATTTGGACCTCTTTGAGGCCTTCGTTGCAAACGGGGTTTCTTCCTTTCATGCTAGACTAAGAAGAGTTCTCAGTAACTTTTTTGTGTTGTGTGTATTCAACTCACAGAGTTGAACCTTGCTTTAGAGAGAGCAGATTTGAAACACTCTTGCTGTGGCATTTTCAGGTGGAGATTTCAAGCGATTTGAGGACAATTGCAGAAAAGGAACTACTTCGTATAATAACCAGACAGAATCATTCTCAGAAAGTGCTTTGTGATGTGTGCGGTTCAACTCACAGAGTTTAACCTTTCTTTTCATAGAGGAGTTTGGAAACACACTGTTTGTAAAGTCTGCAATTGGATATATGGACCTGTTTGAGGCCTTCGTTGGAAACGGGATTTCTTCATTGAATGCTAGACGGAAGAATTCTCAGTAAATACTTTGTGTTGTGCGCATTCAACTGACAGAGTGGAACGTCCCTTTAGACAGAGCAGATTTGAAACACTCTTTTTGCGGAATTTGCAAGTGGAGATTTCTAGCCATTTGATGCCAACAGTAGAAAGGGAAATATCTTCAAATAAAAACCAGACAGAATCATTCTCAGAAAATTCTTTGTGATGTGTGCGTTCAACTCACATAGTTTAACCTTTCTTTTCATAGAGCAGTTTGGAAACACTCTTTTTGTAAAGTCTGCAAGTGGATATATGGACCTGTTTGAGGCCTTCGTTGGAAACGGGATTTCTTCATTGAATGCTAGAGGGAAGAATTCTCAGTAAATTCTTTGTGTTGTGTGCATTCAACTCACAGAGTGGAACGTCCCTTTAGACAGAGCAGATTTGAAACACTCTTTTTGCGGAATTTGCTAGTGGAGATTTCTAGCCATTTGATGCCAACAGTAGAAAGGGAAATATCTTCAAATAAAAACCAGACAGAATCATTCTCAGAAAATTCTTTGTGATGTGTGCGTTCAACTCACATAATTTAACCTTTCTTTTCATAGAGCAGTTTGGAAACACTCTGTTTGTAAAGTCTGCAAGTGGATATATGGACCTCATTGAGGCCTTCGTTGGAAACGGGATTTCTTCATTTCATGCTAGCCAGAAGAATTCTCAGTAACTTCTTTGTGCTGTGTGTATTCAACTCACAGAGTGGAACGTCCCTTTACACAGAGAAGATTTGAAACACTCTTTTTGTGGAGTTTGCAAGTGGAGATTTCAAGCGATTTGATGCCAACAGTAGAAAAGGAAATATCTTCAAATAAAAACTAGACAGAATCATTCTCAGAAACTACTTTGTGATGTGTGCCTTCAACTCACAGAGTTTAACCTTTCTTTTCTTAGAGCAGTTTAGAAACACTCTGCTTGTTATGTCTGCAAGTGGATATTTGGACCTCTTTGAGGCCTTCGTTGCAAACGGGGTTTCTTCCTTTCATGCTAGACTAAGAAGAGTTCTCAGTAACTTTTCTGTGTTGTGTGTATTCAACTCACAGAGTTGAACCTTGCTTTAGAGAGAGCAGATTTGAAACACTCTTGCTGTGGCATTTTCAGGTGGAGATTTCAAGCGTTTTGAGGACAATTGCAGAAAAGGAAATATCTTCGTATAATAACCAGACAGAATCATTCTCAGAAAGTGCTTTGTGATGTGTGCGTTCCACTCACAGAGTTTAACCTTTCTTTTCATAGAGGAGTTTGGAAACACACTGTTTGTAAACTCTGCAAGTGGATATATGGACCTGTTTGAGGCCTTCGTTGGAAACGGGATTTCTTCATTGAATGCTAGACGGAAGAATTCTCAGTAAATTCTTTGTGTTTTGTGCATTCAACTCACAGAGTGGAACGTCCCTTTAGACAGAGCAGATTTGAAACACTCTTTTGGCGGAATTTGCAAGTGGAGATTTCTAGCCATTTGATGCCAACAGTAGAAAGGGAAATATCTTCAAATAAAAACCAGACAGAATCATTCTCAGAAAATTCTTTGTGATGTGTGCGTTCAACTCACATAGTTTAACCTTTCTTTTCATAGAGCAGTTTGGAAACACTCTGTTTGTAAAGTCTGCAAGTGGATATATGGACCGCATTGAGGCCTTCGTTGGAAACGGGATTTCTTCATTTCATGCTAGACAGAAGAATTCTCAGTAACTTCTTTGTGCTGTGTGTATTCAACTCACAGAGTGGAACGTCCCTTTGCACAGAGCAGATTTGAAACACTCTTTTTGTGGAGTTTGCAAGTGGAGATTTCAAGCGATTTGATGCCAACAGTAGAAAAGGAAATATCTTCAAATAAAAACTAGACAGAATCATTCTCAGAAACTACTTTGTGATGTGTGCCTTCAACTCACAGAGTTTAACCTTTCTTTTCATAGAGCAGTTTAGAAACACTCTGCTTGTTATGTCTGCAAGTGGATATTTGGACCTCTTTGAGGCCTTCGTTGCAAACGGGGTTTCTTCATTTCATGCTAGACTAAGAAGAGTTCTCAGTAACTTTTTTGTGTTGTGTGTATTCAACTCACAGAGTTGAACCTTGCTTTAGAGAGAGCAGATTTGAAACACTCTTGCTGTGGCATTTTCAGGTGGAGATTTCAAGCGATTTGAGGACAATTGCAGAAAAGGAAATATCTTCGTATAACAACCAGACAGAATCATTCTCAGAAAGTGCTTTGTGATGTGTGCGTTCAACTCACAGAGTTTAACCTTTCTTTTCATAGAGGAGTTTGGAAACACACTGTTTGTAAAGTCTGCAATTGGATATATGGACCTGTTTGAGGCCTTCGTTGGAAACGGGATTTCTTCATTGCATGCTAGACGGAAGAATTCTCAGTAAATTCTTTGTGTGGTGTGCATTCAACTCACAGAGTGGAACGTCCCTTTAGACAGAGCAGATTTGAAACACTCTTTTTGCGGAATTTGCAAGTGGAGATTTCTAGCCATTTGATGCCAACAGTAGAAAGGGAAATATCTTCAAATAAAAACCAGACAGAATCATTCTCAGAAAATTCTTTGTGATGTGTGCGTTCAACTCACATAGTTTAACCTTTCTTTTCATAGAGCAGTTTGGAAACACTCTGTTTGTAAAGTCTGCAAGTGGATATATGGACCGCATTGAGGCCTTCGTTGGAAACGGGATTTCTTCATTTCATGCTAGACAGAAGAATTCTCAGTAACTTCTTTGTGCTGTGTGTATTCAACTCACAGAGTGGAACGTCCCTTTACACAGAGCAGATTTGAAACACTCTTTTTGTGGAGTTTGCAAGTGGAGATTTCAAGCGATTTGATGCCAACAGTAGAAAAGGAAATATCTTCAAATAAAAACTAGACAGAATCATTCTCAGAAACTACTTTGTGATGTGTGCCTTCAACTCACAGAGTTTAACCTTTCTTTTCTTAGAGCAGTTTAGAAACACTCTGCTTGTTATGTCTGCAAGTGGATATTTGGACCTACTTTGAGGCCTTCGTTGCAAACGGGGTTTCTTCCTTTAATGCTAGACTAAGAAGAGTTCTCAGTAACTTTTTTGTGTTGTGTGTATTCAACTCACAGAGTTGAACCTTGCTTTAGAGAGAGCAGATTTGAAACACTCTTGCTGTGGCATTTTCAGGTGGAGATTTCAAGCGATTTGAGGACAATTGCAGAAAAGGAAATATCTTCGTATAACAGCCAGACAGAATCATTCTCAGAAAGTGCTTTGTGATGTGCGCGTTCAACTCGCAGAGTTTAACCTTTCTTTCCATAGAGGAGTTTGGAAACACACTGTTTGTAAAGTCTGCAATTGGATATATGGACCTGTTTGAGGCCTTCGTTGGAAACGGGATTTCTTCATTGAATGCTAGACGGAAGAATTCTCAGTAAATTCTTTGTGTTGTGTGCATTCAACTCACAGAGTGGAACGTCCCTTTAGACAGAGCAGATTTGAAACACTCTTTTTGCGGAATTTGCAAGTGGAGATTTCTAGCCATTTGATGCCAACAGTAGAAAGGGAAATATCTTCAAATAAAAACCAGACAGAATCATTCTCAGAAAATTCTTTGTGATGTGTGCGTTCAACTCACATAGTTTAACCTTTCTTTTCATAGAGCAGTTTGGAAACACTCTGTTTGTAAAGTCTGCAAGTGGATATATGGACCGCATTGAGGCCTTCGTTGGAAACGGGATTTCTTCATTTCATGCTAGACAGAAGAATTCTCAGTAACTTCTTTGTGCTGTGTGTATTCAACTCACAGAGTGGAACGTCCCTTTACACAGAGCAGATTTGAAACACTCTTTTTGTGGAGTTTGCAAGTGGAGATTTCAAGCGATTTGATGCCAACAGTAGAAAAGGAAATATCTTCAAATAAAAACTAGACAGAATCATTCTCAGAAACTACTTTGTGATGTGTGCCTTCAACTCACAGAGTTTAACCTTTCTTTTCTTAGAGCAGTTTAGAAACACTCTGCTTGTTATGTCTGCAAGTGGATATTTGGACCTCTTTGAGGCCTTCGTTGCAAACGGGGTTTCTTCCTTTCATGCTAGACTAAGAAGAGTTCTCAGTAACTTTTTTGTGTTGTGTGTATTCAACTCACAGAGTTGAACCTTGCTTTAGAGAGAGCAGATTTGAAACACTCTTGCTGTGGCATTTTCAGGTGGAGATTTCAAGCGATTTGAGGACAATTGCAGAAAAGGAAATATCTTCGTATAATAACCAGACAGAATCATTCTCAGAAAGTGCTTTGTGATGTGTGCGTTCCACTCACAGAGTTTAACCTTTCTTTTCATAGAGGAGTTTGGAAACACACTGTTTGTAAAGTCTGCAAGTGGATATATGGACCTCTTTGAGGCCTTCGTTGGAAACGGGATTTCTTCATTGAATGCTAGACGGAAGAATTCTCAGTAAATTCTTTGTGTTGTGTGCATTCAACTCACAGAGTGGAACGTCCCTTTAGACAGAGCAGATTTGAAACACTCTTTTTGCGGAATTTGCAAGTGGAGATTTCTAGCCATTTGATGCCAACAGTAGAAAGGGAAATATTTTCAAATAAAAACCAGACAGAATCATTCTCAGAAAATTCTTTGTGATGTGTGCGTTCAACTCACATAGTTTAACCTTTCTTTTCATAGAGCAGTTTGGAAACACTCTGTTTGTAAAGTCTGCAAGTGGATATATGGACCGCATTGAGGCCTTCGTTGGAAACGGGGTTTCTTCATTTCATGCTAGACAGAAGAATTCTCAGTAACTTCTTTGTGCTGTGTGTATTCAACTCACAGAGTGGAACGTCCCTTTGCACAGAGCAGATTTGAAACACTCTTTTTGTGGAATTTGCAAGTGGAGATTTCAAGCGATTTGATGCCAACAGTAGAAAAGGAAATATCTTCAAATAAAAACTAGACAGAATCATTCTCAGAAACTACTTTGTGATGTGTGCCTTCAACTCACAGAGTTTAACCTTTCTTTTCTTAGAGCAGTTTAGAAACACTCTGCTTGTTATGTCTGCAAGTGGATATTTGGACCTCTTTGAGGCCTTCGTTGCAAACGGGGTTTCTTCCTTTCATGCTAGACTAAGAAGAGTTCTCAGTAACTTTTTTGTGTTGTGTGTATTCAACTCACAGAGTTGAACCTTGCTTTAGAGAGAGCAGATTTGAAACACTCTTGCTGTGGCATTTTCAGGTGGAGATTTCAAGCGATTTGAGGACAACTGCAGAAAAGGAAGTATCTTCGTATAATAACCAGACAGAATCATTCTCAGAAAGTGCTTTGTGATGTGTGCGTTCAACTCACAGAGTTTAACCTTTCTTTTCATAGAGGAGTTTGGAAACACACTGTTTGTAAAGTCTGCAAGTGGATATATGGACCTGTTTGAGGCCTTCGTTGGAAACGGGATTTCTTCATTGAATGCTAGACGGAAGAATTCTCAGTAAATTCTTTGTGTTGTGTGCATTCAACTCACAGAGTGGAACGTCCCTTTAGACAGAGCAGATTTGAAACACTCTTTTGGCGGAATTTGCAAGTGGAGATTTCTAGCCATTTGATGCCAACAGTAGAAAGGGAAATATCTTTAAATAAAAACCAGACAGAATCATTCTCAGAAAATTCTTTGTGATGTGTGCGTTCAACTCACATAGTTTAACCTTTCTTTTCATAGAGCAGTTTGGAAACACTCTGTTTGTAAAGTCTGCAAGTGGATATATGGACCGCATTGAGGCCTTCGTTGGAAACGGGATTTCTTCATTTCATGCTAGACAGAAGAATTCTCAGTAACTTCTTTGTGCTGTGTGTATTCAACTCACAGAGTGGAACGTCCCTTTGCACAGAGCAGATTTGAAACACTCTTTTTGTGGAGTTTGCAAGTGGAGATTTCAAGCGATTTGATGCCAACAGTAGAAAAGGAAATATCTTCAAATAAAAACTAGACAGAATCATTCTCAGAAACTACTTTGTGATGTGTGCCTTCAACTCACAGAGTTTAACCTTTCTTTTCTTAGAGCAGTTTAGAAACACTCTGCTTGTTATGTCTGCAAGTGGATATTTGGACCTCTTTGAGGCCTTCGTTGCAAACGGGGTTTCTTCCTTTCATGCTAGACTAAGAAGAGTTCTCAGTAACTTTTTTGTGTTGTGTGTATTCAACTCACAGAGTTGAACCTTGCTTTAGAGAGAGCAGATTTGAAACACTCTTGCTGTGGCATTTTCAGGTGGAGATTTCAAGCGATTTGAGGACAATTGCAGAAAAGGAAATATCTTCGTATAATAACCAGACAGAATCATTCTCAGAAAGTGCTTTGTGATGTGTGCGTTCAACTCACAGAGTTTAACCTTTCTTTTCATAGAGGAGTTTGGAAACACACTGTTTGTAAAGTCTGCAATTGGATATATGGACCTGTTTGAGGCCTTCGTTGGAAACGGGATTTCTTCATTGAATGCTAGACGGAAGAATTCTCAGTAAATTCTTTGTGTTGTGTGCATTCAACTCACAGAGTGGAACGTCCCTTTAGACAGAGCAGATTTGAAACACTCTTTTTGCGGAATTTGCAAGTGGAGATTTCTAGCCATTTGATGCCAACAGTAGAAAGGGAAATATACTTCAAATAAAAACCAGGCAGAATCATTCTCAGAAAATTCTTTGTGATGTGTGCGTTCAACTCACATAGTTTAACCTTTCTTTTCATAGAGCAGTTTGGAAACACTCTGTTTGTAAAGTCTGCAAGTGGATATATGGACCGCATTGAGGCCTTCGTTGGAAACGGGATTTCTTCATTTCATGCTAGACAGAAGAATTCTCAGTAACTTCTTTGTGCTGTGTGTATTCAACTCACAGAGTGGAACGTCCCTTTGCACAGAGCAGATTTGAAACACTCTTTTTGTGGAATTTGCAAGTGGAGATTTCAAGCGATTTGATGCCAACAGTAGAAAAGGAAATATCTTCAAATAAAAACTAGACAGAATCATTCTCAGAAACTACTTTGTGATGTGTGCCTTCAACTCACAGAGTTTAACCTTTCTTTTCTTAGAGCAGTTTAGAAACACTCTGCTTGTTATGTCTGCAAGTGGATATTTGGACCTCTTTGAGGCCTTCGTTGCAAACGGGGTTTCTTCCTTTCATGCTAGACTAAGAAGAGTTCTCAGTAACTTTTTTGTGTTGTGTGTATTCAACTCACAGAGTTGAACCTTGCTTTAGAGAGAGCAGATTTGAAACACTCTTGCTGTGGCATTTTCAGGTGGAGATTTCAAGCGATTTGAGGACAATTGCAGAAAAGGAAATATCTTCGTATAATAACCAGACAGAATCATTCTCAGAAAGTGCTTTGTGATGTGTGCGTTCAACTCACAGAGTTTAACCTTTCTTTTCATAGAGGAGTTTGGAAACACACTGTTTGTAAAGTCTGCAATTGGATATATGGACCTGTTTGAGGCCTTCGTTGGAAACGGGATTTCTTCATTGAATGCTAGACGGAAGAATTCTCAGTAAATTCTTTGTGTTGTGTGCATTCAACTCACAGAGTGGAACGTCCCTTTAGACAGAGCAGATTTGAAACACTCTTTTTGCGGAATTTGCAAGTGGAGATTTCTAGCCATTTGATGCCAACAGTAGAAAGGGAAATATCTTCAAATAAAAACCAGACAGAATCATTCTCAGAAAATTCTTTGTGATGTGTGCGTTCAACTCACATAGTTTAACCTTTCTTTTCATAGAGCAGTTTGGAAACACTCTGTTTGTAAAGTCTGCAAGTGGATATATGGACCGCATTGAGGCCTTCGTTGGAAACGGGATTTCTTCATTTCATGCTAGACAGAAGAATTCTCAGTAACTTCTTTGTGCTGTGTGTATTCAACTCACAGAGTGGAACGTCCCTTTGCACAGAGCAGATTTGAAACACTCTTTTTGTGGAGTTTGCAAGTGGAGATTTCAAGCGATTTGATGCCAACAGTAGAAAAGGAAATATCTTCAAATAAAAACTAGACAGAATCATTCTCAGAAACTACTTTGTGATGTGTGCCTTCAACTCACAGAGTTTAACCTTTCTTTTCTTAGAGCAGTTTAGAAACACTCTGCTTGTTATGTCTGCAAGTGGATATTTGGACCTCTTTGAGGCCTTCGTTGCAAACGGGGTTTCTTCCTTTCATGCTAGACTAAGAAGAGTTCTCAGTAACTTTTTTGTGTTGTGTGTATTCAACTCACAGAGTTGAACCTTGCTTTAGAGAGAGCAGATTTGAAACACTCTTGCTGTGGCATTTTCAGGTGGAGATTTCAAGCGATTTGAGGACAATTGCAGAAAAGGAAATATCTTCGTATAATAACCAGACAGAATCATTCTCAGAAAGTGCTTTGTGATGTGTGGGTTCAACTCACAGAGTTTAACCTTTCTTTTCATAGAGGAGTTTGGAAACACACTGTTTGTAAAGTCTGCAATTGGATATATGGACCAGTTTGAGGCCTTCGTTGGAAACGGGATTTCTTCATTGACTGCTAGACAGAAGAATTCTCAGTAAATTCTTTGTGTTGTGTGCATTCAACTCACAGAGTGGAACGTCCCTTTAGACAGAGCAGATTTGAAACACTCTTTTTGCGGAATTTGCAAGTGGAGATTTCTAGCCATTTGATGCCAACAGTAGAAAGGGAAATATCTTCAAATAAAAACCAGACAGAATCATTCTCAGAAAATTCTTTGTGATGTGTGCGTTCAACTCACATAGTTTAACCTTTCTTTTCTTAGAGCAGTTTAGAAACACTCTGCTTGTTATGTCTGCAAGTGGATATTTGGACCTACTTTGAGGCCTTCGTTGCAAACGGGGTTTCTTCCTTTCATGCTAGACTAAGAAGAATTCTCAGTAACTTCTTTGTGCTGTGTGTATTCAACTCACAGAGTGGAACGTCCCTTTACACAGAGCAGATTTGAAACACTCTTTTTGTGGAGTTTGCAAGTGGAGATTTCAAGCGATTTGATGCCAACAGTAGAAAAGGAAATATCTTCAAATAAAAACTAGACAGAATCATTCTCAGAAACTACTTTGTGATGTGTGCCTTCAACTCACAGAGTTTAACCTTTCTTTTCTTAGAGCAGTTTAGAAACACTCTGCTTGTTATGTCTGCAAGTGGATATTTGGACCTCTTTGAGGCCTTCGTTGCAAACGGGGTTTCTTCCTTTCATGCTAGACTAAGAAGAGTTCTCAGTAACTTTTTTGTGTTGTGTGTATTCAACTCACAGAGTTGAACCTTGCTTTAGAGAGAGCAGATTTGAAACACTCTTGCTGTGACATTTTCAGGTGGAGATTTCAAGCGATTTGAGGACAATTGCAGAAAAGGAAATATCTTCGTATATCAACCAGACAGAATCATTCTCAGAAAGTGCTTTGTGATGTGTGCGTTCCACTCACAGAGTTTAACCTTTCTTTTCATAGAGGAGTTTGGAAACACACTGTTTGTAAAGTCTGCAATTGGATATATGGACCTGTTTGAGGCCTTCGTTGGAAACGGGATTTCTTCATTGAATGCTAGACGGAAGAATTCTCAGTAAATTCTTTGTGTTGTGTGCATTCAACTCACAGAGTGGAACGTCCCTTTAGACAGAGCAGATTTGAAACACTCTTTTTGCGGAATTTGCAAGTGGAGATTTCTAGCCATTTGATGCCAACAGTAGAAAGGGAAATATCTTCAAATAAAAACCAGACAGAATCATTCTCAGAAAATTCTTTGTGATGTGTGCGTTCAACTCACATAGTTTAACCTTTCTTTTCATAGAGCAGTTTGGAAACACTCTGTTTGTAAAGTCTGCAAGTGGATATATGGACCGCATTGAGGCCTTCGTTGGAAACGGGATTTCTTCATTTCATGCTAGACAGAAGAATTCTCAGTAACTTCTTTGTGCTGTGTGTATTCAACTCACAGAGTGGAACGTCCCTTTGCACAGAGCAGATTTGAAACACTCTTTTTGTGGAGTTTGCAAGTGGAGATTTCAAGCGATTTGATGCCAACAGTAGAAAAGGAAATATCTTCAAATAAAAACTAGACAGAATCATTCTCAGAAACTACTTTGTGATGTGTGCCTTCAACTCACAGAGTTTAACCTTTCTTTTCTTAGAGCAGTTTAGAAACACTCTGCTTGTTATGTCTGCAAGTGGATATTTGGACCTCTTTGAGGCCTTCGTTGCAAACGGGGTTTCTTCCTTTCATGCTAGACTAAGAAGAGTTCTCAGTAACTTTTTTGTGTTGTGTGTATTCAACTCACAGAGTTGAACCTTGCTTTAGAGAGAGCAGATTTGAAACACTCTTGCTGTGGCATTTTCAGGTGGAGATTTCAAGCGATTTGAGGACAATTGCAGAAAAGGAAATATCTTCGTATAATAACCAGACAGAATCATTCTCAGAAAGTGCTTTGTGATGTGTGCGTTCCACTCACAGAGTTTAACCTTTCTTTTCATAGAGGAGTTTGGAAACAAACTGTTTGTAAAGTCTGCAAGTGGATATATGGACCTGTTTGAGGCCTTCGTTGGAAACGGGATTTCTTCATTGAATGCTAGACGGAAGAATTCTCAGTAAATTCTTTGTGTTGTGTGCATTCAACTCACAGAGTGGAACGTCCCTTTAGACAGAGCAGATTTGAAACACTCTTTTTGCGGAATTTGCAAGTGGAGATTTCTAGCCATTTGATGCCAACAGTAGAAAGGGAAATATCTTCAAATAAAAACCAGACAGAATCATTCTCAGAAAATTCTTTGTGATGTGTGCATTCAACTCACATAGTTTAACCTTTCTTTTCATAGAGCAGTTTGGAAACACTCTGTTTGTAAAGTCTGAAAGTGGATATATGGACCGCATTGAGGCCTTCGTTGGAAACGGGATTTCTTCATTTCATGCTAGACAGAAGATTCTCAGTAACTTCTTTGTGCTGTGTGTATTCAACTCACAGAGTGGAACGTCCCTTTACACAGAGCAGATTTGAAACACTCTTTTTGTGGAGTTTGCAAGTGGAGATTTCAAGCGATTTGATGCCAACAGTAGAAAAGGAAATATCTTCAAATAAAAACTAGACAGAATCATTCTCAGAAACTACTTTGTGATGTGTGCCTTCAACTCACAGAGTTTAACCTTTCTTTTCTTAGAGCAGTTTAGAAACACTCTGCTTGTTATGTCTGCAAGTGGATATTTGGACCTCTTTGAGGCCTTCGTTGCAAACGGGGTTTCTTCCTTTCATGCTAGACTAAGAAGAGTTCTCAGTAACTTTTTTGTGTTGTGTGTATTCAACTCACAGAGTTGAACCTTGCTTTAGAGAGAGCAGATTTGAAACACTCTTGCTGTGGCATTTTCAGGTGGAGATTTCAAGCGATTTGAGGACAATTGCAGAAAAGGAAATATCTTCGTATAATAACCAGACAGAATCATTCTCAGAAAGTGCTTTGTGATGTGTGCGTTCAACTCACAGAGTTTAACCTTTCTTTTCATAGAGGAGTTTGGAAACACACTGTTTCTAAAGTCTGCAAGTGGATATATGGACCTGTTTGAGGCCTTCGTTGGAAACGGGATTTCTTCATTGAATGCTAGACGGAAGAATTCTCAGTAAATTCTTTGTGTTGTGTGCATTCAACTCACAGAGTGGAACGTCCCTTTAGACAGAGCAGATTTGAAACACTCTTTTTGCGGAATTTGCAAGTGGAGATTTCTAGCCATTTGATGCCAACAGTAGAAAGGGAAATATCTTCAAATAAAAACCAGACAGAATCATTCTCAGAAAATTCTTTGTGATGTGTGCGTTCAACTCACATAGTTTAACCTTTCTTTTCATAGAGCAGTTTGGAAACACTCTGTTTGTAAAGTCTGCAAGTGGATATATGGACCGCATTGAGGCCTTCGTTGGAAACGGGATTTCTTCATTTCATGCTAGACAGAAGAATTCTCAGTAACTTCTTTGTGCTGTGTGTATTCAACTCACAGAGTGGAACGTCCCTTTGCACAGAGCAGATTTGAAACACTCTTTTTGTGGAGTTTGCAAGTGGAGATTTCAAGCGATTTGATGCCAACAGTAGAAAAGGAAATATCTTCAAATAAAAACTAGACAGAATCATTCTCAGAAACTACTTTGTGATGTGTGCCTTCAACTCACAGAGTTTAAACTTTCTTTTCTTAGAGCAGTTTAGAAACACTCTGCTTGTTATGTCTGCAAGTGGATATTTGGACCTCTTTGAGGCCTTCGTTGCAAACGGGGTTTCTTCCTTTAATGTTAGACTAAGAAGAGTTCTCAGTAACTTTTTTGTGTTGTGTGTATTCAACTCACAGAGTTGAACCTTGCTTTAGAGAGAGCAGATTTGAAACACTCTTGCTGTGGCATTTTCAGGTGGAGATTTCAAGCGATTTGAGGACAATTGCAGAAAAGGAAATATCTTCGTATAACAACTAGACAGAATCATTCTCAGAAAGTGCTTTGTGATGTGTGGGTTCAACTCACAGAGTTTAACCTTTCTTTTCATAGAGGAGTTTGGAAACACACTGTTTGTAAAGTCTGCAATTGGATATATGGACCTGTTTGAGGCCTTCGTTGGAAACGGGATTTCTTCATTGACTGCTAGACAGAAGAATTCTCAGTAAATTCTTTGTGTTGTGTGCATTCAACTCACAGAGTGGAACGTCCCTTTTGGCAGAGCAGATTTGAAACACTCTTTTTGCGGAATTTGCAAGTGGAGATTTCTAGCCATTTGATGCCAACAGTAGAAAGGGAAATATCTTCAAATAAAAACCAGACAGAATCATTCTCAGAAAATTCTTTGTGATGTGTGCGTTCAACTCACATAGTTTAACCTTTCTTTTCATAGAGCAGTTTGGAAACACTCTGTTTGTAAAGTCTGCAAGTGGATATATGGACCGCATTGAGGCCTTCGTTGGAAACGGGATTTCTTCATTTCATGCTAGACAGAAGAATTCTCAGTAACTTCTTTGTGCTGTGTGTATTCAACTCACAGAGTGGAACGTCCCTTTGCACAGAGCAGATTTGAAACACTCTTTTTGTGGAGTTTGCAAGTGGAGATTTCAAGCGATTTGATGCCAACAGTAGAAAAGGAAATATCTTCAAATAAAAACTAGACAGAATCATTCTCAAAAACTACTTTGTGATGTGTGCCTTCAACTCACAGAGTTTAACCTTTCTTTTCTTAGAGCAGTTTAGAAACACTCTGCTTGTTATGTCTGCAAGTGGATATTTGGACCTCTTTGAGGCCTTCGTTGCAAACGGGGTTTCTTCCTTTCATGCTAGACTAAGAAGAGTTCTCAGTAACTTTTTTGTGTTGTGTGTATTCAACTCACAGAGTTGAACCTTGCTTTAGAGAGAGCAGATTTGAAACACTCTTGCTGTGGCATTTTCAGGTGGAGATTTCAAGCGATTTGAGGACAATTGCAGAAAAGGAAATATCTTCGTATAATAACCAGACAGAATCATTCTCAGAAAGTGCTTTGTGATGTGTGCGTTCAACTCACAGAGTTTAACTTTTCTTTCCATAGAGGAGTTTGGAAACACACTGTTTGTAAAGTCTGCAAGTGGATATATGGACCTGTTTGAGGCCTTCGTTGGAAACGGGATTTCTTCATTGAATGCTAGACGGAAGAATTCTCAGTAAATTCTTTGTGTTGTGTGCATTCAACTCACAGAGTGGAACGTCCCTTTAGACAGAGCAGATTTGAAACACTCTTTTTGCGGAATTTGCAAGTGGAGATTTCTAGCCATTTGATGCCAACAGTAGAAAGGGAAATATCTTCAAATAAAAACCAGACAGAATCATTCTCAGAAAATTCTTTGTGATGTGTGCGTTCAACTCACATAGTTTAACCTTTCTTTTCATAGAGCAGTTTGGAAACACTCTGTTTGTAAAGTCTGCAAGTGGATATATGGACCGCATTGAGGCCTTCGTTGGAAACGGGATTTCTTCATTTCATGCTAGACAGAAGAATTCTCAGTAACTTCTTTGTGCTGTGTGTATTCAACTCACAGAGTGGAACGTCCCTTTGCACAGAGCAGATTTGAAACACTCTTTTTGTGGAGTTTGCAAGTGGAGATTTCAAGCGATTTGATGCCAACAGTAGAAAAGGAAATATCTTCAAATAAAAACTAGACAGAATCATTCTCAGAAACTACTTTGTGATGTGTGCCTTCAACTCACAGAGTTTAACCTTTCTTTTCTTAGAGCAGTTTAGAAACACTCTGCTTGTTATGTCTGCAAGTGGATATTTGGACCTCTTTGAGGCCTTCGTTGCAAACGGGGTTTCTTCCTTTCATGCTAGACTAAGAAGAGTTCTCAGTAACTTTTTTGTGTTGTGTGTATTCAACTCACAGAGTTGAACCTTGCTTTAGAGAGAGCAGATTTGAAACACTCTTGCTGTGGCATTTTCAGGTGGAGATTTCAAGCGATTTGAGGACAATTGCAGAAAAGGAAATATCTTCGTATAATAACCAGACAGAATCATTCTCAGAAAGTGCTTTGTGATGTGTGCGTTCAACTCACAGAGTTTAACCTTTCTTTTCATAGAGGAGTTTGGAAACACACTGTTTGTAAAGTCTGCAAGTGGATATATGGACCTGTTTGAGGCCTTCGTTGGAAACGGGATTTCTTCATTGAATGCTAGACGGAAGAATTCTCAGTAAATTCTTTGTGTTGTGTGCATTCAACTCACAGAGTGGAACGTCCCTTTAGACAGAGCAGATTTGAAACACTCTTTATGTGGAATTTGCAAGTGGAGATTTCTAGCCATTTGATGCCAACAGTAGAAAGGGAAATATCTTCAAATAAAAACCAGACAGAATCATTCTCAGAAAATTCTTTGTGATGTGTGCGTTCAACTCACATAGTTTAACCTTTCTTTTCATAGAGCAGTTTGGAAACACTCGTTTGTAAAGTCTGCAAGTGGATATATGGACCGCATTGAGGCCTTCGTTGGAAACGGGATTTCTTCATTTCATGCTAGACAGAAGAATTCTCAGTAACTTCTTTGTGCTGTGTGTATTCAACTCACAGAGTGGAACGTCCCTTTGCACAGAGCAGATTTGAAACACTCTTTTTGTGGAATTTGCAAGTGGAGATTTCAAGCGATTTGATGCCAACAGTAGAAAAGGAAATATCTTCAAATAAAAACTAGACAGAATCATTCTCAGAAACTACTTTGTGATGTGTGCCTTCAACTCACAGAGTTTAACCTTTCTTTTCTTAGAGCAGTTTAGAAACACTCTGCTTGTTATGTCTGCAAGTGGATATTTGGACCTCTTTGAGGCCTTCGTTGCAAACGGGGTTTCTTCCTTTCATGCTAGACTAAGAAGAGTTCTCAGTAACTTTTTTGTGTTGTGTGTATTCAACTCACAGAGTTGAACCTTGCTTTAGAGAGAGCAGATTTGAAACACTCTTGCTGTGGCATTTTCAGGTGGAGATTTCAAGCGATTTGAGGACAATTGCAGAAAAGGAAATATCTTCGTATAATAACCAGACAGAATCAGTCTCAGAAAGTGCTTTGTGATGTGTGCGTTCAACTCACAGAGTTTAACCTTTCTTTTCATAGAGGAGTTTGGAAACACACTGTTTGTAAAGTCTGCAATTGGATATATGGACCTGTTTGAGGCCTTCGTTGGAAACGGGATTTCTTCATTGAATGCTAGACGGAAGAATTCTCAGTAAATTCTTTGTGTTGTGTGCATTCAACTCACAGAGTGGAACGTCCCTTTAGACAGAGCAGATTTGAAACACTCTTTTTGCGGAATTTGCAAGTGGAGATTTCTAGCCATTTGATGCCAACAGTAGAAAGGGAAATATCTTCAAATAAAAACCAGACAGAATCATTCTCAGAAAATTCTTTGTGATGTGTGCGTTCAACTCACATAGTTTAACCTTTCTTTTCATAGAGCAGTTTGGAAACACTCTGTTTGTAAAGTCTGCAAGTGGATATATGGACCGCATTGAGGCCTTCGTTGGAAACGGGATTTCTTCATTTCATGCTAGACAGAAGAATTCTCAGTAACTTCTTTGTGCTGTGTGTATTCAACTCACAGAGTGGAACGTCCCTTTACACAGAGCAGATTTGAAACACTCTTTTTGTGGAGTTTGCAAGTGGAGATTTCAAGCGATTTGATGCCAACAGTAGAAAAGGAAATATCTTCAAATAAAAACTAGACAGAATCATTCTCAGAAACTACTTTGTGATGTGTGCCTTCAACTCACAGAGTTTAACCTTTCTTTTCTTAGAGCAGTTTAGAAACACTCTGCTTGTTATGTCTGCAAGTGGATATTTGGACCTCTTTGAAGCCTTCGTTGCAAACGGGGTTTCTTCCTTTCATGCTAGACTAAGAAGAGTTCTCAGTAACTTTTTTGTGTTGTGTGTATTCAACTCACAGAGTTGAACCTTGCTTTAGAGAGAGCAGATTTGAAACACTCTTGCTGTGGCATTTTCAGGTGGAGATTTCAAGCGATTTGAGGACAATTGCAGAAAAGGAAATATCTTCGTATAATAACCAGACAGAATCATTCTCAGAAAGTGCTTTGTGATGTGTGCGTTCAACTCACAGAGTTTAACCTTTCTTTTCATAGAGGAGTTTGGAAACACACTGTTTGTAAAGTCTGCAAGTGGATATATGGACCTGTTTGAGGCCTTCGTTGGATACGGGATTTCTTCATTGAATGCTAGACGGAAGAATTCTCAGTAAATTCTTTGTGTTGTGTGCATTCAACTGACAGAGTGGAACGTCCCTTTAGACAGAGCAGATTTGAAACACTCTTTTTGCGGAATTTGCAAGTGGAGATTTCTAGCCATTTGATGCCAACAGTAGAAAGGGAAATATCTTCAAATAAAAACCAGACAGAAACATTCTCAGAAAATTCTTTGTGATGTGTGCGTTCAACTCACATAGTTTAACCTTTCTTTTCATAGAGCAGTTTGGAAACACTCTGTTTGTAAAGTCTGCAAGTGGATATATGGACCGCATTGAGGCCTTCGTTGGAAACGGGATTTCTTCATTTCATGCTAGACAGAAGAATTCTCAGTAACTTCTTTGTGCTGTGTGTATTCAACTCACAGAGTGGAACGTCCCTTTGCACAGAGCAGATTTGAAACACTCTTTTTGTGGAGTTTGCAAGTGGAGATTTCAAGCGATTTGATGCCAACAGTAGAAAAGGAAATATCTTCAAATAAAAACTAGACAGAATCATTCTCAGAAACTACTTTGTGACGTGTGCCTTCAACTCACAGAGTTTAACCTTTCTTTTCTTAGAGCAGTTTAGAAACACTCTGCTTGTTATGTCTGCAAGTGGATATTTGGACCTCTTTGAGGCCTTCGTTGCAAACGGGGTTTCTTCCTTTAATGCTAGACTAAGAAGAGTTCTCAGTAACTTTTTTGTGTTGTGTGTATTCAACTCACAGAGTTGAACCTTGCTTTAGAGAGAGCAGATTTGAAACACTCTTGCTGTGGCATTTTCAGGTGGAGATTTCAAGCGATTTGAGGACAATTGCAGAAAAGGAAATATCTTCGTATAATAACCAGACAGAATCATTCTCAGAAAGTGCTTTGTGATGTGTGCGTTCAACTCACAGAGTTTAACCTTTCTTTTCATAGAGGAGTTTGGAAACACACTGTTTGTAAAGTCTGCAAGTGGATATATGGACCTGTTTGAGGCCTTCGTTGGAAACGGGATTTCTTCATTGAATGCTAGACGGAAGAATTCTCAGTAAATTCTGTGTTGTGTGCATTCAACTCACAGAGTGGAACGTCCCTTTAGACAGAGCAGATTTGAAACACTCTTTTTGCGGAATTTGCAAGTGGAGATTTCTAGCCATTTGATGCCAACAGTAGAAAGGGAAATATCTTCAAATAAAAACCAGACAGAATCATTCTCAGAAAATTCTTTGTGATGTGTGCGTTCAACTCACATAGTTTAACCTTTCTTTTCATAGAGCAGTTTGGAAACACTCTGTTTGTAAAGTCTGCAAGTGGATATATGGACCGCATTGAGGCCTTCGTTGGAAACGGGATTTCTTCATTTCATGCTAGACAGAAGAATTCTCAGTAACTTCTTTGTGCTGTGTGTATTCAACTCACAGAGTGGAACGTCCCTTTGCACAGAGCAGATTTGAAACACTCTTTTTGTGGAGTTTGCAAGTGGATATTTCAAGCGATTTGATGCCAACAGTAGAAAAGGAAATATCTTCAAATAAAAACTAGACAGAATCATTCTCAGAAACTACTTTGTGATGTGTGCCTTCAACTCACAGAGTTTAACCTTTCTTTTCTTAGAGCAGTTTAGAAACACTCTGCTTGTTATGTCTGCAAGTGGATATTTGGACCTCTTTGAGGCCTTCGTTGCAAACGGGGTTTCTTCCTTTCATGCTAGACTAAGAAGAGTTCTCAGTAACTTTTTTGTGTTGTGTGTATTCAACTCACAGAGTTGAACCTTGCTTTAGAGAGAGCAGATTTGAAACACTCTTGCTGTGGCATTTTCAGGTGGAGATTTCAAGCGTTTTGAGGACAATTGCAGAAAAGGAAATATCTTCGTATAATAACCAGACAGAATCATTCTCAGAAAGTGCTTTGTGATGTGTGCGTTCCACTCACAGAGTTTAACCTTTCTTTTCATAGAGGAGTTTGGAAACACACTGTTTGTAAAGTCTGCAAGTGGATATATGGACCTGTTTGAGGCCTTCGTTGGAAACGGGATTTCTTCATTGAATGCTAGACGGAAGAATTCTCAGTAAATTCTTTGTGTTGTGTGCATTCAACTGACAGAGTGGAACGTCCCTTTAGACAGAGCAGATTTGAAACACTCTTTTTGCGGAATTTGCAAGTGGAGATTTCTAGCCATTTGATGCCAACAGTAGAAAGGGAAATATCATTCAAATAAAAACCAGACAGAATCATTCTCAGAAAATTCTTTGTGATGTGTGCGTTCAACTCACATAGTTTAACCTTTCTTTTCATAGAGCAGTTTGGAAACACTCTGTTTGTAAAGTCTGCAAGTGGATATATGGACCGCATTGAGGCCTTCGTTGGAAACGGGATTTCTTCATTTCATGCTAGACAGAAGAATTCTCAGTAACTTCTTTGTGCTGTGTGTATTCAACTCACAGAGTGGAACGTCCCTTTACACAGAGAAGATTTGAAACACTCTTTTTGTGGAGTTTGCAAGTGGAGATTTCAAGCGATTTGATGCCAACAGTAGAAAAGGAAATATCTTCAAATAAAAACTAGACAGAATCATTCTCAGAAACTACTTTGTGATGTGTGCCTTCAACTCACAGAGTTTAACCTTTCTTTTCTTAGAGCAGTTTAGAAACACTCTGCTTGTTATGTCTGCAAGTGGATATTTGGACCTCTTTGAGGCCTTCGTTGCAAACGGGGTTTCTTCCTTTCATGCTAGACTAAGAAGAGTTCTCAGTAACTTTTTTGTGTTGTGTGTATTCAACTCACAGAGTTGAACCTTGCTTTAGAGAGAGCAGATTTGAAACACTCTTGCTGTGGCATTTTCAGGTGGAGATTTCAAGCGATTTGAGGACAATTGCAGAAAAGGAAATATCTTCGTATAATAACCAGACAGAATCATTCTCAGAAAGTGCTTTGTGATGTGTGCGTTCCACTCACAGAGTTTAACCTTTCTTTTCATAGAGGAGTTTGGAAACACACTGTTTGTAAAGTCTGCAAGTGGATATATGGACCTGTTTGAGGCCTTCGTTGGAAACGGGATTTCTTCATTGAATGCTAGACGGAAGAATTCTCAGTAAATTCTTTGTGTTGTGTGCATTCAACTGACAGAGTGGAACGTCCCTTTAGACAGAGCAGATTTGAAACACTCTTTTTGCGGAATTTGCAAGTGGAGATTTCTAGCCATTTGATGCCAACAGTAGAAAGGGAAATATCTTCAAATAAAAACCAGACAGAATCATTCTCAGAAAATTCTTTGTGATGTGTGCGTTCAACTCACATAGTTTAACCTTTCTTTTCATAGAGCAGTTTGGAAACACTCTGTTTGTAAAGTCTGCAAGTGGATATATGGACCGCATTGAGGCCTTCGTTGGAAACGGGATTTCTTCATTTCATGCTAGACAGAAGAATTCTCAGTAACTTCTTTGTGCTGTGTGTACTCAACTCACAGAGTGGAACGTCCCTTTGCACAGAGCAGATTTGAAACACTCTTTTTGTGGAGTTTGCAAGTGGAGATTTCAAGCGATTTGATGCCAACAGTAGAAAAGGAAATATCTTCAAATAAAAACTAGACAGAATCATCCTCAGAAACTACTTTGTGATGTCTGCCTTCAACTCACAGAGTTTAACCTTTCTTTTCTTAGAGCAGTTTAGAAACACTCTGCTTGTTATGTCTGCAAGTGGATATTTGGACCTCTTTGAGGCCTTCGTTGCAAACGGGGTTTCTTCCTTTCATGCTAGACTAAGAAGAGTTCTCAGTAACTTTTTTGTGTTGTGTGTATTCAACTCACAGAGCTGAACCTTGCTTTAGAGAGAGCAGATTTGAAACACTCTTGCTGTGGCATTTTAAGGTGGAGATTTCAAGCGATTTGAGGACAATTGCAGAAAAGGAAATATCTTCGTATAACAACCAGACAGAATCATTCTCAGAAAGTGCTTTGTGATGTGTGCGTTCCACTCACAGAGTTTAACCTTTCTTTTCATAGAGGAGTTTGGAAACACACTGTTTGTAAAGTCTGCAAGTGGATATATGGACCTGTTTGAGGCCTTCGTTGGAAACGGGATTTCTTCATTGAATGCTAGACGGAAGAATTCTCAGTAAATTCTTTGTGTTGTGTGCATTCAACTCACAGAGTGGAACGTCCCTTTAGACAGAGCAGATTTGAAACACTCTTTTTGCGGAATTTGCAAGTGGAGATTTCTAGCCATTTGATGCCAACAGTAGAAAGGGAAATATCTTCAAATAAAAACCAGACAGAATCATTCTCAGAAAATTCTTTGTGATGTGTGCGTTCAACTCACATAGTTTAACCTTTCTTTTCTTAGAGCAGTTTAGAAACACTCTGCTTGTTATGTCTGCAAGTGGATATTTGGACCTCTTTGAGGCCTTCGTTGCAAACGGGGTTTCTTCCTTTCATGCTAGACTAAGAAGAGTTCTCAGTAACTTTTTTGTGTTGTGTGTATTCAACTCACAGAGTTGAACCTTGCTTTAGAGAGAGCAGATTTGAAACACTCTTGCTGTGGCATTTTCAGGTGGAGATTTCAAGCGATTTGAGGACAATTGCAGAAAAGGAAATATCTTCGTATAATAACCAGAGAGAATCATTCTCAGAAAGTGCTTTGTGATGTGTGCGTTCAACTCACAGAGTTTAACCTTTCCTTTCATAGAGGAGTTTGGAAACACACTGTTTGTAAAGTCTGCAATTGGATATATGGACCTGTTTGAGGCCTTCGTTGGAAACGGGATTTCTTCATTGAATGCTAGACGGAAGAATTCTCAGTAAATTCTTTGTGTTGTGTGCATTCAACTCACAGAGTGGAACGTCCCTTTAGACAGAGCAGATTAGAAACACTCTTTTTGCGGAATTTGCAAGTGGAGATTTCTAGCCATTTGATGCCAACAGTAGAAAGGGAAATATCTTCAAATAAAAACCAGACAGAATCATTCTCAGAAAATTCTTTGTGATGTGTGCGTTCAACTCACATAGTTTAACCTTTCTTTTCATAGAGCAGTTTGGAAACACTCTGTTTGTAAAGTCTGCAAGTGGATATATGGACCGCATTGAGGCCTTCGTTGGAAACGGGATTTCTTCATTTCATGCTAGACAGAAGAATTCTCAGTAACTTCTTTGTGCTGTGTGTATTCAACTCACAGAGTGGAACGTCCCTTTGCACAGAGCAGATTTGAAACACTCTTTTTGTGGAGTTTGCAAGTGGAGATTTCAAGCGATTTGATGCCAACAGTAGAAAAGGAAATATCTTCAAATAAAAACTAGACAGAATCATTCTCAGAAACTACTTTGTGATGTGTGCCTTCAACTCACAGAGTTTAACCTTTCTTTTCTTAGAGCAGTTTAGAAACACTCTGCTTGTTATGTCTGCAAGTGGATATTTGGACCTCTTTGAGGCCTTCCTTGCAAACGGGGTTTCTTCCTTTCATGCTAGACTAAGAAGAGTTCTCAGTAACTTTTTTGTGTTGTGTGTATTCAACTCACAGAGTTGAACCTTGCTTTAGAGAGAGCAGATTTGAAACACTCTTGCTGTGGCATTTTCAGGTGGAGATTTCAAGCGATTTGAGGACAATTGCAGAAAAGGAAATATCTTCGTATAATAACCAGACAGAATCATTCTCAGAAAGTGCTTTGTGATGTGTGCGTTCAACTCACAGAGTTTAACCTTTCTTTTCATAGAGGAGTTTGGAAACACACTGTTTGTAAAGTCTGCAAGTGGATATATGGACCTGTTTGAGGCCTTCGTTGGAAACGGGATTTCTTCATTGAATGCTAGACAGAAGAATTCTCAGTAAATTCTTTGTGTTGTGTGCATTCAACTCACAGAGTGGAACGTCCCTTTAGACAGAGCAGATTTGAAACACTCTTTTTGCGGAATTTGCAAGTGGAGATTTCTAGCCATTTGATGCCAACAGTTGAAAGGGAAATATCTTCAAATAAAAACCAGAGAGAATCATTCTCAGAAAATTCTTTGTGATGTGTGCGTTCAACTCACATAGTTTAACCTTTCCTTTCATGGAGCAGTTTGGAAACACTCTGTTTGTAAAGTCTGCAAGTGGATATATGGACCGCATTGAGGCCTTCGTTGGAAACGGGATTTCTTCATTTCATGCTAGACAGAAGAATTCTCAGTAACTTCTTTGTGCTGTGTGTATTCAACTCACAGAGTGGAACGTCCCTTTACACAGAGCAGATTTGAAACACTCTTTTTGTGGAGTTTGCAAGTGGAGATTTCAAGCGATTTGATGCCAACAGTAGAAAAGGAAATATCTTCAAATAAAAACTAGACAGAATCATTCTCAGAAACTACTTTGTGATGTGTGCCTTCAACTCACAGAGTTTAACCTTTCTTTTCTTAGAGCAGTTTAGAAACACTCTGCTTGTTATGTCTGCAAGTGGATATTTGGACCTCTTTGAGGCCTTCGTTGCAAACGGGGTTTCTTCCTTTCATGCTAGACTAAGAAGAGTTCTCAGTAACTTTTTTGTGTTGTGTGTATTCAACTCACAGAGTTGAACCTTGCTTTAGAGAGAGCAGATTTGAAACACTCTTGCTGTGGCATTTTCAGGTGGAGATTTCAAGCGATTTGAGGACAATTGCAGAAAAGGAAATATCTTCGTATAATAACCAGACAGAATCATTCTCAGAAAGTGCTTTGTGATGTGTGCGTTCCACTCACAGAGTTTAACCTTTCTTTTCATAGAGGAGTTTGGAAACACACTGTTTGTAAACTCTGCAAGTGGATATATGGACGTGTTTGAGGCCTTCGTTGGAAACGGGATTTCTTCATTGAATGCTAGACGGAAGAATTCTCAGTAAATTCTTTGTGTTGTGTGCATTCAACTGACAGAGTGGAACGTCCCTTTAGACAGAGCAGATTTGAAACACTCTTTTTGCGGAATTTGCAAGTGGAGATTTCTAGCCATTTGATGCCAACAGTAGAAAGGGAAATATCTTCAAATAAAAACCAGACAGAATCATTCTCAGAAAATTCTTTGTGATGTGTGCGTTCAACTCACATAGTTTAACCTTTCTTTTCATAGAGCAGTTTGGAAACACTCTGTTTGTAAAGTCTGCAAGTGGATATATGGACCGCATTGAGGCCTTCGTTGGAAACGGGATTTCTTCATTTCATGCTAGACAGAAGAATTCTCAGTAACTTCTTTGTGCTGTGTGTATTCAACTCACAGAGTGGAACGTCCCTTTACACAGAGCAGATTTGAAACACTCTTTTTGTGGAATTTGCAAGTGGAGATTTCAAGCGATTTGATGCCAACAGTAGAAAAGGAAATATCTTCAAATAAAAACTAGACAGAATCATTCTCAGAAACTACTTTGTGATGTGTGCCTTCAACTCACAGAGTTTAACCTTTCTTTTCTTAGAGCAGTTTAGAAACACTCTGCTTGTTATGTCTGCAAGTGGATATTTGGACCTACTTTGAGGCCTTCGTTGCAAACGGGGTTTCTTCCTTTCATGCTAGACTAAGAAGAGTTCTCAGTAACTTTTTTGTGTTGCGTGTATTCAACTCACAGAGTTGAACCTTGCTTTAGAGAGAGCAGATTTGAAACACTCTTGCTGTGGCATTTTCAGGTGGAGATTTCAAGCGATTTGAGGACAATTGCAGAAAAGGAAATATCTTCGTATAATAACCAGACAGAATCATTCTCAGAAAGTGCTTTGTGATGTGTGCGTTCAACTCACAGAGTTTAACCTTTCTTTTCATAGAGGAGTTTGGAAACACACTGTTTGTAAAGTCTGCAATTGGATATATGGACCTGTTTGAGGCCTTCGTTGGAAACGGGATTTCTTCATTGAATGCTAGACGGAAGGATTCTCAGTAAATTCTTTGTGTTGTGTGCATTCAACTCACAGAGTGGAACGTCCCTTTAGACAGAGCAGATTTGAAACACTCTTTTTGCGGAATTTGCAAGTGGAGATTTCTAGCCATTTGATGCCAACAGTAGAAAGGGAAATATCTTCAAATAAAAACCAGACAGAATCATTCTCAGAAAATTCTTTGTGATGTGTGCGTTCAACTCACATAGTTTAACCTTTCTTTTCATAGAGCAGTTTGGAAACACTCTGTTTGTAAAGTCTGCAAGTGGATATATGGACCGCATTGAGGCCTTCGTTGGAAACGGGATTTCTTCATTTCATGCTAGACAGAAGAATTCTCAGTAACTTCTTTGTGCTGTGTGTATTCAACTCACAGAGTGGAACGTCCCTTTGCACAGAGCAGATTTGAAACACTCTTTTTGTGGAGTTTGCAAGTGGAGATTTCAAGCGATTTGATGCCAACAGTAGAAAAGGAAATATCTTCAAATAAAAACTAGACAGAATCATTCTCAGAAACTACTTTGTGATGTGTGCCTTCAACTCACAGAGTTTAACCTTTCTTTTCTTAGAGCAGTTTAGAAACACTCTGCTTGTTATGTCTGCAAGTGGATATTTGGACCTCTTTGAGGCCTTCGTTGCAAATGGGGTTTCTTCCTTTCATGCTAGACTAAGAAGAGTTCTCAGTAACTTTTTTGTGTTGTGTGTATTCAACTCACAGAGTTGAACCTTGCTTTAGAGAGAGCAGATTTGAAACACTCTTGCTGTGGCATTTTCAGGTGGAGATTTCAAGCGATTTGAGGACAATTGCAGAAAAGGAAATATCTTCGTATAATAACCAGACAGAATCATTCTCAGAAAGTGCTTTGTGATGTGTGCGTTCAACTCACAGAGTTTAACCTTTCTTTTCATAGAGGAGTTTGGAAACACACTGTTTGTAAAGTCTGCAAGTGGATATATGGACCTCTTTGAGGCCTTCGTTGGAAACGGGATTTCTTCATTGAATGCTAGACGGAAGAATTCTCAGTAAATTCTTTGTGTTGTGTGCATTCAACTCACAGAGTGGAACGTCCCTTTAGACAGAGCAGATTTGAAACACTCTTTTTGCGGAATTTGCAAGTGGAGATTTCTAGCCATTTGATGCCAACAGTAGAAAGGGAAACATCTTCAAATAAAAACCAGACAGAATCATTCTCAGAAAATTCTTTGTGATGTGTGCGTTCAACTCACATAGTTTAACCTTTCTTTTCATAGAGCAGTTTGGAAACACTCTGTTTGTAAAGTCTGCAAGTGGATATATGGACCGCATTGAGGCCTTCGTTGGAAACGGGATTTCTTCATTTCATGCTAGACAGAAGAATTCTCAGTAACTTCTTTGTGCTGTGTGTATTCAACTCACAGAGTGGAACGTCCCTTTGCACAGAGCAGATTTGAAACACTCTTTTTGTGGAATTTGCAAGTGGAGATTTCAAGCGATTTGACGCCAACAGTATGAAAGGAAATATCTTCAAATAAAAACTAGACAGAATCATTCTCAGAAACTACTTTGTGATGTGTGCCTTCAACTCACAGAGTTTAACCTTTCTTTTCTTAGAGCAGTTTAGAAACACTCTGCTTGTTATGTCTGCAAGTGGATATTTGGACCTCTTTGAGGCCTTCGTTGCAAACGGGGTTTCTTCCTTTCATGCTAGACTAAGAAGAGTTCTCAGTAACTTTTTTGTGTTGTGTGTATTCAACTCACAGAGTTGAACCTTGCTTTAGAGAGAGCAGATTTGAAACACTCTTGCTGTGGCATTTTCAGGTGGAGATTTCAAGCGATTTGAGGACAATTGCAGAAAAGGAAATATCTTCGTATAATAACCAGACAGAATCATTCTCAGAAAGTGCTTTGTGATGTGTGCGTTCCACTCACAGAGTTTAACCTTTCTTTTCATAGAGGAGTTTGGAAACACACTGTTTGTAAAGTCTGCAAGTGGATATATGGACCTGTTTGAGGCCTTCGTTGGAAACGGGATTTCTTCATTGAATGCTAGACGGAAGAATTCTCAGTAAATTCTTTGTGTTGTGTGCATTCAACTCACAGAGTGGAACGTCCCTTTAGACAGAGCAGATTTGAAACACTCTTTTTGCGGAATTTGCAAGTGGAGATTTATAGCCATTTGATGCCAACAGTAGAAAGGGAAATATCTTCAAATAAAAACCAGACAGAATCATTCTCAGAAAATTCTTTGTGATGTGTGCGTTCAACTCACATAGTTTAACCTTTCTTTTCATAGAGCAGTTTGGAAACACTCTGTTTGTAAAGTCTGCAAGTGGATATATGGACCGCATTGAGGCCTTCATTGGAAACGGGATTTCTTCATTTCATGCTAGACAGAAGAATTCTCAGTAACTTCTTTGTGCTGTGTGTATTCAACTCACAGAGTGGAACGTCCCTTTACACAGAGCAGATTTGAAACACTCTTTTTGTGGAGTTTGCAAGTGGAGATTTCAAGCGATTTGATGCCAACAGTAGAAAAGGAAATATCTTCAAATAAAAACTAGACAGAATCATTCTCAGAAACTACTTTGTGATGTGTGCCTTCAACTCACAGAGTTTAACCTTTCTTTTCTTAGAGCAGTTTAGAAACACTCTGCTTGTTATGTCTGCAAGTGGATATTTGGACCTCTTTGAGGCCTTCGTTGCAAACGGGGTTTCTTCCTTTCATGCTAGACTAAGAAGAGTTCTCAGTAACTTTTTTGTGTTGTGTGTATTCAACTCACAGAGTTGAACCTTGCTTTAGAGAGAGCAGATTTGAAACACTCTTGCTGTGGCATTTTCAGGTGGAGATTTCAAGCGATTTGAGGACAATTGCAGAAAAGGAAAATATCTTCGTATAACAACCAGACAGAATCATTCTCAGAAAGTGCTTTGTGATGTGTGCGTTCCACTCACAGAGTTTAACCTTTCTTTTCATAGAGGAGTTTGGAAACACACTGTTTGTAAACTCTGCAAGTGGATATATGGACCTGTTTGAGGCCTTCGTTGGAAACGGGATTTCTTCATTGAATGCTAGACGGAAGAATTCTCAGTAAATTCTTTGTGTTGTGTGCATTCAACTCACAGAGTGGAACGTCCCTTTAGACAGAGCAGATTTGAAACACTCTTTTTGCGGAATTTGCAAGTGGAGATTTCTAGCCATTTGATGCCAACAGTAGAAAGGGAAATATCTTCAAATAAAAACCAGACAGAATCATTCTCAGAAAATTCTTTGTGATGTGTGCGTTCAACTCACATAGTTTAACCTTTCTTTTCATAGAGCAGTTTGGAAACACTCTGTTTGTAAAGTCTGCAAGTGGATATATGGACCGCATTGAGGCCTTCGTTGGAAACGGGATTTCTTCATTTCATGCTAGACAGAAGAATTCTCAGTAACTTCTTTGTGCTGTGTGTATTCAACTCACAGAGTGGAACGTCCCTTTGCACAGAGCAGATTTGAAACACTCTTTTTGTGGAGTTTGCAAGTGGAGATTTCAAGCGATTTGATGCCAACAGTAGAAAAGGAAATATCTTCAAATAAAAACTAGACAGAATCATTCTCAGAAACTACTTTGTGATGTGTGCCTTCAACTCACAGAGTTTAACCTTTCTTTTCTTAGAGCAGTTTAGAAACACTCTGCTTGTTATGTCTGCAAGTGGATATTTGGACCTCTTTGAGGCCTTCGTTGCAAACGGGGTTTCTTCCTTTCATGCTAGACTAAGAAGAGTTCTCAGTAACTTTTTTGTGTTGTGTGTATTCAACTCACAGAGTTGAACCTTGCTTTAGAGAGAGCAGATTTGAAACACTCTTGCTGTGGCATTTTCAGGTGGAGATTTCAAGCGATTTGAGGACAATTGCAGAAAAGGAAATATCTTCGTATAACAACCAGACAGAATCATTCTCAGAAAGTGCTTTGTGATGTGTGCGTTCAACTCACAGAGTTTAACCTTTCTTTTCATAGAGGAGTTTGGAAACACACTGTTTGTAAAGTCTGCAAGTGGATATATGGACCTGTTTGAGGCCTTCGTTGGAAACGGGATTTCTTCATTGAATGCTAGACGGGAAGAATTCTCAGTAAATTCTTTGTGTTGTGTGCATTGAACTCACAGAGTGGAACGTCCCTTTAGACAGAGCAGATTTGAAACACTCTTTTTGCGGAATTTGCAAGTGGAGATTTCTACCCATTTGATGTCAACAGTAGAAAGGGAAATATCTTCAAATAAAAACCAGACAGAATCATTCTCAGAAAATTCTTTGTGATGTGTGCGTTCAACTCACATAGTTTAACCTTTCTTTTCATAGAGCAGTTTGGAAACACTCTGTTTGTAAAGTCTGCAAGTGGATATATGGACCGCATTGAGGCCTTCGTTGGAAACGGGATTTCTTCATTTCATGCTAGACAGAAGAATTCTCAGTAACTTCTTTGTGCTGTGTGTATTCAACTCACAGAGTGGAACGTCCCTTTGCACAGAGCAGATTTGAAACACTCTTTTTGTGGAGTTTGCAAGTGGAGATTTCAAGCGATTTGATGCCAACAGTAGAAAAGGAAATATCTTCAAATAAAAACTAGACAGAATCATTCTCAGAAACTACTTTGTGATGTGTGCCTTCAACTCACAGAGTTTAACCTTTCTTTTCTTAGAGCAGTTTAGAAACACTCTGCTTGTTATGTCTGCAAGTGGATATTTGGACCTCTTTGAGGCCTTCGTTGCAAACGGGGTTTCTTCCTTTCATGCTAGACTAAGAAGAGTTCTCAGTAACTTTTTTGTGTTGTGTGTATTCAACTCACAGAGTTGAACCTTGCTTTAGAGAGAGCAGATTTGAAACACTCTTGCTGTGGCATTTTCAGGTGGAGATTTCAAGCGATTTGAGGACAATTGCAGAAAAGGAAATATCTTCCGTATAATAACCAGACAGAATCATTCTCAGAAAGTGCTTTGTGATGTGTTCGGTTCAACTCACAGAGTTGAACCTTTCTTTTCATAGAGGAGTTTGGAAACACACTGTTTGTAAAGTCTGCAAGTGGATATATGGACCTGTTTGAGGCCTTCGTTGGAAACGGCATTTCTTCATTGAATGCTAGACGGAAGAATTCTCAGTAAATTCTTTGTGTTGTGTGCATTCATCTCACCGAGAGGAACGTCCTTGTAGACAGAGCAGATTTGAAACACTCTTTTTGCGAAATTTGGAAGTGGAGATTTCAAGCCATTTGATGCCAACAGTAGAAAGGGAAATATCTTCAAATAAAAACCAGACAGAATCATTCTCAGAAAATTCTTTGTGATGTGTGCGTTCAACTCACATAGTTTCACCTTTCTTTTCATAGAGCAGTTTGGAAACACTCTGTTTGTAATGTCTGCAAGTGGATATATGGACCGCTTTGAGGCCTTCGTTGGAAACGGAATTTCTTCATTTCATGCTAGACAGAAGAATTCTCAGTAACTTCTTTGTGTTGTGTGTATTCTACTCACAGATTGGAACGTCAATTTACACAGAGCAGATTTGAAACACTCTGTTTGTGGAATTTGCAAGTGGAGATTTCAAGCGATTTGATGCCAACAGTAGAAAAGGAAATATCTGCAAACAAAAACTAGACAGAATCATTCTCAGAAAATGCTTTGTGATGTGTGCGTTCAACTCACAGAGTTTAACCTTTCTTTTCATAGAGGAGTTTGGAAACACACTGTTTCTAATGTCTGCAAGTGGATATATGGACCTGTTTGAGGCCTTCGTTGCAAACGGGATTTTATCATATAATGCTAGACGGAAGAATTCTCAGTAAATTCTTTGTGTTGTGTGCCTTCAACTCACCGAGTGGAACGTCCCTTTAGACAGAGCAGATTTGAAACACTCTTTTTGCGAAATTTGGAAGTGGAGATTTCAAGCCATTTGATGCCAACAGTAGAAAGGGACATATCTTCAAATAAAAACCAGACAGAATCATTCTCAGAAAATTCTTTGTGATGTGTGCGTTCAACTCACATAGTTTAACCTTTCTTTTCATAGAGCAGTTTGGAAACACTCTGTTTGTAAAGTCTGCAAGTGGATATGTGGACCGCATTGAGGCCTTCGTTGGAAACGGGATTTCTTCATTTCATGCTAGACAGAAGAATTCTCAGTAACTTCTTTGTGCTGTGTGTATTCAACTCACAGAGTGGAACGTCCCTTTGCACAGAGCAGATTTGAAACACTCTTTTTGTGGAATTTGCAAGTGGAGATTTCAAGCGATTTGATGCCAACAGTAGAAAAGGAAATATCTTCAAATAAAAACTAGACAGAATCATTCTCAGAAACTACTTTGTGATGTGTGCCTTCAACTCACAGAGTTTAACCTTTCTTTTCTTAGAGCAGTTTAGAAACACTCTGCTTGTTATGTCTGCAAGTGGATATTTGGACCTCTTTGAGGCCTTCGTTGCAAACGGGGTTTCTTCCTTTCATGCTAGACTAAGAAGAGTTCTCAGTAACTTTTTTGTGTTGTGTGTATTCAACTCACAGAGTTGAACCTTGCTTTAGAGAGAGCAGATTTGAAACACTCTTGCTGTGGCATTTTCAGGTGGAGATTTCAAGCGTTTTGAGGACAATTGCAGAAAAGGAAATATCTTCGTATAATAACCAGACAGAATCATTCTCAGAAAGTGCTTTGTGATGTGTGCGTTCCACTCACAGAGTTTAACCTTTCTTTTCATAGAGGAGTTTGGAAACACACTGTTTGTAAAGTCTGCAAGTGGATATATGGACCTGTTTGAGGCCTTCGTTGGAAACGGGATTTCTTCATTGAATGCTAGACGGAAGAATTCTCAGTAAATTCTTTGTGTTGTGTGCATTCAACTCACAGAGTGGAACGTCCCTTTAGACAGAGCAGATTTGAAACACTCTTTTTGCGGAATTTGCAAGTGGAGATTTCTAGCCATTTGATGCCAACAGTAGAAAGGGAAATATCTTCAAATAAAAACCAGGCAGAATCATTCTCAGAAAATTCTTTGTGATGTGTGCGTTCAACTCACATAGTTTAACCTTTCTTTTCATAGAGCAGTTTGGAAACACTCTGTTTGTAAAGTCTGCAAGTGGATATATGGACCGCATTGAGGCCTTCGTTGGAAACGGGATTTCTTCATTTCATGCTAGACAGAAGAATTCTCAGTAACTTCTTTGTGCTGTGTGTATTCAACTCACAGAGTGGAACGTCCCTTTACACAGAGCAGATTTGAAACACTCTTTTTGTGGAGTTTGCAAGTGGAGATTTCAAGCGATTTGATGCCAACAGTAGAAAAGGAAATATCTTCAAATAAAAACTAGACAGAATCATTCTCAGAAACTACTTTGTGATGTGTGCCTTCAACTCACAGAGTTTAACCTTTCTTTTCTTAGAGCAGTTTAGAAACACTCTGCTTGTTATGTCTGCAAGTGGATATTTGGACCTCTTTGAGGCCTTCGTTGCAAACGGGGTTTCGTCCTTTAATGCTAGACTAAGAAGAGTTCTCAGTAACTTTTTTGTGTTGTGTGTATTCAACTCACAGAGTTGAACCTTGCTTTAGAGAGAGCAGATTTGAAACACTCTCGCTGTGGAATTTTCAGGTGGAGATTTCAAGCGATTTGAGGACAATTGCAGAAAAGGAAATATCTTCGTATAATAACCAGACAGAATCATTCTCAGAAAGTGCTTTGTGATGTGTGCGTTCAACTCACAGAGTTTAACCTTTCTATTCATAGAGGAGTTTGGAAACACACTGTTTGTAAAGTCTGCAATTGGATATATGGACCTGTTTGAGGCCTTCGTTGGAAACGGGATTTCTTCATTGAATGCTAGACGGAAGAATTCTCAGTAAATTCTTTGTGTTGTGTGCATTCAACTCACAGAGTGGAACGTCCCTTTAGACAGAGCAGATTTGAAACACTCTTTTTGCGGAATTTGCAAGTGGAGATTTCTAGCCATTTGATGCCAACAGCAGAAAGGGAAATATCTTCAAATAAAATCCAGACAGAATCATTCTCAGAAAATTCTTTGGGATGTGTGCGTTCAACTCACATAGTTTAACCTTTCTTTTCATAGAGCAGTTTGGAAACACTCTGTTTGTAAAGTCTGCAAGTGGATATATGGACCGCATTGAGGCCTTCGTTGGAAACGGGATTTCTTCATTTCATGCTAGACAGAAGAATTCTCAGTAACTTCTTTGTGCTGTGTGTATTCAACTCACAGAGTGGAACGTCCCTTTACACAGAGCAGATTTGAAACACTCTTTTTGTGGAATTTGCAAGTGGAGATTTCAAGCGATTTGATGCCAACAGTAGAAAAGGAAATATCTTCAAATAAAAACTAGACAGAATCATTCTCAGAAACTACTTTGTGATGTGTGCCTTCAACTCACAGAGTTTAACCTTTCTTTTCTTAGAGCAGTTTAGAAACACTCTGCTTGTTATGTCTGCAAGTGGATATTTGGACCTCTTTGAGGCCTTCGTTGCAAACGGGGTTTCTTCCTTTCATGCTAGACTAAGAAGAGTTCTCAGTAACTTTTTTGTGTTGTGTGTATTCAACTCACAGAGTTGAACCTTGCTTTAGAGAGAGCAGATTTGAAACACTCTTGCTGTGGCATTTTCAGGTGGAGATTTCAAGCGATTTGAGGACAATTGCAGAAAAGGAAATATCTTCGTATAATAACCAGACAGAATCATTCTCAGAAAGTGCTTTGTGATGTGTGCGTTCAACTCACAGAGTTTAACCTTTCTTTTCATAGAGGAGTTTGGAAACACACTGTTTGTAAAGTCTGCAATTGGATATATGGACCTGTTTGAGGCCTTCGTTGGAAACGGGATTTCTTCATTGAATGCTAGGCGGAAGAATTCTCAGTAAATTCTTTGTGTTGTGTGCATTCAACTGACAGAGTGGAACGTCCCTTTAGACAGAGCAGATTTGAAACACTCTTTTTGCGGAATTTGCATGTGGAGATTTCTAGCCATTTGATGCCAACAGTAGAAAGGGAAATATCTTCAAATAAAAACCAGACAGAATCATTCTCAGAAAATTCTTTGTGATGTGTGCGTTCAACTCACATAGTTTAACCTTTCTTTTCATAGAGCAGTTTGGAAACACTCTGTTTGTAAAGTCTGCAAGTGGATATATGGACCGCATTGAGGCCTTCGTTGGAAATGGGATTTCTTCATTTCATGCTAGACAGAAGAATTCTCCAGTAACTTCTTTGTGCTGTGTGTATTCAACTCACAGAGTGGAACGTCCCTTTACACAGAGCAGATTTGAAACACTCTTTTTGTGGAGTTTGCAAGTGGAGATTTCAAGCGATTTGATGCCAACAGTAGAAAAGGAAATATCTTCAAATAAAAACTAGACAGAATCATTCTCAGAAACTACTTTGTGATGTGTGCCTTCAACTCACAGAGTTTAACCTTTCTTTTCTTAGAGCAGTTTAGAAACACTCTGCTTGTTATGTCTGCAAGTGGATATTTGGACCTCTTTGAGGCCTTCGTTGCAAACGGGGTTTCTTCCTTTCATGCTAGACTAAGAAGAGTTCTCAGTAACTTTTTTGTGTTGTGTGTATTCAACTCACAGAGTTGAACCTTGCTTTAGAGAGAGCAGATTTGAAACACTCTTGCTGTGGCATTTTCAGGTGGAGATTTCAAGCGATTTGAGGACAATTGCAGAAAAGGAAATATCTTCGTATAATAACCAGACAGAATCATTCTCAGAAAGTGCTTTGTGATGTGTGCGTTCAACTCACAGAGTTTAACCTTTCTTTTCATAGAGGAGTTTGGAAACACACTGTTTGTAAAGTCTGCAAGTGGATATATGGACCTGTTTGAGGCCTTCGTTGGAAACGGGATTTCTTCATTGAATGCTAGACGGAAGAATTCTCAGTAAATTCTTTGTGTTGTGTGCATTCAAGTCACAGAGTGGAACGTCCCTTTAGACAGAGCAGATTTGAAACACTCTTTTTGCGGAATTTGCAAGTGGAGATTTCTAGCCATTTGATGCCAACAGTAGAAAGGGAAACATCTTCAAATAAAAACCAGACAGAATCATTCTCAGAAAATTCTTTGTGATGTGTGCGTTCAACTCACATAGTTTAACCTTTCTTTTCATAGAGCAGTTTGGAAACACTCTGTTTGTAAAGTCTGCAAGTGGATATATGGACCGCATTGAGGCCTTCGTTGGAAACGGGATTTCTTCATTTCATGCTAGACAGAAGAATTCTCAGCAACTTCTTTGTGCTGTGTGTATTCAACTCACAGAGTGGAACGTCCCTTTACACAGAGCAGATTTGAAACACTCTTTTTGTGGAGTTTGCAAGTGAAGATTTCAAACGATTTGATGTCAACAGTAGAAAAGGAAATACCTTCAAATAAAAACTAGACAGAATCATTCTCAGAAACTACTTTGTGATGTGTGCCTTCAACTCACAGAGTTTAACCTTTCTTTTCTTAGAGCAGTTTAGAAACACTCTGCTTGTTATGTCTGCAAGTGGATATTTGGACCTCTTTGAGGCCTTCGTTGCAAACGGGGTTTCTTCCTTTCATGCTAGACTAAGAAGAGTTCTCAGTAACATTTTTGTGTTGTGTGTATTCAACTCACAGAGTTGAACCTTGCTTTAGAGAGAGCAGATTTGAAACACTCTTGCTGTGGCATTTTCAGGTGGAGATTTCAAGCGATTTGAGGACAATTGCAGAAAAGGAAATATCTTCGTATAACAACCAGACAGAATCATTCTCAGAAAGTGCTTTGTGATGTGTGCGTTCCACTCACAGAGTTTAACCTTTCTTTTCATAGAGGAGTTTGGAAACACACTGTTTGTAAAGTCTGCAAGTGGATATATGGACCTGTTTGAGGCCTTCGTTGGAAACGGGATTTCTTCATTGAATGCTAGACGGAAGAATTCTCAGTAAATTCTTTGTGTTGTGTGCATTCAACTCACAGAGTGGAACGTCCCTTTAGACAGAGCAGATTTGAAACACTCTTTTTGCGGAATTTGCAAGTGGAGATTTCTAGCCATTTGATGCCAACAGTAGAAAGGGAAATATCTTCAAATAAAAACCAGACAGAATCATTCTCAGAAAATTCTTTGTGATGTGTGCGTTCAACTCACATAGTTTAACCTTTCTTTTCATAGAGCAGTTTGGAAACACTCTGTTTGTAAAGTCTGCAAGTGGATATATGGACCGCATTGAGGCCTTCGTTGGAAACGGGATTTCTTCATTTCATGCTAGACAGAAGAATTCTCAGTAACTTCTTTGTGCTGTGTGTATTCAACTCACAGAGTGGAACGTCCCTTTACACAGAGCAGATTTGAAACACTCTTTTTGTGGAGTTTGCAAGTGGAGATTTCAAGCGATTTGATGCCAACAGTAGAAAAGGAAATATCTTCAAATAAAAACTAGACAGAATCATTCTCAGAAACTACTTTGTGATGTGTGCCTTCAACTCACAGAGTTTAACCTTTCTTTTCTTAGAGCAGTTTAGAAACACTCTGCTTGTTATGTCTGCAAGTGGATATTTGGACCTCTTTGAGGCCTTCGTTGCAAACGGGGTTTCTTCCTTTCATGCTAGACTAAGAAGAGTTCTCAGTAACTTTTTTGTGTTGTGTGTATTCAACTCACAGAGTTGAACCTTGCTTTAGAGAGAGCAGATTTGAAACACTCTTGCTGTGGCATTTTCAGGTGGAGATTTCAAGCGATTTGAGGACAATTGCAGAAAAGGAAATATCTTCGTATAATAACCAGACAGAATCATTCTCAGAAAGTGCTTTGTGATGTGTGCGTTCAACTCACAGAGTTTAACCTTTCTTTTCATAGAGGAGTTTGGAAACACACTGTTTGTAATGTCTGCAATTGGATATATGGACCTGTTTGAGGTCTTCGTTGGAAACGGGATTTCTTCATTGAATGCTAGACGGAAGAATTCTCAGTAAATTCTTTGTGTTGTGTGCATTCAACTCACAGAGTGGAACGGTCCCTTTAGACAGAGCAGATTTGAAACACTCTTTTTGCGGAATTTGCAAGTGGAGATTTCTAGCCATTTGATGCCAACAGTAGAAAGGGAAATATCTTCAAATAAAAACCAGACAGAATCATTCTCAGAAAATTCTTTGTGATGTGTGCGTTCAACTCACATAGTTTAACCTTTCTTTTCATAGAGCAGTTTGGAAACACTCTGTTTGTAAAGTCTGCAAGTGGATATATGGACCGCATTGAGGCCTTCGTTGGAAACGGGATTTCTTCATTTCATGCTAGACAGAAGAATTCTCAGTAACTTCTTTGTGCTGTGTGTATTCAACTCACAGAGTGGAACGTCCCTTTGCACAGAGCAGATTTGAAACACTCTTTTTGTGGAATTTGCAAGTGCAGATTTCAAGCGATTTGATGCCAACAGTAGAAAAGGAAATATCTTCAAATAAAAACTAGACAGAATCATTCTCAGAAACTACTTTGTGATGTGTGCCTTCAACTCACAGAGTTTAACCTTTCTTTTCTTAGAGCAGTTTAGAAACACTCTGCTTGTTATGTCTGCAAGTGGATATTTGGACCTCTTTGAGGCCTTCGTTGCAAACGGGGTTTCTTCCTTTCATGCTAGACTAAGAAGAGTTCTCAGTAACTTTTTTGTGTTGTGTGTATTCAACTCACAGAGTTGAACCTTGCTTTAGAGAGAGCAGATTTGAAACACTCTTGCTGTGGCATTTTCAGGTGGAGATTTCAAGCGATTTGAGGACAATTGCAGAAAAGGAAATATCTTCGTATAATAACCAGACAGAATCATTCTCAGAAAGTGCTTTGTGATGTGTGCGTTCAACTCACAGAGTTTAACCTTTCTTTTCATAGAGGAGTTTGGAAACACACTGTTTGTAAAGTCTGCAATTGGATATATGGACCTGTTTGAGGCCTTCGTTGGAAACGGGATTTCTTCATTGCATGCTAGACGGAAGAATTCTCAGTAAATTCTTTGTGTTGTGTGCATTCAACTCACAGAGTGGAACGTCCCTTTAGACAGAGCAGATTTGAAACACTCTTTTTGCGGAATTTGCAAGTGGAGATTTCTAGCCATTTGATGCCAACAGTAGAAAGGGAAATATCTTCAAATAAAAACCAGACAGAATCATTCTCAGAAAATTCTTTGTGATGTGTGCGTTCAACTCACATAGTTTAACCTTTCTTTTCTTAGAGCAGTTTAGAAACACTCTGCTTGTTATGTCTGCAAGTGGATATTTGGACCTCTTTGAGGCCTTCGTTGCAAACGGGGTTTCTTCCTTTCATGCTAGACTAAGAAGAGTTCTCAGTAACTTTTTTGTGTTGTGTGTATTCAACTCACAGAGTTGAACCATGCTTTAGAGAGAGCAGATTTGAAACACTCTTGCTGTGGCATTTTCAGGTGGAGATTTCAAGCGATTTGAGGACAATTGCAGAAAAGGAAATATCTTCGTATAACAACCAGACAGAATCATTCTCAGAAAGTGCTTTGTGATGTGTGGGTTCAACTCACAGAGTTTAACCTTTCTTTTCATAGAGGAGTTTGGAAACACACTGTTTGTAAAGTCTGCAATTGGATATATGGACCTGTTTGAGGCCTTCGTTGGAAACGGGATTTCTTCATTGACTGCTAGACAGAAGAATTCTCAGTAAATTCTTTGTGTTGTGTGCATTCAACTCACAGAGTGGAACGTCCCTTTAGACAGAGCAGATTTGAAACACTCTTTTTGCGGAATTTGCAAGTGGAGATTTCTAGCCATTTGATGCCAACAGTAGAAAGGGAAATATCTTCAAATAAAAACCAGACAGAATCATTCTCAGAAAATTCTTTGTGATGTGTGCGTTCAACTCACATAGTTTAACCTTTCTTTTCATAGAGCAGTTTGGAAACACTCTGTTTGTAAAGTCTGCAAGTGGATATATGGACCGCATTGAGGCCTTCGTTGGAAACGGGATTTCTTCATTTCATGCTAGACAGAAGAATTCTCAGTAACTTCTTTGTGCTGTGTGTATTCAACTCACAGAGTTGAACCTTGCTTTAGAGAGAGCAGATTTGAAACACTCTTGCTGTGGCATTTTCAGGTGGAGATTTCAAGCGATTTGAGGAAAATTGCAGAAAAGGAAATATCTTCGTATAACAACCAGACAGAATCATTCTCAGAAAGTGCTTTGTGATGTGTGGGTTCAACTCACAGAGTTTAACCTTTCTTTTCATAGAGGAGTTTGGAAACACACTGTTTGTAAAGTCTGCAATTGGATATATGGACCTGTTTGAGGCCTTCGTTGGAAACGGGATTTCTTCATTGACTGCTAGACAGAAGAATTCTCAGTAAATTCTTTGTGTTGTGTGCATTCAACTCACAGAGTGGAACGTCCCTTTAGACAGAGCAGATTTGAAACACTCTTTTTGCGTAATTTGCAAGTGGAGATTTCTAGCCATTTGATGCCAACAGTAGAAAGGGAAATATCTTCAAATAAAAACCAGACAGAATCATTCTCAGAAAATTCTTTGTGATGTGTGCGTTCAACTCACATAGTTTAACCTTTCTTTTCATAGAGCAGTTTGGAAACACTCTGTTTGTAAAGTCTGCAAGTGGATATATGGACCGCATTGAGGCCTTCGTTGGAAACGGGATTTCTTCATTTCATGCTAGACAGAAGAATTCTCAGTAACTTCTCTGTGCTGTGTGTATTCAACTCACAGACTGGAACGTCCGTTTGCACAGAGCAGATTTGAAACACTCTTTTTGTGGAATTTGCAAGTGGAGATTTCAAGCGATTTGATGCCAACAGTAGAAAAGGAAATATCTTCAAATAAAAACTAGACAGAACCATTCTCAGAAACTACTTTGTGATGTGTGCCTTCAACTCACAGAGTTTAACCTTTCTTTTCTTAGAGCAGTTTAGAAACACTCTGCTTGTTATGTCTGCAACTGGATATTTGGACCTCCTTTGAGGCCTTCGTTGCAAACGGGGTTTCTTCCTTTCATGCTAGACTAAGAAGAGTTCTCAGTAACTTTTTTGTGTTGTGTGTATTCAACTCACAGAGTTGAACCTTGCTTTAGAGAGAGCAGATTTCAAACACTCTTGCTGTGGCATGTTCAGGTGGAGATTTCAAGCGATTTGAGGACAATTGCAGAAAAGGAAATATCTTCGTATAATAACCAGACAGAATCATTCTCAGAAAGTGCTTTGTGATGTGTGCGTTCAACTCACAGAGTTTAACCTTTCTTTTCATGGAGGAGTTTGGAAACACACTGTTTGTAAAGTCTGCAAGTGGATATATGGACCTGTTTGAGGCCTTCGTTGGAAACGGGATTTCTTCATTGAATGCTAGACGGAGGAATTCTCAGTAAATTCTTTTGTGGTGTGCATTCAACTCACAGAGTGGAACGTCCCTTTAGACAGAGCAGATTTGAAACACTCTTTTTGCGGAATTTGCAAGTGGAGATTTCTAGCCATTTGATGCCAACAGTAGAAAGGGAAATATCTTCAAATAAAAACCAGACAGAATCATTCTCAGAAAATTCTTTGTGATGTGTGCGTTCAACTCACATAGTTTAACCTTTCTTTTCATAGAGCAGTTTGGAAACACTCTGTTTGTAAAGTCTGCAAGTGGATATATGGACCGCATTGAGGCCTTCGTTGGAAACGGGATTTCTTCATTTCATGCTAGACAGAAGAATTCTCAGTAACTTCTTTGTGCTGTGTGTATTCAACTCACAGAGTGGAACGTCCCTTTGCACAGAGCAGATTTGAAACACTCTTTTTGTGGAGTTTGCAAGTGGAGATTTCAAGCGATTTGATGCCAACAGTAGAAAAGGAAATATCTTCAAATAAAAACTAGACAGAATCATTCACAGAAACTTCTTTGTGATGTGTGGCTTCAACTCACAGAGTTTAACCTTTCTTTTCTTAGAGCAGTTTAGAAACACTCTGCTTGTTATGTCTGCAAGTGGATATTTCGACCTCTTTTAGGCCTTCGTTGCAAACGGGGTTTCTTCCTTTAATGCTAGACTAAGAAGAGTTCTCAGTAACTTTTTTGTGTTGTGTGTATTCAACTCACAGAGTTGAACCTTGCTTTAGAGAGAGCAGATTTGAAACACTGTTGCTGTGGCATTTTCAGGTGGAGATTTCAAGCGATTTGAGGACAATTGCAGAAAAGGAAATATCTTCGTATAATAACCAGACAGAAACATTCTCAGAAAGTGCTTTGTGATGTGTGCGTTCAACTCACAGAGTTTAACCTTTCTTTTCATAGAGGAGTTTGGAAACACACTGTTTGTAAAGTCTGCAAGTGGATATATGGACCTGTTTGAGGCCTTCGTTGGAAACGGGATTTCTTCATTGAATGCTAGACGGAAGAATTCTCAGTAAATTCTTTGTGTTGTGTGCATTCAACTGACAGAGTGGAACGTCCCTTTAGACAGAGCAGATTTGAAACACTCTTTTTGCGGAATTTGCAAGTGGAGATTTCTAGCCATTTGATGCCAACAGTAGAAAGGGAAATATCTTCAAATAAAAACCAGACAGAATCATTCTCAGAAAATTCTTTGTGATGTGTGCGTTCAACTCACATAGTTTAACCTTTCTTTTCATAGAGCAGTTTGGAAACACTCTGTTTGTAAAGTCTGCAAGTGGATATATGGACCGCATTGAGGCCTTCGTTGGAAACGGGATTTCTTCATTTCATGCTAGACAGAAGAATTCTCAGTAACTTCTTTGTGCTGTGTGTATTCAACTCACAGAGTGGAACGTCCCTTTACACAGAGCAGATTTGAAACACTCTTTTTGTGGAGTTTGCAAGTGGAGATTTCAAGCGATTTGATGCCAACAGTAGAAAAGGAAATATCTTCAAATAAAAACTAGACAGAATCATTCTCAGAAACTACTTTGTGATGTGTGCCTTCAACTCACAGAGTTTAACCTTTCTTTTCTTAGAGCAGTTTAGAAACACTCTGCTTGTTATGTCTGCAAGTGGATATTTGGACCTCTTTGAGGCCTTCGTTGCAAACGGGGTTTCTTCCTTTCATGCTAGACTAAGAAGAGTTCTCAGTAACTTTTTTGTGTTGTGTGTATTCAACTCACAGAGTTGAACCTTGCTTTAGAGAGAGCAGATTTGAAACACTCTTGCTGTGGCATTTTCAGGTGGAGATTTCAAGCGATTTGAGGACAATTGCAGAAAAGGAAATATCTTCGTATAATAACCAGACAGAATCATTCTCAGAAAGTGCTTTGTGATGTGTGCGTTCAACTCACAGAGTTTAACCTTTTTTTTCATAGAGGAGTTTGGAAACACACTGTTTGTAAAGTCTGCAAGTGGATATATGGACCTCTTTGAGGCCTTCGTTGGAAACGGGATTTCTTCATTGAATGCTAGACGGAAGAATTCTCAGTAAATTCTTTGTGTTGTGTGCATTCAACTCACAGAGTGGAACGTCCCTTTAGACAGAGCAGATTTGAAACACTCTTTTTGCGGAATTTGCAAGTGGAGATTTCTAGCCATTTGATGCCAACAGTAGAAAGGGAAATATCTTCAAATAAAAACCAGACAGAATCATTCTCAGAAAATTCTTTGTGATGTGTGCGTTCAACTCACATAGTTTAACCTTTCTTTTCATAGAGCAGTTTGGAAACACTCTGTTTGTAAAGTCTGCAAGTGGATATATGGACCGCATTGAGGCCTTCGTTGGAAACGGGATTTCTTCATTTCATGCTAGACAGAAGAATTCTCAGTAACTTCTTTGTGCTGTGTGTATTCAACTCACAGAGTGGAACGTCCCTTTGCACAGAGCAGATTTGAAACACTCTTTTTGTGGAATTTGCAAGTGGAGATTTCAAGCGATTTGATGCCAACAGTAGAAAAGGAAATATCTTCAAATAAAAACTAGACAGAATCATTCTCAGAAACTACTTTGTGATATGTGCCTTCAACTCACAGAGTTTAACCTTTCTTTTCTTAGAGCAGTTTAGAAACACTCTGCTTGTTATGTCTGCAAGTGGATATTTGGACCTCTTTGAGGCCTTCGTTGCAAACGGGGTTTCTTCCTTTCATGCTAGACTAAGAAGAGTTCTCAGTAACTTTTTTGTGTTGTGTGTATTCAACTCACAGAGTTGAACCTTGCTTTAGAGAGAGCAGATTTGAAACACTCTTGCTGTGGCATTTTCAGGTGGAGATTTCAAGCGATTTGAGGACAATTGCAGAAAAGGAAATATCTTCGTATAACAACCAGACAGAATCATTCTCAGAAAGTGCTTTGTGATGTGTGCGTTCCACTCACAGAGTTTAACCTTTCTTTTCATAGAGGAGTTTGGAAACACACTGTTTGTAAAGTCTGCAAGTGGATATATGGACCTGTTTGAGGCCTTCGTTGGAAACGGGATTTCTTCATTGAATGCTAGACGGAAGAATTCTCAGTAAATTCTTTGTGTTGTGTGCATTCAACTGACAGAGTGGAACGTCCCTTTAGACAGAGCAGATTTGAAACACTCTTTTTGCGGAATTTGCAAGTGGAGATTTCTAGCCATTTGATGCCAACAGTAGAAAGGGAAATATCTTCAAATAAAAACCAGGCAGAATCATTCTCAGAAAATTCTTTGTGATGTGTGCGTTCAACTCACATAGTTTAGCCTTTCTTTTCATAGAGCAGTTTGGAAACACTCTGTTTGTAAAGTCTGCAAGTGGATATATGGACCGCATTGAGGCCTTCGTTGGAAACGGGATTTCTTCATTTCATGCTAGACAGAAGAATTCTCAGTAACTTCTTTGTGCTGTGTGTATTCAACTCACAGAGTCAACGTCCCTTTGCACAGAGCAGATTTGAAACACTCTTTTTGTGGAATTTGCAAGTGGAGATTTCAAGCGATTTGATGCCAACAGTAGAAAAGGAAATATCTTCAAATAAAAACTAGACAGAATCATTCTCAGAAACTACTTTGTGATGTGTGCCTTCAACTCACAGAGTTTAACCTTTCTTTTCTTAGAGCAGTTTAGAAACACTCTGCTTGTTATGTCTGCAAGTGGATATTTGGACCTCTTTGAGGCCTTCGTTGCAAACGGGGTTTCTTCCTTTAATGCTAGACTAAGAAGAGTTCTCAGTAACTTTTTTGTGTTGTGTGTATTCAACTCACAGAGTTGAACCTTGCTTTAGAGAGAGCAGATTTGAAACACTCTTGCTGTGGCATTTTCAGGTGGAGATTTCAAGCGATTTGAGGACAATTGCAGAAAAGGAAATATCTTCGTATAATAACCAGACAGAATCATTCTCAGAAAGTGCTTTGTGATGTGTGCGTTCAACTCACAGAGTTTAACCTTTCTTTTCATAGAGGAGTTTGGAAACACACTGTTTGTAAAGTCTGCAAGTGGATATATGGACCTGTTTGAGGCCTTCGTTGGAAACGGGATTTCTTCATTGAATGCTAGACGGAAGAATTCTCAGTAAATTCTTTGTGTTGTGTGCATTCAACTCACAGAGTGGAACGTCCCTTTAGACAGAGCAGATTTGAAACACTCTTTTTGCGGAATTTGCAAGTGGAGATTTCTAGCCATTTGATGCCAACAGTAGAAAGGGAAATATCTTCAAATAAAAACCAGACAGAATCATTCTCAGAAAATTCTTTGTGATGTGTGCGTTCAACTCACATAGTTTAACCTTTCTTTTCATAGAGCAGTTTGGAAACACTCTGTTTGTAAAGTCTGCAAGTGGATATATGGACCGCATTGAGGCCTTCGTTGGAAACGGGATTTCTTCATTTCATGCTAGACAGAAGAATTCTCAGTAACTTCTTTGTGCTGTGTGTATTCAACTCACAGAGTGGAACGTCCCTTTGCACAGAGCAGATTTGAAACACTCTTTTTGTGGAATTTGCAAGTGGAGATTTCAAGCGATTTGATGCCAACAGTAGAAAAGGAAATATCTTCAAATAAAAACTAGACAGAATCATTCTCAGAAACTACTTTGTGATGTGTGCCTTCAACTCACAGAGTTTAACCTTTCTTTTCTTAGAGCAGTTTAGAAACACTCTGCTTGTTATGTCTGCAAGTGGATATTTGGACCTCTTTGATGCCTTCGTTGCAAACGGGTTTCTTCCTTTCATGCTAGACTAAGAAGAGTTCTCAGTAACTTTTTTGTGTTGTGTGTATTCAACTCACAGAGTTGAACCTTGCTTTAGAGAGAGCAGATTTGAAACACTCTTGCTGTGGCATTTTCAGGTGGAGATTTCAAGCGTTTTGAGGACAATTGCAGAAAAGGAAATATCTTCGTATAATAACCAGACAGAATCATTCTCAGAAAGTGCTTTGTGATGTGTGCGTTCAACTCACAGAGTTTAACCTTTCTTTTCATAGAGGAGTTTGGAAACACACTGTTTGTAAAGTCTGCAATTGGATATATGGACCTGTTTGAGGCCTTCTTTGGAAACGGGATTTCTTCATTGAATGCTAGACGGAAGAATTCTCAGTAAATTCTTTGTGTTGTGTGCATTCAACTCACAGAGTGGAACGTCCCTTTAGACAGAGCAGATTTGAAACACTCTTTTTGCGGAATTTGCAAGTGGAGATTTCTAGCCATTTGATGCCAACAGTAGAAAGGGAAATATCTTCAAATAAAAACCAGACAGAATCATTCTCAGAAAATTCTTTGTGATGTGTGCGTTCAACTCACATAGTTTAACCTTTCTTTTCATAGAGCAGTTTGGAAACACTCTGTTTGTAAAGTCTGCAAGTGGATATATGGACCGCATTGAGGCCTTCGTTGGAAACGGGATTTCTTCATTTCATGCTAGACAGAAGAATTCTCAGTAACTTCTTTGTGCTGTGTGTATTCAACTCACAGAGTGGAACGTCCCTTTACACAGAGCAGATTTGAAACACTCTTTTTGTGGAGTTTGCAAGTGGAGATTTCAAGCGATTTGATGCCAACAGTAGAAAAGGAAATATCTTCAAATAAAAACTGGACAGAATCATTCTCAGAAACTACTTTGTGATGTGTGCCTTCAACTCACAGAGTTTAACCTTTCTTTTCTTAGAGCAGTTTAGAAACACTCTGCTTGTTATGTCTGCAAGTGGATATTTGGACCTCTTTGAGGCCTTCGTTGCAAACGGGGTTTCTTCCTTTCATGCTAGACTAAGAAGAGTTCTCAGTAACTTTTTTGTGTTGTGTGTATTCAACTCACAGAGTTGAACCTTGCTTTAGAGAGAGCAGATTTGAAACACTCTTGCTGTGGCATTTTCAGGTGGAGATTTCAAGCGATTTGAGGACAATTGCAGAAAAGGAAATATCTTCGTATAATAACCAGACAGAATCATTCTCAGAAAGTGCTTTGTGATGTGTGCGTTCAACTCACAGAGTTTAACCTTTCTTTTCATAGAGGAGTTTGGAAACACACTGTTTGTAAAGTCTGCAAGTGGATATATGGACCTGTTTGAGGCCTTCGTTGGAAACGGGATTTCTTCATTGAATGCTAGACGGAAGAATTCTCAGTAAATTCTTTGTGTTGTGTGCATTCAACTCACAGAGTGGAACGTCCCTTTAGACAGAGCAGATTTGAAACACTCTTTTTGCGGAATTTGCAAGTGGAGATTTCTAGCCATTTGATGCCAACAGTAGAAAGGGAAATATCTTCAAATAAAAACCAGACAGAATCATTCTCAGAAAATTCTTTGTGATGTGTGCGTTCAACTCACATAGTTTAACCTTTCTTTTCATAGAGCAGTTTGGAAACACTCTGTTTGTAAAGTCTGCAAGTGGATATATGGACCGCAATGAGGCCTTCGTTGGAAACGGGATTTCTTCATTTCATGCTAGACAGAAGAATTCTCAGTAACTTCTTTGTGCTGTGTGTATTCAACTCATAGAGTGGAACGTCCCTTTGCACAGAGCGGATTTGAAACACTCTTTTTGTGGAGTTTGCAAGTGGAGATTTCAAGCGATTTGATGCCAACAGTAGAAAAGGAAATATCTTCAAATAAAAACTAGACAGAATCATTCTCAGAAACTACTTTGTGATGTGTGCCTTCAACTCACAGAGTTTAACCTTTCTTTTCTTAGAGCAGTTTAGAAACACTCTGCTTGTTATGTTTCCAAGTGGATATTTGGACCTCTTTGAGGCCTTCGTTGCAAACAGGGTTTCTTCCTTTAATGCTAGACTAAGAAGAGTTCTCAGTAACTTTTTTGTGTTGTGTGTATTCAACTCACAGAGTTGAACCTTGCTTTAGAGAGAGCAGATTTGAAACACTCTTGCTGTGGCATTTTCAGGTGGAGATTTCAAGCGATTTGAGGACAATTGCAGAAAAGGAAATATCTTCGTATAATAACCAGACAGAATCATTCTCAGAAAGTGCTTTGTGATGTGTGCGTTCAACTCACAGAGTTTAACCTTTCTTTTCATAGAGGAGTTTGGAAACACACTGTTTGTAAAGTCTGCAATTGGATATATGGACCTGTTTGAGGCCTTCGTTGGAAACGGGATTTCTTCATTGAATGCTAGGCGGAAGAATTCTCAGTAAATTCTTTGTGTTGTGTGCATTCAACTCACAGAGTGGAACGTCCCTTTAGACAGAGCAGATTTGAAACACTCTTTTTGCGGAATTTGCAAGTGGAGATTTCTAGCCATTTGATGCCAACAGTAGAAAGGGAAATATCTTCAAATAAAAACCAGACAGAATCATTCTCAGAAAATTCTTTGTGATGTGTGCGTTCAACTCACATAGTTTAACCTTTCTTTTCATAGAGCAGTTTGGAAACACTCTGTTTGTGAAGTCTGCAAGTGGATATATAGACCGCATTGAGGCCTTCGTTGGAAACGGGATTTCTTCATTTCATGCTAGACAGAAGAATTCTCAGTAACTTCTTTGTGCTGTGTGTATTCAACTCACAGAGTGGAACGTCCCTTTGCACAGAGCAGATTTGAAACACTCTTTTTGTGGAGTTTGCAAGTGGATATTTCAAGCGATTTGATGCCAACAGTAGAAAAGGAAATATCTTCAAATAAAAACTAGACAGAATCATTCTCAGAAAGTGCTTTGTGATGTGTGCCTTCAACTCACAGAGTTTAACCTTTCTTTTCTTAGAGCAGTTTAGAAACACTCTGCTTGTTATGTCTGCAAGTGGATATTTGGACCTCTTTGAGGCCTTCGTTGCAAACGGGGTTTCTTCCTTTCATGCTAGACTAAGAAGAGTTCTCAGTAACTTTTTTGTGTTGTGTGTATTCAACTCACAGAGTTGAACCTTGCTTTAGAGAGAGCAGATTTGAAACACTCTTGCTGTGGCATTTTCAGGTGGAGATTTCAAGCGATTTGAGGACAATTGCAGAAAAGGAAATATCTTCGTATAATAACCAGAGAGAATCATTCTCAGAAAGTGCTTTGTGATGTGTGCGTTCCACTCACAGAGTTTAACCTTTCTTTTCATAGAGGAGTTTGGAAACACACTGTTTGTAAAGTCTGCAAGTGGATATATGGACCTGTTTGAGGCCTTCGTTGGAAACGGGATTTCTTCATTGAATGCTAGACGGAAGAATTCTCAGTAAATTCTTTGTGTTGTGTGCATTCAACTGACAGAGTGGAACGTCCCTTTAGACAGAGCAGATTTGAAACACTCTTTTTGCGGAATTTGCAAGTGGAGATTTCTAGCCATTTGATGCCAACAGTAGAAAGGGAAATATCTTCAAATAAAAACCAGACAGAATCATTCTCAGAAAATTCTTTGTGATGTGTGCGTTCAACTCACATAGTTTAACCTTTCTTTTCATAGAGCAGTTTGGAAACACTCTGTTTGTAAAGTCTGCAAGTGGATATATGGACTGCATTGAGGCCTTCGTTGGAAACGGGATTTCTTCATTTCATGCTAGACAGAAGAATTCTCAGTAACTTCTTTGTGCTGTGTGTATTCAACTCACAGAGTGGAACGTCCCTTTACACAGAGCAGATTTGAAACACTCTTTTTGTGGAGTTTGCAAGTGGAGATTTCAAGCGATTTGATGCCAACAGTAGAAAAGGAAATATCTTCAAATAAAAACTAGACAGAATCATTCTCAGAAACTACTTTGTGATGTGTGCCTTCAACTCACAGAGTTTAACCTTTCTTTTCTTAGAGCAGTTTAGAAACACTCTGCTTGTTATGTCTGCAAGTGGATATTTGGACCTCTTTGAGGCCTTCGTTGCAAACGGGGTTTCTTCCTTTCATGCTAGACTAAGAAGAGTTCTCAGTAACTTTTTTGTGTTGTGTGTATTCAACTCACAGAGTTGAACCTTGCTTTAGAGAGAGCAGATTTGAAACACTCTTGCTGTGGCATTTTCAGGTGGAGATTTCAAGCGATTTGAGGACAATTGCAGAAAAAGAAATATCTTCGTATAATAACCAGACAGAATCATTCTCAGAAAGTGCTTTGTGATGTGTGCGTTCCACTCACAGAGTTTAACCTTTCTTTTCATACAGGAGTTTGGAAACACACTGTTTGTAAAGTCTGCAAGTGGATATATGGACCTGTTTGAGGCCTTCGTTGGAAAGGGGATTTTTTCATTGAATGCTAGACGGAAGAATTCTCAGTAAATTCTTTGTGTTGTGTGCATTCAACTCACAGAGTGGAACGTCCCTTTAGACAGAGCAGATTTGAAACACTCTTTTTGCGGAATTTGCAAGTGGAGATTTCTAGCCATTTGATGCCAACAGTAGAAAGGGAAATATCTTCAAATAAAAACCAGACAGAATCATTCTCAGAAAATTCTTTGTGATGTGTGCGTTCAACTCACATAGTTTAACCTTTCTTTTCATAGAGCAGTTTGGAAACACTCTGTTTGTAAAGTCTGCAAGTGGATATATGGACCGCATTGAGGCCTTCGTTGGAAACGGGATTTCTTCATTTCATGCTAGACAGAAGAATTCTCAGTAACTTCTTTGTGCTGTGTGTATTCAACTCACAGAGTGGAACGTCCCTTTGCACAGAGCAGATTTGAAACACTCTTTTTGTGGAGTTTGCAAGTGGAGATTTCAAGCGATTTGATGCCAACAGTAGAAAAGGAAATATCTTCAAATAAAAACTAGACAGAATCATTCTCAGAAACTACTTTGTGATGTGTGCCTTCAACTCACAGAGTTTAACCTTTCTTTTCTTAGAGCAGTTTAGAAACACTCTGCTTGTTATGTCTGCAAGTTGATATTTGGACCTCTTTGAGGCCTTCGTTGCAAACGGGGTTTCTTCCTTTAATGCTAGACTAAGAAGAGTTCTCAGTAACTTTTTTGTGTTGTGTGTATTCAACTCACAGAGTTGAACCTTGCTTTAGAGAGAGCAGATTTGAAACACTCTTGCTGTGGCATTTTCAGGTGGAGATTTCAAGCGATTTGAGGACAATTGCAGAAAAGGAAATATCTTCGTATAATAACCAGACAGAATCATTCTCAGAAAGTGCTTTGTGATGTGTGCGTTCAACTCACAGAGTTTAACCTTTCTTTTCATAGAGGAGTTTGGAAACACACTGTTTGTAAAGTCTGCAATTGGATATATGGACCTGTTTGAGGCCTTCGTTGGAAACGGGATTTCTTCATTGAATGCTAGACGGAAGGATTCTCAGTAAATTCTTTGTGTTGAGTGCATTCAACTCACAGAGTGGAACGTCCCTTTAGACAGAGCAGATTTGAAACACTCTTTTTGCGGAATTTGCAAGTGGAGATTTCTAGCCATTTGATGCCAACAGTAGAAAGGGAAATATCTTCAAATAAAAACCAGACAGAATCATTCTCAGAAAATTCTTTGTGATGTGTGCGTTCAACTGACATAGTTTAACCTTTCTTTTCATAGAGCAGTTTGGAAACACTCTGTTTGTAAAGTCTGCAAGTGGATATATGGACCGCATTGAGGCCTTCGTTGGAAACGGGATTTCTTCATTTCATACTAGACAGAAGAATTCTCAGTATCTTCTTTGTGCTGTGTGTATTCAACTCACAGAGTGGAACGTCCCTTTGCACAGAGCAGATTTGAAACACTCTTTTTGTGGAGTTTGCAAGTGGAGATTTCAAGCGATTTGATGCCAACAGTAGAAAAGGAAATATCTTCAAATAAAAACTAGACAGAATCATTCTCAGAAACTACTTTGTGATGTGTGCCTTCAACTCACAGAGTTTAACCTTTCTTTTCTTAGAGCAGTTTAGAAACACTCTGCTTGTTATGTCTGCAAGTGGATATTTGGACCTCTTTGAGGCCTTCGTTGCAAACGGGGTTTCTTCCTTTAATGCTAGACTAAGAAGAGTTCTCAGTAACTTTTTTGTGTTGTGTGTATTCAACTCACAGAGTTGAACCTTGCTTTAGAGAGAGCAGATTTGAAACACTCTTGCTGTGGCATTTTCAGGTGGAGATTTCAAGCGATTTGAGGACAATTGCAGAAAAGGAAATATCTTCGTATAATAACCAGACAGAATCATTCTCAGAAAGTGCTTTGTGATGTGTGCGTTCAACTCACAGAGTTTAACCTTTCTTTTCATAGAGGAGTTTGGAAACACACTGTTTGTAAAGTCTGCAATTGGATATATGGACCTGTTTGAGGCCTTCGTTGGAAACGGGATTTCTTCATTGAATGCTAGACGGAAGAATTCTCAGTAAATTCTTTGTGTTGTGTGCATTCAACTGACAGAGTGGAACGTCCCTTTAGACAGAGCAGATTTGAAACACTCTTTTTGCGGAATTTGCAAGTGGAGATTTCTAGCCATTTGATGCCAACAGTAGAAAGGGAAATATCTTCAAATAAAAACCAGACAGAATCATTCTCAGAAAATTCTTTGTGATGTGTGCGTTCAACTCACATAGTTTAACCTTTCTTTTCATAGAGCAGTTTGGAAACACTCTGTTTGTAAAGTCTGCAAGTGGATATATGGACCGCATTGAGGCCTTCGTTGGAAACGGGATTTCTTCATTTCATGCTAGACAGAAGAATTCTCAGTAACTTCTTTGTGCTGTGTGTATTCAACTCACAGAGTGGAACGTCCCTTTACACAGAGCAGATTTGAAACACTCTTTTTGTGGAATTTGCAAGTGGAGATTTCAAGCGATTTGATGCCAACAGTAGAAAAGGAAATATCTTCAAATAAAAACTAGACAGAATCATTCTCAGAAACTACTTTGTGATGTGTGCCTTCAACTCACAGAGTTTAACCTTTCTTTTCTTAGAGCAGTTTAGAAACACTCTGCTTGTTATGTCTGCAAGTGGATATTTGGACCTCTTTGAGGACTTCGTTGCAAACGGGGTTTCTTCCTTTAATGCTAGACTAAGAAGAGTTCTCAGTAACTTTTTTGTGTTGTGTGCATTCAACTCACAGAGTGGAACGTCCCTTTAGACAGAGCAGATTTGAAACACTCTTTTTGCGGAAGTTGCAAGTGGAGATTTCTAGCCATTTGATGCCAACAATACAAAGGGAAATATCTTCAAATAAAAACTAGACAGAATCATTCTCAGAAAGTGCTTTGTGATGTGTGCGTTCAACTCACAGAGTTTAACCTTTCTTTTCATAGAGGAGTTTGGAAACACACTGTTTGTAAAGTCTGCAATTGGATATATGGACCTGTTTGAGGCCTTCGTTGGAAACGGGATTTCTTCATTGAATGCTAGACGGAAGAATTCTCAGTAAATTCTTTGTGTTGTGTGCATTCAACTGACAGAGTGGAACGTCCCTTTAGACAGAGCAGATTTGAAACACTCTTTTTGCGGAATTTGCAAGTGGAGATTTCTAGCCATTTGATGCCAACAGTAGAAAGGGAAATATCTTCAAATAAAAACCAGACAGAATCATTCTCAGAAAATTCTTTGTGATGTGTGCGTTCAACTCACATAGTTTAACCTTTCTTTTCATAGAGCAGTTTGGAAACACTCTGTTTGTAAAGTCTGCAAGTGGATATATGGACCGCATTGAGGCCTTCGTTGGAAACGGGATTTCTTCATTTCATGCTAGACAGAAGAATTCTCAGTAACTTCTTTGTGCTGTGTGTATTCAACTCACAGAGTGGAACGTCCCTTTACAGAGAGCAGATTTGAAACACTCTTTTTGTGGAGTTTGCAAGTGGAGATTTCAAGCGATTTGATGCCAACAGTAGAAAAGGAAATATCTTCAAATAAAAACTAGACAGAATCATTCTCAGAAACTACTTTGTGATGTGTGCCTTCAACTCACAGAGTTTAACCTTTCTTTTCTTAGAGCAGTTTAGAAACACTCTGCTTGTTATGTCTGCAAGTGGATATTTGGACCTCTTTGAGGCCTTCGTTGCAAACGGGGTTTCTTCCTTTCATGCTAGACTAAGAAGAGTTCTCAGTAACTTTTTTGTGTTGTGTGTATTCAACTCACAGAGTTGAACCTTGCTTTAGAGAGAGCAGATTTGAAACACTCTTGCTGTGGCATTTTCAGGTGGAGATTTCAAGCGATTTGAGGACAATTGCAGAAAAGGAAATATCTTCGTATAATAACCAGACAGAATCATTCTCAGAAAGTGCTTTGTGATGTGTGCGTTCCACTCACAGAGTTTAACCTTTCTTTTCATAGAGGAGTTTGGAAACACACTGTTTGTAAAGTCTGCAAGTGGATATATGGACCTCTTTGAGGCCTTCGTTGGAAACGGGATTTCTTCATTGAATGCTAGACGGAAGAATTCTCAGTAAATTCTTTGTGTTGTGTGCATTCAACTCACAGAGTGGAACGTCCCTTTAGACAGAGCAGATTTGAAACACTCTTTTTGCGGAATTTGCAAGTGGAGATTTCTAGCCATTTGATGCCAACAGTAGAAAGGGAAATATCTTCAAATAAAAACCAGACAGAATCATTCTCAGAAAATTCTTTGTGATGTGTGCGTTCAACTCACATAGTTTAACCTTTCTTTTCATAGAGCAGTTTGGAAACACTCTGTTTGTAAAGTCTGCAAGTGGATATATGGACCGCATTGAGGCCTTCGTTGGAAACGGGATTTCTTCATTTCATGCTAGACAGAAGAATTCTCAGTAACTTCTTTGTGCTGTGTGTATTCAACTCACAGAGTGGAACGTCCCTTTGCACAGAGCAGATTTGAAACACTCTTTTTGTGGAGTTTGCAAGTGGAGATTTCAAGCGATTTGATGCCAACAGTAGAAAAGGAAATATCTTCAAATAAAAACTAGACAGAATCATTCTCAGAAACTACTTTGTGATGTGTGCCTTCAACTCACAGAGTTTAACCTTTCTTTTCTTAGAGCAGTTTAGAAACACTCTGCTTGTTATGTCTGCAAGTGGATATTTGGACCTCTTTGAGGCCTTCGTTGCAAACGGGGTTTCTTCCTTTCATGCTAGACTAAGAAGAGTTCTCAGTAACTTTTTTGTGTTGTGTGTATTCAACTCACAGAGTTGAACCTTGCTTTAGAGAGAGCAGATTTGAAACACTCTTGCTGTGGCATTTTCAGGTGGAGATTTCAAGCGATTTGAGGACAATTGCAGAAAAGGAAATATCTTCGTATAATAACCAGACAGAATCATTCTCAGAAAGTGCTTTGTGATGTGTGCGTTCAACTCACAGAGTTTAACCTTTCTTTTCATAGAGGAGTTTGGAAACACACTGTTTGTAAAGTCTGCAAGTGGATACATGGACCTGTTTGAGGCCTTCGTTGTAAACGGGATTTCTTCATTGAATGCTAGACGGAAGAATTCTCAGTAAATTCTTTGTGTTGTGTGCATTCAACTCACAGAGTGGAACGTCCCTTTAGACAGAGCAGATTTGAAACACTCTTTTTGCGGAATTTGCAAGTGGAGATTTCTAGCCATTTGATGCCAACAGTAGAAAGGGAAATATCTTCAAATAAAAACCAGACAGAATCATTCTCAGAAAATTCTTTGTGATGTGTGCGTTCAACTCACATAGTTTAACCTTTCTTTTCATAGAGCAGTTTGGAAACACTCTGTTTGTAAAGTCTGCAAGTGGATATATGGACCGCATTGAGGCCTTCGTTGGAAACGGGATTTCTTCATTTCATGCTAGACAGAAGAATTCTCAGTAACTTCTTTGTGCTGTGTGTATTCAACTCACAGAGTGCAACGTCCCTTTACACAGAGCAGATTTGAAACACTCTTTTTGTGGAATTTGCAAGTGGAGATTTCAAGCGATTTGATGCCAACAGTAGAAGAGGAAATATCTTCAAATAAAAACTAGACAGAATCATTCTCAGAAACTACTTTGTGATGTGTGCCTTCAACTCGCAGAGTTTAACCTTTCTTTTCTTAGAGCAGTTTAGAAACACTCTGCTTGTTATGTCTGCAAGTGGATATTTGGACCTCTTTGAGGCCTTCGTTGCAAACGGGATTTCTTCCTTTAATGCTAGACTAAGAAGAGTTCTCAGTAACTTTTTTGTGTTGTGTGTATTCAACTCACAGAGTTGAACCTTGCTTTAGAGAGAGCAGATTTGAAACACTCTTGCTGTGGCATTTTCAGGTGGAGATTTCAAGCGATTTGAGGACAATTGCAGAAAAGGAAATATCTTCGTATAATAACCAGACAGAATCATTCTCAGAAAGTGCTTTGTGATGTGTGCGTTCAACTCACAGAGTTTAACCTTTCTTTTCATAGAGGAGTTTGGAAACACACTGTTTGTAAAGTCTGCATGTGGATATATGGACCTGTTTGAGGCCTTCGTTGGAAACGGGATTTCTTCATTGAATGCTAGACGGAAGAATTCTCAGTAAATTCTTTGTGTTGTGTGCATTCAACTCACAGAGTGGAACGTCCCTTTAGACAGAGCAGATTTGAAACACTCTTTTTGCAGAATTTGCAAGTGGAGATTTCTAGCCATTTGATGCCAACGGTAGAAAGGGAAATATCTTCAAATAAAAACTAGACAGAATTATCCTCAGAAAATTCTTTGTGATGTGTGCGTTCAACTCACATAGTTTAACCTTTCTTTTCATAGACCAGTTTGGAAACACTCTGTTGGTAATGTCTGCAAGTGGATATATGGACCGCTTTGAGGACTTCGTTGGAAACGGGATTTCTTAATTTCATGCTAGACAGAAGAATTCTCAGTAACTTCTTTGTGCTGTGTGTATTCAACTCACAGAGTGGAACGTCCCTTTACACAGAGCAGATTTGAAACACTCTTTTTGTGGAGTTTGCAAGTGGAGATTTCAAGCGATTTGATGCCAACAGTAGAAAAGGAAATATCTTCAAATAAAAACTAGACAGAATCATTCTCAGAAACTACTTTGTGATGTGTGCCTTCAACTCACAGAGTTTAACCTTTCTTTTCTTAGAGCAGTTTAGAAACACTCTGCTTGTTATGTCTGCAAGTGGATATTTGGACCTCTTTGAGGCCTTCGTTGCAAACGGGGTTTCTTCCTTTAATGCTAGACTAAGAAGAGTTCGCAGTAACTTTTTTGTGTTGTGTGTATTCAACTCACAGAGTTGAACCTTGCTTTAGAGAGAGCAGATTTGAAACACTCTTGCTGTGGCATTTTCAGGTGGAGATTTCAAGCGATTTGAGGACAATTGCAGAAAAGGAAATATCTTCGTATAATAACCAGACAGAATCATTCTCAGAAAGTGCTTTGTGATGTGTGCGTTCAACTCACAGAGTTTAACCTTTCTTTTCATAGAGGAGTTTGGAAACACACTGTTTGTAAAGTCTGCAAGTGGATATATGGACCTGTTTGAGGCCTTCGTTGGAAACGGGATTTCTTCATTGAATGCTAGACGGAAGAATTCTCAGTAAATTCTTTGTGTTGTGTGCATTCAACTCACAGAGTGGAACGTCCCTTTAGACAGAGCAGATTTGAAACACTCTTTTTGCGGAATTTGCAAGTGGAGATTTCTAGCCATTTGATGCCAACAGTAGAAAGGGAAATATCTTCAAATAAAAACCAGACAGAATCATTCTCAGAAAATTCATTGTGATGTGTGCGTTCAACTCACATAGTTTAACCTTTCTTTTCATAGAGCAGTTTGGAAACACTCTGTTTGTAAATTCTGCAAGTGCATATATGGACCGCATTGAGGCCTTCGTTGGAAACGGGATTTCTTCATTTCATGCTAGACACAAGAATTCTCAGTAACTTCTTTGTGCTGTGTGTATTCAACTCACAGAGTGGAACGTCCCTTTAGACAGAGCAGATTTGAAACACTCTTTTTGTGGAATTTGCAAGTGGAGATTTCAAGCGATTTGATGCCAACAGTAGAAAAGGAAATATCTTCAAATAAAAACTAGACAGAATCATTCTCAGAAACTTCTTTGTGATGTGTGCCTTCAACTCACAGAGTTTAACCTTTCTTTTCTTAGAGCAGTTTAGAAACACTCTGCTTGTTATGTCTGCAAGTGGATATTTGGACCTCTTTGAGGCCTTCGTTGCAAACGGGGTTTCTTCCTTTCATGCTAGACTAAGAAGAGTTCTCAGTAACTTTTTTGTGTTGTGTGTATTCAACTCACAGAGTTGAACCTTGCTTTAGAGAGAGCAGATGTGAAACACTCTTGCTGTGGCATTTTCAGGTGGAGATTTCAAGCGATTTGAGGACAATTGCAGAAAAGGAAATATCTTCGTATAATAACCAGACAGAATCATTCTCAGAAAGTGCTTTGTGATGTGTGCGTTCAACTCACAGAGTTTAACCTTTCTTTTCATAGAGGAGTTTGGAAACACACTGTTTGTAAAGTCTGCAATTGGATATATGGACCTGTTTGAGGCCTTCGTTGGAAACGGGATTTCTTCATTGAATGCTAGACGGAAGAATTCTCAGTAAATTCTTTGTGTTGTGTGCATTCAACTCACAGAGTGGAACGTCCCTTTAGACAGAGCAGATTTGAAACACTCTTTTTGCGGAATTTGCAAGTGGAGATTTCTAGCCATTTGATGCCAACAGTAGAAAGGGAAATATCTTCAAATAAAAACCAGACAGAATCATTCTCAGAAAATTCTTTGTGATGTGTGCGTTCAACTCACATAGTTTAACCTTTCTTTTCATAGAGCAGTTTGGAAACACTCTGTTTGTAAAGTCTGCAAGTGGATATATGGACCGCATTGAGGCCTTCGTTGGAAACGGGATTTCTTCATTTCATGCTAGACAGAAGAATTCTCAGTAACTTCTTTGTGCTGTGTGTATTCAACTCACAGAGTGGAACGTCCCTTTAGACAGAGCAGATTTGAAACACTCTTTTTGCGGAATTTGCAAGTGGAGATTTCTAGCCATTTGATGCCAACAGTAGAAAGGGAAATATCTTCAAATAAAAACCAGACAGAATCATTCTCAGAAAATTCTTTGTGATGTGTGCGTTCAACTCACATAGTTTAACCTTTCTTTTCATAGAGCAGTTTGGAAACACTCTGTTTGTAAAGTCTGCAAGTGGATCTATGGACCGCATTGAGGCCTTCGTTGGAAACGGGATTTCTTCATTTCATGCTAGACAGAAGAATTCTCAGTAACTTCTTTGTGCTGTGTGTATTCAACTCACAGAGTGGAACGTCCCTTTGCACAGAGCAGATTTGAAACACTCTTTTTGTGGAGTTTGCAAGTGGAGATTTCAAGCGATTTGATGCCAACAGTAGAAAAGGAAATATCTTCAAATAAAAACTAGACAGAATCATTCTCAAAAACTACTTTGTGATGTGTGCCTTCAACTCACAGAGTTTAACCTTTCTTTTCTTAGAGCAGTTTAGAAACACTCTGCTTGTTATGTCTGCAAGTGGATATTTGGACCTCTTTGAGGCCTTCGTTGCAAACGGGGTTTCTTCCTTTCATGCTAGACTAAGAAGAGTTCTCAGTAACTTTTTTGTGTTGTGTGTATTCAACTCACAGAGTTGAACCTTGCTTTAGAGAGAGCAGATTTGAAACACTCTTGCTGTGGCATTTTCAGGTGGAGATTTCAAGCGATTTGAGGACAATTGCAGAAAAGGAAATATCTTCGTATAATAACCAGACAGAATCATTCTCAGAAAGTGCTTTGTGATGTGTGCGTTCAACTCACAGAGTTTAACCTTTCTTTTCATAGAGGAGTTTGGAAACACACTGTTTGTAAAGTCTGCAATTGGATATATGGACCTGTTTGAGGCCTTCTTTGGAAACGGGATTTCTTCATTGAATGCTAGACGGAGAAATCTCAGTAAATTCTTTGTGTTGTGTGCATTCAACTCACAGAGTGGAACGTCCCTTTAGACAGAGCAGATTTGAAACACTCTTTTTGCGGAATTTGCAAGTGGAGATTTCTAGCCATTTGATGCCAACAGTAGAAAGGGAAATATCTTCAAATAAAAACCAGACAGAATCATTCTCAGAAAATTCTTTGTGATGTGTGCGTTCAACTCACATAGTTTAACCTTTCTTTTCATAGAGCAGTTTGGAAACACTCTGTTTGTAATGTCTGCAAGTGGATATATGGACGGCATTGAGGCCTTCGTTGGAAACGGGATTTCTTCATTTCATGCTAGACAGAAGCAATTCTCAGTAACTTCTTTGTGCTGTGTGTATTCAACTCACAGAGTGGAACGTCCCTTTGCACAGAGCAGATTTGAAACACTCTTTTTGTGGAGTTTGCAATTGGAGATTTCAAGCGATTTGATGCCAACAGTAGAAAAGGAAATATCTTCAAATAAAAACTAGACAGAATCATTCTCAGAAACTACTTTGTGATGTGTGCCTTCAACTCACAGAGTTTAACCTTTCTTTTCTTAGAGCAGTTTAGAAACACTCTGCTTGTTATGTCTGCAAGTGGATATTTGGACCTCTTTGAGGCCTTCGTTGCAAACGGGGTTTCTTCCTTTCATGCTAGACTAAGAAGAGTTCTCAGTAACTTTTTTGTGTTGTGTGTATTCAACTCACAGAGTTGAACCTTGCTTTAGAGAGAGCAGATTTGAAACACTCTTGCTGTGGCATTTTCAGGTGGAGATTTCAAGCGATTTGAGGACAATTGCAGAAAAGGAAATATCTTCGTATAATAACCAGACAGAATCATTCTCAGAAAGTGCTTTGTGATGTGTGCGTTCAACTCACAGAGTTTAACCTTTCTTTTCATAGAGGAGTTTGGAAACACACTGTTTGTAAAGTCTGCAATTGGATATATGGACCTGTTTGAGGCCTTCGTTGGAAACGGGATTTCTTCATTGAATGCTAGACGGAAGAATTCTCAGTAAATTCTTTGTGTTGTGTGCATTCAACTCACAGAGTGGAACGTCCCTTTAGACAGAGCAGATTTGAAACACTCTTTTTGCGGAATTTGCAAGTGGAGATTTCTAGCCATTTGATGCCAACAGTAGAAAGGGAAATATCTTCAAATAAAAACCAGACAGAATCATTCTCAGAAAATTCTTTGTGATGTGTGCGTTCAACTCACATAGTTTAACCTTTCTTTTCATAGAGCAGTTTGGAAACACTCTGTTTGTAAAGTCTGCAAGTGGATATATGGACCGCATTGAGGCCTTCGTTGGAAACGGGATTTCTTCATTTCATGCTAGACAGAAGAATTCTCAGTAACTTCTTTGTGCTGTGTGTATTCAACTCACAGAGTGGAACGTCCCTTTGCACAGAGCAGATTTGAAACACTCTTTTTGTGGAGTTTGCAAGTGGAGATTTCAAGCGATTTGATGCCAACAGTAGAAAAGGAAATATCTTCAAATAAAAACTAGACAGAATCATTCTCAGAAACTACTTTGTGATGTGTGCCTTCAACTCACAGAGTTTAACCTTTCTTTTCTTAGAGCAGTTTAGAAACACTCTGCTTGTTATGTCTGCAAGTGGATATTTGGACCTCTTTGAGGCCTTCGGTTGCAAACGGGGATTCTTCCTTTCATGCTAGACTAAGAAGAGTTCTCAGTAACTTTTTTGTGTTGTGTGTATTCAACTCACAGAGTTGAACCTTGCTTTAGAGAGAGCAGATTTGAAACACTCTTGCTGTGGCATTTTCAGGTGGAGATTTCAAGCGATTTGAGGATAATTGCAGAAAAGGAAATATCTTCGTATAATAACCAGACAGAATCATTCTCAGAAAGTGCTTTGTGATGTGTGCGTTCAACTCACAGAGTTTAACCTTTCTTTCCATAGAGGAGTTTGGAAACACACTGTTTGTAAAGTCTGCAATTGGATATATGGACCTGTTTGAGGCCTTCGTTGGAAACGGGATTTCTTCATTGAATGCTAGACGGAAGAATTCTCAGTAAATTCTTTGTGTTGTGTGCATTCAACTCACAGAGTGGAACGTCCCTTTAGACAGAGCAGATTTGAAACACTCTTTTTGCGGAATTTGCAAGTGGAGATTTCTAGCCATTTGATGCCAACAGTAGAAAGGGAAACATCTTCAAATAAAAACCAGACAGAATCATTCTCAGAAAATTCTTTGTGATGTGTGCGTTCAACTCACATAGTTTAACCTTTCTTTTCATAGAGCAGTTTGGAAACACTCTGTTTGTAAAGTCTGCAAGTGGATATATGGACCGCATTGAGGCCTTCGTTGGAAACGGGATTTCTTCATTTCATGCTAGACAGAAGAATTCTCAGTAACTTCTTTGTGCTGTGTGTATTCAACTCACAGAGTGGAACGTCCCTTTGCACAGAGCAGATTTGAAACACTCTTTTTGTGGAATTTGCAAGTGGAGATTTCAAGCGATTTGATGCCAACAGTAGAAAAGGAAATATCTTCAAATAAAAACTAGACAGAATCATTCTCAGAAACTACTTTGTGATGTGTGCCTTCAACTCACAGAGTTTAACCTTTCTTTTCTTAGAGCAGTTTAGAAACACTCTGCTTGTTATGTCTGCAAGTGGATATTTGGACCTCTTTGAGGCCTTCGTTGCAAACGGGGTTTCTTCCTTTCATGCTAGACTAAGAAGAGTTCTCAGTAACTTTTTTGTGTTGTGTGTATTCAACTCACAGAGTTGAACCTTGCTTTAGAGAGAGCAGATTTGAAACACTCTTGCTGTGGCATTTTCAGGTGGAGATTTCAAGCGATTTGAGAACAATAACAGAAAAGGAAATATCTTCGTATAACAACCAGACAGAATCATTCTCAGAAAGTGCTTTGTGATGTGTGCGTTCCACTCACAGAGTTTAACCTTTCTTTTCATAGAGGAGTTTGGAAACACACTGTTTGTAAACTCTGCAAGTGGATATATGGACCTGTTTGAGGCCTTCGTTGGAAACGGGATTTCTTCATTGAATGCTAGACGGAAGAATTCTCAGTAAATTCTTTGTGTTGTGTGCATTCAACTCACAGAGTGGAACGTCCCTTTAGACAGAGCAGATTTGAAACACTCTTTTTGCGGAATTTGCAAGTAGAGATTTCTAGCCATTTGATGCCAACAGTAGAAAGGGAAATATCTTCAAATAAAAACCAGACAGAATCATTCTCAGAAAATTCTTTGTGATGTGTGCGTTCAACTCACATAGTTTAACCTTTCTTTTCATAGAGCAGTTTGGAAACACTCTGTTTGTAAAGTCTGCAAGTGGATATATGGACCGCATTGAGGCCTTCGTTGGAAACGGGATTTCTTCATTTCATGCTAGACAGAAGAATTCTCAGTAACTTCTTTGTGCTGTGTGTATTCAACTCACAGAGTGGAACGTCCCTTTACACAGAGCAGATTTGAAACACTCTTTTTGTGGAGTTTGCAAGTGGAGATTTCAAGCGATTTGATGCCAACAGTAGAAAAGGAAATATCTTCAAATAAAAACTAGACAGAATCATTCTCAGAAACTACTTTGTGATGTGTGCCTTCAACTCACAGAGTTTAACCTTTCTTTTCTTAGAGCAGTTTAGAATCACTCTGCTTGTTATGTCTGCAAGTGGATATTTGGACCTCTTTGAGGCCTTCGTTGCAAACGGGGTTTCTTCCTTTAATGCTAGACTAAGAAGAGTTCTCAGTAACTTTTTTGTGTTGTGTGTATTCAACTCACAGAGTTGAACCTTACTTTAGAGAGAGCAGATTTGAAACACTCTCGCTGTGGAATTTTCAGGTGGAGATTTCAAGCGATTTGAGGACAATTGCAGAAAAGGAAATATCTTCGTATAATAACCAGACAGAATCATTCTCAGAAAGTGCTTTGTGATGTGTGCGTTCAACTCACAGTAGTTTAACCTTTCTTTTCATAGAGGAGTTTGGAAACACACTGTTTGTAAAGTCTGCAGGTGGATATATGGACCTGTTTGAGTCCTTCGTTGGAAACGGGATTTCTTCATTGAATGCTAGACGGAAGAATTCTCAGTAAATTCTTTGTGTTGTGTGCATTCAACTCACAGAGTGGAACGTCCCTTTAGACAGAGCAGATTTGAAACACTCTTTTTGCGGAATTTGCAAGTGGAGATTTCTAGCCATTTGATGCCAACAGTAGAAAGGGAAATATCTTCAAATAAAAACCAGACAGAATCATTCTCAGAAAATTCTTTGTGATGTGTGCGTTCAACTCACATAGTTTAACCTTTCTTTTCATAGAGCAGTTTGGAAACACTCTGTTTGTAAAGTCTGCAAGTGGATATATGGACCGCATTGAGGCCTTCGTTGGAAACGGGATTTCTTCATTTCATGCTAGACAGAAGAATTCTCAGTAACTTCTTTGTGCTGTGTGTATTCAACTCACAGAGTGGAACGTCCCTTTGCACAGAGCAGATTTGAAACACTCTTTTTGTGGAGTTTGCAAGTGGAGATTTCAAGCGATTTGATGCCAACAGTAGAAAAGGAAATATCTTCAAATAAAAACTAGACAGAATCATTCTCAGAAACTACTTTGTGATGTGTGCCTTCAACTCACAGAGTTTAACCTTTCTTTTCTTAGAGCAGTTTAGAAACACTCTGCTTGTTATGTCTGCAAGTGGATATTTGGACCTCTTTGAGGCCTTCGTTGCAAACGGGGTTTCTTCCTTTCATGCTAGACTAAGAAGAGTTCTCAGTAACTTTTTTGTGTTGTGTGTATTCAACTCACAGAGTTGAACCTTGCTTTAGAGAGAGCAGATTTGAAACACTCTTGCTGTGGCATTTTCAGGTGGAGATTTCAAGCGATTTGAGGACAATTACAGAAAAGGAAATATCTTCGTATAACAACCAGACAGAATCATTCTCAGAAAGTGCTTTGTGATGTGTGCGTTCCACTCACAGAGATTAACCTTTCTTTTCATAGAGGAGTTTGGAAACACACTGTTTGTAAACTCTGCAAGTGGATATATGGACCTGTTTGAGGCCTTCGTTGGAAACGGGATTTCTTCATTGAATGCTAGACGGAAGAATTCTCAGTAAATTCTTTGTGTTGTGTGCATTCAACTCACAGAGTGGAACGTCCCTTTAGACAGAGCAGATTTGAAACACTCTTTTTGCGGAATTTGCAAGTGGAGATTTCTAGCCATTTGATGCCAACAGTAGAAAGGGAAATATCTTCAAATAAAAACCAGACAGAATCATTCTCAGAAAATTCTTTGTGATGTGTGCGTTCAACTCACATAGTTTAACCTTTCTTTTCATAGAGCAGTTTGGAAACACTCTGTTTGTAAAGTCTGCAAGTGGATATATGGACCGCATTGAGGCCTTCGTTGGAAACGGGATTTCTTCATTTCATGCTAGACAGAAGAATTCTCAGTAACTTCTTTGTGCTGTGTGTATTCAACTCACAGAGTGGAACGTCCCTTTACACAGAGCAGATTTGAAACACTCTTTTTGTGGAGTTTGCAAGTGGAGATTTCAAGCGATTTGATGCCAACAGTAGAAAAGGAAATATCTTCAAATAAAAACTAGACAGAATCATTCTCAGAAACTACTTTGTGATGTGTGCCTTCAACTCACAGAGTTTAACCTTTCTTTTCTTAGAGCAGTTTAGAAACACTCTGCTTGTTATGTCTGCAAGTGGATATTTGGACCTCTTTGAGGCCTTCGTTGCAAACGGGGTTTCTTCCGTTCATGCTAGAGTAAGAAGAGTTCTCAGTAACTTTTTTGTGTTGTGTGTATTCAACTCACAGAGTTGAACCTTGCTTTAGAGAGAGCAGATTTGAAACACTCTTGCTGTGGCATTTTCAGGTGGAGATTTCAAGCGATTTGAGGACAATTGCAGAAAAGGAAATATCTTCGTATAACAACCAGACAGAATCATTCTCAGAAAGTGCTTTGTGATGTGTGCGTTCAACTCACAGAGTTTAACCTTTCTTTTCATAGAGGAGTTTGGAAACACACTGTTTGTAAAGTCTGCAATTGGATATATGGACCTGTTTGAGGCCTTCGTTGGAAACGGGATTTCTTCATTGAATGCTAGGCGGAAGAATTCTCAGTAAATTCTTTGTGTTGTGTGCATTCAACTCACAGAGTGGAACGTCCCTTTAGACAGAGCAGATTTGAAACACTCTTTTTGCGGAATTTGCAAGTGGAGATTTCTAGCCATTTGATGCCAACAGTAGAAAGGGAAATATCTTCAAATAAAAACCAGACAGAATCATTCTCAGAAAATTCTTTGTGATGTGTGCGTTCAACTCACATAGTTTAACCTTTCTTTTCATAGAGCAGTTTGGAAACACTCTGTTTGTAAAGTCTGCAAGTGGATATATGGACCGCATTGAGGCCTTCGTTGGAAACGGGATTTCTTCATTTCATGCTAGACAGAAGAATTCTCAGTAACTTCTTTGTGCTGTGTGTATTCAACTCACAGAGTGGAACGTCCCTTTGCACAGAGCAGATTTGAAACACTCTTTTTGTGGAATTTGCAAGTGGAGATTTCAAGCGATTTGATGCCAACAGTAGAAAAGGAAATATCTTCAAATAAAAACTAGACAGAATCATTCTCAGAAACTACTTTGTGATGTGTGCCTTCAACTCACAGAGTTTAACCTTTCTTTTCTTAGAGCAGTTTAGAAACACTCTGCTTGTTATGTCTGCAAGTGGATATTTGGACCTCTTTGAGGCCTTCGTTGCAAACGGGGTTTCTTCCTTTCATGCTAGACTAAGAAGAGTTCTCAGTAACTTTTTTGTGTTGTGTGTATTCAACTCACAGAGTTGAACCTTGCTTTAGAGAGAGCAGATTTGAAACACTCTTGCTGTGGCATTTTCAGGTGGAGATTTCAAGCGATTTGAGGACAATTGCAGAAAAGGAAATATCTTCGTATAATAACCAGACAGAATCATTCTCAGAAAGTGCTTTGTGATGTGTGCGTTCAACTCACAGAGTTTAACTTTTCTTTTCATAGAGGAGTTTGGAAACACACTGTTTCTAAAGTCTGCAATTGGATATATGGACCTGTTTGAATCCTTCGTTGGAAACGGGATTTCTTCATTGAATGCTAGACGGAAGAATTCTCAGTAAATTCTTTGTGTTGTGTGCATTCAACTCACAGAGTGGAACGTCCCTTCAGACAGAGCAGATTTGAAACACTCTTTTTGCGGAATTTGCAAGTGGAGATTTCTAGCCATTTGATGCCAACAGTAGAAAGGGAAATATCTTCAAATAAGAACTAGACAGAATCATCCTCAGAAAATTCTTTGTGATGTGTGCGTTCAACTCACATAGTTTAACCTTTCTTTTCATAGAGCAGTTTGGAAACACTCTGTTGGTAAAGTCTGCAAGTGGATATATGGACCGCATTGAGGCCTTCGTTGGAAACGGGATTTCTTCATTTCATGCTAGACAGAAGAATTCTCAGTAACTACTTTGTGCTGTGTGTATTCACCTCACAGAGTGGAACGTTCCTTTACACAGAGCAGATTTGAAACACTCTTTTTGTGGAAATTGCAAGTGGAGATTTCAAGCGATTTGATGCCAACAGTAGAAAAGGAAATATCTTCAAATAAAAACTAGACAGAATCATTCTCAGAAACTTCTTTGTGATGTGTGCCCTCAACTCACAGAGTTTAACCTTTCTTTTCTTAGAGCAGTTTAGAAACACTCTGCTTGTTATGTCTGCAAGTGGATATTTGGACCTCTTTGAGGCCTTCGTTGCAAACGGGGTTTCTTCCTTTCATGCTAGACTAAGAAGAGTTCTCAGTAACTTTTTTGTGTTGCGTGTATTCAACTCACAGAGTTGAACCTTGCTTTAGAGAGAGCAGATTTGAAACACTCTTGCTGTGGCATTTTCAGGTGGAGATTTCAAGCGATTTGAGGACAATTTCAGAAAAGGAAATATCTTCGTATAATAACCAGACAGAATCATTCTCAGAAAGTGCTTTGTGATGTGTGCGTTCAACTCACAGAGTTTAACCTTTCTTTTCATAGAGGAGTTTGGAAACACACTGTTTGTAAAGTCTGCAAGTGGATATATGGACCTGTTTGAGGCCTTCGTTGGAAACGAGATTTCTTCATTGAATGCTAGACGGAAGAATTCTCAGTAAATTCTTTGTGTTGTGTGCATTCAACTCACACAGTGGAACGTCCCTTTAGACAGAGCAGATTTGAAACACTCTTTTTGCGGAAGTTGCAAGTGGAGATTTCTAGCCATTTGATGCCAACAGTAGAAAGGGAAATATCTTCAAATAAAAACTAGACAGAATCATTCTCAGAAAGTGCTTTGTGATGTGTGCGTTCAACTCACAGAGTTTAACCTTTCTTTTCATAGAGGAGTTTGGAAACACACTGTTTGTAAAGTCTGCAATTGGATATATGGACCTGTTTGAGGCCTTCGTTGGAAACGGGATTTCTTCATTGCATGCTAGACGGAAGAATTCTCAGTAAATTCTTTGTGTGGTGTGCATTCAACTCACAGAGTGGAACGTCCCTTTAGACAGAGCAGATTTGAAACACTCTTTTTGCGGAATTTGCAAGTGGAGATTTCTAGCCATTTGATGCCAACAGTAGAAAGGGAAATATCTTCAAATAAAAACCAGACAGAATCATTCTCAGAAAATTCTTTGTGATGTGTGCGTTCAACTCACATAGTTTAACCTTTCTTTTCATAGAGCAGTTTGGAAACACTCTGTTTGTAAAGTCTGCAAGTGGATATATGGACCGCATTGAGGCCTTCGTTGGAAACGGGATTTCTTCATTTCATGCTAGACAGAAGAATTCTCAGTAACTTCTTTGTGCTGTGTGTATTCAACTCACAGAGTGGAACGTCCCTTTACACAGAGCAGATTTGAAACACTCTTTTTGTGGAGTTTGCAATTGGAGATTTCAAGCGATTTGATGCCAACAGTAGAAAAGGAAATATCTTCAAATAAAAACTAGACAGAATCATTCTCAGAAACTACTTTGTGATGTGTGCCTTCAACTCACAGAGTTTAACCTTTCTTTTCTTAGAGCAGTTTAGAAACACTCTGCTTGTTATGTCTGCAAGTGGATATTTGGACCTCTTTGAGGCCTTCGTTGCAAACGGGGTTTCTTCCTTTCATGCTAGACTAAGAAGAGTTCTCAGTAACTTTTTTGTGTTGTGTGTATTCAACTCACAGAGTTGAACCTTGCTTTAGAGAGAGCAGATTTGAAACACTCTTGCTGTGGCATTTTCAGGTGGAGATTTCAAGCGATTTGAGGACAATTGCAGAAAAGGAAATATCTTCGTATAACAACCAGATAGAATCATTCTCAGAAAGTGCTTTGTGATGTGTGCGTTCAACTTACAGAGTTTAACCTTTCTTTTCATAGAGGAGTTTGGAAACACACTGTTTGTAAAGTCTGCAATTGGATATATGGACCTGTTTGAGGCCTTCGTTGGAAACGGGATTTCTTCATTGAATGCTAGACGGAAGAATTCTCAGTAAATTCTTTGTGTGGTGTGCATTCAACTCACAGAGTGGAACGTCCCTTTAGACAGAGCAGATTTGAAACACTCTTTTTGCGGAATTTGCAAGTGGAGATTTCTAGCCATTTGATGCCAACAGTAGAAAGGGAAATATCTTCAAATAAAAACCAGACAGAATCATTCTCAGAAAATTCTTTGTGATGTGTGCGTTCAACTCACATAGTTTAACCTTTCTTTTCATAGAGCAGTTTGGAAACACTCTGTTTGTAAAGTCTGCAAGTGGATATATGGACCGCATTGAGGCCTTCGTTGGAAACGGGATTTCTTCATTTCATGCTAGACAGAAGAATTCTCAGTAACTTCTTTGTGCTGTGTGTATTCAACTCACAGAGTGGAACGTCCCTTTACACAGAGCAGATTTGAAACACTCTTTTTGTGGAGTTTGCAAGTGGAGATTTCAAGCGATTTGATGCCAACAGTAGAAAAGGAAATATCTTCAAATAAAAACTAGACAGAATCATTCTCAGAAACTACTTTGTGATGTGTGCCTTCAACTCACAGAGTTTAACCTTTCTCTTTCTTAGAGCAGTTTAGAAACACCTCTGCTTGTTATGTCTGCAAGTGGATATTTGGACCTCTTTGAGGCCTTCATTGCAAACGGCGTTTCTTCCTTTAATGCTAGACTAAGAAGAGTTCTCAGTAACTTTTTTGTGTTGTGTGTATTCAACTCACAGAGTTGAACCTTGCTTTAGAGAGAGCAGATTTGAAACACTCTTGCTGTGGCATTTTCAGGTGGAGATTTCAAGCGTTTTGAGGACAATTGCAGAAAAGGAAATATCTTCGTATAATAACCAGACAGAATCATTCTCAGAAAGTGCTTTGTGATGTGTGCGTTCCACTCACAGAGTTTAACCTTTCTTTTCATAGAGGAGTTTGGAAACACACTGTTTGTAAACTCTGCAAGTGGATATATGGACCTGTTTGAGGCCTTCGTTGGAAACGGGATTTCTTCATTGAATGCTAGACGGAAGAATTCTCAGTAAATTCTTTGTGTTGTGTGCATTCAACTCACAGAGTGGAACGTCCCTTTAGACAGAGCAGATTTGAAACACTCTTTTTGCGGAATTTGCAAGTGGAGATTTCTAGCCATTTGATGCCAACAGTAGAAAGGGAAATATCTTCAAATAAAAACCAGACAGAATCATTCTCAGAAAATTCTTTGTGATGTGTGCGTTCAACTCACATAGTTTAACCTTTCTTTTCATAGAGCAGTTTGGAAACACTCTGTTTGTAAAGTCTGCAAGTGGATATATGGACCGCATTGAGGCCTTCGTTGGAAACGGGATTTCTTCATTTCATGCTAGACAGAAGAATTCTCAGTAACTTCTTTGTGCTGTGTGTATTCAACTCACAGAGTGGAACGTCCCTTTGCACAGAGCAGATTTGGAACACTCTTTTTGTGGAGTTTGCTAGTGGAGATTTCAAGCGATTTGATGCCAACAGTAGAAAAGGAAATATCTTCAAATAAAAACTAGACAGAATCATTCTCAGAAACTACTTTGTGATGTGTGCCTTTAACTCACAGAGTTTAACCTTTCTTTTCTTAGAGCAGTTTAGAAACACTCTGCTTGTTATGTCTGCAAGTGGATATTTGGACCTCTTTGAGGCCTTCGTTGCAAACGGGGTTTCTTCCTTTCATGCTAGACTAAGAAGAGTTCTCAGTAACTTTTTTGTGTTGTGTGTATTCAACTCACAGAGTTGAACCTTGCTTTAGAGAGAGCAGATTTGAAACACTCTTGCTGTGGCATTTTCAGGTGGAGATTTCAAGCGATTTGAGGACAATTGCAGAAAAGGAAATATCTTCGTATAATAACCAGACAGAATCATTCTCAGAAAGTGCTTTGTGATGTGTGCGTTCAACTCACAGAGTTTAACCTTTCTTTTCATAGAGGAGTTTGGAAACACACTGTTTGTAAAGTCTGCAATTGGATATATGGACCTGTTTGAGGCCTTCGTTGGAAACGGGATTTCTTCATTGCATGCTAGACGGAAGAATTCTCAGTAAATTCTTTGTGTTGTGTGCATTCAACTCACAGAGTGGAACGTCCCTTTAGACAGAGCAGATTTGAAACACTCTTTTTGCGGAATTTGCAAGTGGAGATTTCTAGCCATTTGATGCCAACAGTAGAAAGGGAAATATCTTCAAATAAAAACCAGACAGAATCATTCTCAGAAAATTCTTTGTGATGTGTGCGTTCAACTCACATAGTTTAACCTTTCTTTTCATAGAGCAGTTTGGAAACACTCTGTTTGTAAAGTCTGCAAGTGGATATATGGACCGCATTGAGGCCTTCGTTGGAAACGGGATTTCTTCATTTCATGCTAGACAGAAGAATTCTCAGTAACTTCTTTGTGCTGTGTGTATTCAACTCACAGAGTGGAACGTCCCTTTACACAGAGCAGATTTGAAACACTCTTTTTGTGGAGTTTGCAAGTGGAGATTTCAAGCGATTTGATGCCAACAGTAGAAAAGGAAATATCTTCAAATAAAAACTAGACAGAATCATTCTCAGAAACTACTTTATGATGTGTGCCTTCAACTCACAGAGTTTAACCTTTCTTTTCTTAGAGCAGTTTAGAAACACTCTGCTTGTTATGTCTGCAAGTGGATATTTGGACCTCTTTGAGGCCTTCGTTGCAAACGGGGTTTCTTCCTTTCATGCTAGACTAAGAAGAGTTCTCAGTAACTTTTTTGTGTTGTGTGTATTCAACTCACAGAGTTGAACCTTGCTTTAGAGAGAGCAGATTTGAAACACTCTTGCTGTGGCATTTTCAGGTGGAGATTTCAAGCGATTTGAGGACAATTGCAGAAAAGGAAATATCTTCGTATAATAACCAGACAGAATCATTCTCAGAAAGTGCTTTGTGATGTGTGCGTTCAACTCACAGAGTTTAACCTTTCTTTTCATAGAGGAGTTTGGAAACACACTGTTTGTAAAGTCTGCAATTGGATATATGGACCTGTTTGAGGCCTTCTTTGGAAAAGGGATTTCTTCATTGAATGCTAGACGGAAGAATTCTCAGTAAATTCTTTGTGTTGTGTGCATTCAACTCACAGAGTGGAACGTCCCTTTAGACAGAGCAGATTTGAAACACTCTTTTTGCGGAATTTGCAAGTGGAGATTTCTAGCCATTTGATGCCAACAGTAGAAAGGGAAATATCTTCAAATAAAAACCAGACAGAATCATTCTCAGAAAATTCTTTGTGATGTGTGCGTTCAACTCACATAGTTTAACCTTTCTTTTCATAGAGCAGTTTGGAAACACTCTGTTTGTAAAGTCTGCAAGTGGATATATGGACCGCATTGAGGCCTTCGTTGGAAACGGGATTTCTTCATTTCATGCTAGACAGAAGAATTCTCAGTAACTTCTTTGTGCTGTGTGTATTCAACTCACAGAGTGGAACGTCCCTTTACACAGAGCAGATTTGAAACACTCTTTTTGTGGAGTTTGCAAGTGGAGATTTCAAGCGATTTGATGCCAACAGTAGAAAAGGAAATATCTTCAAATAAAAACTAGACAGAATCATTCTCAGAAACTACTTTGTGATGTGTGCCTTCAACTCACAGAGTTTAACCTTTCTTTTCTTAGAGCAGTTTAGAAACACTCTGCTTGTTATGTCTGCAAGTGGATATTTGGACCTCTTTGAGGCCTTCGTTGCAAACGGGGTTTCTTCCTTTCATGCTAGACTAAGAAGAGTTCTCAGTAACTTTTTTGTGTTGTGTGTATTCAACTCACAGAGTTGAACCTTGCTTTAGAGAGAGCAGATTTGAAACACTCTTGCTGTGGCATTTTCAGGTGGAGATTTCAAGCGATTTGAGGACAATTGCAGAAAAGGAAATATCTTCGTATAATAACCAGACAGAATCATTCTCAGAAAGTGCTTTGTGATGTGTGCGTTCAACTCACAGAGTTTAACCTTTCTTTCCATAGAGGAGTTTGGAAACACACTGTTTGTAAAGTCTGCAATTGGATATATGGACCTGTTTGAGGCCTTCGTTGGAAACGGGATTTCTTCATTGAATGCTAGACGGAAGAATTCTCAGTAAATTCTTTGTATTGTGTGCATTCAACTCACAGAGTGGAACGTCCCTTTAGACAGAGCAGATTTGAAACACTCTTTTTGCGGAATCTGCAAGTGGAGATTTCTAGCCATTTGATGCCAACAGTAGAAAGGGAAACATCTTCAAATAAAAACCAGACAGAATCATTCTCAGAAAATTCTTTGTGATGTGTGCGTTCAACTCACATAGTTTAACCTTTCTTTTCATAGAGCAGTTTGGAAACACTCTGTTTGTAAAGTCTGCAAGTGGATATATGGACCGCATTGAGGCCTTCGTTGGAAACGGGATTTCTTCATTTCATGCTAGACAGAAGAATTCTCAGTAACTTCTTTGTGCTGTGTGTATTCAACTCACAGAGTGGAACGTCCCTTTGCACAGAGCAGATTTGAAACACTCTTTTTGTGGAATTTGCAAGTGGAGATTTCAAGCGATTTGATGCCAACAGTAGAAAAGGAAATATCTTCAAATAAAAACTAGACAGAATCATTCTCAGAAACTACTTTGTGATGTGTGCCTTCAACTCACAGAGTTTAACCTTTCTTTTCTTAGAGCAGTTTAGAAACACTCTGCTTGTTATGTCTGCAAGTGGATATTTGGACCTCTTTGAGGCCTTCGTTGCAAACGGGGTTTCTTCCTTTAATGCTAGACTAAGAAGAGTTCTCAGTAACTTTTTTGTGTTGTGTGTATTCAACTCACAGAGTTGAACCTTGCTTTAGAGAGAGCAGATTTGAAACACTCTTGCTGTGGCATTTTCAGGTGGAGATTTCAAGCGATTTGAGGACAATTGCAGAAAAGGAAATATCTTCGTATAACAACCAGACAGAATCATTCTCAGAAAGTGCTTTGTGATGTGTGCGTTCAACTCACAGAGTTTAACCTTTCTTTTCATTGAGGAGTTTGGAAACACACTGTTTGTAAAGTCTGCAATTGGATATATGGACCTGTTTGAGGCCTTCGTTGGAAACGGGATTTCTTCATTGAATGCTAGACGGAAGAATTCTCAGTAAATTCTTTGTGTTGTGTGCATTCAACTGACAGAGTGGAACGTCCCTTAAGACAGAGCAGATTTGAAACACTCTTTTTGCGGAATTTGCAAGTGGAGATTTCTAGCCATTTGATGCCAACAGTAGAAAGGGAAATATCTTCAAATAAAAACCAGACAGAATCATTCTCAGAAAATTCTTTGTGATGTGTGCGTTCAACTCACATAGTTTAACCTTTCTTTTCATAGAGCAGTTTGGAAACACTCTGTTTGTAAAGTCTGCAAGTGCATATATGGACCGCATTGAGGCCTTCGTTGGAAACGGGATTTCTTCATTTCATGCTAGACAGAAGAATTCTCAGTAACTTCTTTGTGCTGTGTGTATTCAACTCACAGAGTGGAACGTCCCTTTGCACAGAGCAGATTTGAAACACTCTTTTTGTGGAATTTGCAAGTGGAGATTTCAAGCGATTTGATGCCAACAGTAGAAAAGGAAATATCTTCAAATAAAAACTAGACAGAATCATTCTCAGAAACTACTTTGTGATGTGTGCCTTCAACTCACAGAGTTTAACCTTTCTTTTCTTAGAGCAGTTTAGAAACACTCTGCTTGTTATGTCTGCAAGTGGATATTTGGACCTCTTTGAGGCCTTCGTTGCAAACGGGGTTTCTTCCTTTCATGCTAGACTAAGAAGAGTTCTCAGTAACTTTTTTGTGTTGTGTGTATTCAACTCACAGAGCTGAACCTTGCTTTAGAGAGAGCAGATTTGAAACACTCTTGCTGTGGCATTTTCAGGTGGAGATTTCAAGCGATTTGAGGACAATTGCAGAAAAGGAAATATCTTCGTATAACAACCAGACAGAATCATTCTCAGAAAGTGCTTTGTGATGTGTGCGTTCAACTCACAGAGTTTAACCTTTCTTTTCATAGAGGAGTTTGGAAACACACTGTTTGTAAAGTCTGCAATTGGATATATGGACCTGTTTGAGGCCTTCGTTGGAAACGGGATTTCTTCATTGAATGCTAGACGGAAGAATTCTCAGTAAATTCTTTGTGTGGTGTGCATTCAACTCACAGAGTGGAACGTCCCTTTAGACAGAGCAGATTTGAAACACTCTTTTTGCGGAATTTGCAAGTGGAGATTTCTAGCCATTTGATGCCAACAGTAGAAAGGGAAATATCTTCAAATAAAAACCAGACAGAATCATTCTCAGAAAATTCTTTGTGATGTGTGCGTTCAACTCACATAGTTTAACCTTTCTTTTCATAGAGCAGTTTGGAAACACTCTGTTTGTAAAGTCTGCAAGTGGATATATGGACCGCATTGAGGCCTTCGTTGGAAACGGGATTCTTCATTTCATGCTAGACAGAAGAATTCTCAGTAACTTCTTTGTGCTGTGTGTATTCAACTCACAGAGTGGAACGTCCCTTTGCACAGAGCAGATTTGAAACACTCTTTTTGTGGAGTTTGCAAGTGGAGATTTCAAGCGATTTGATGCCAACAGTAGAAAAGGAAATATCTTCAAATAAAAACTAGACAGAATCATTCTCAGAAACTACTTTGTGATGTGTGCCTTCAACTCACAGAGTTTAACCTTTCTTTTCTTAGAGCAGGTTAGAAACACTCTGCTTGTTATGTCTGCAAGTGGATATTTGGACCTCTTTGAGGCCTTCGTTGCAAACGGGGTTTCTTCCTTTCATGCTAGACTAAGAAGAGTTCTCAGTAACTTTTTTGTGTTGTGTGTATTCAACTCACAGAGTTGAACCTTGCTTTAGAGAGAGCAGATTTGAAACACTCTTGCTGTGGCATTTTCAGGTGGAGATTTCAAGCGATTTGAGGACAATTGCAGAAAAGGAAATATCTTCGTATAATAACCAGACAGAATCATTCTCAGAAAGTGCTTTGTGATGTGTGCGTTCCACTCACAGAGTTTAACCTTTCTTTTCATAGAGGAGTTTGGAAACACACTGTTTGTAAACTCTGCAAGTGGATATATGGACCTGTTTGAGGCCTTCGTTGGAAACGGGATTTCTTCATTGAATGCTAGACGGAAGAATTCTCAGTAAATTCTTTGTGTTGTGTGCATTCAACTCACAGAGTGGAACGTCCCTTTAGACAGAGCAGATTTGAAACACTCTTTTTGCGGAATTTGCAAGTGGAGATTTCTAGCCATTTGATGCCAACAGTAGAAAGGGAAATATCTTCAAATAAAAACCAGACAGAATCATTCTCAGAAAATTCTTTGTGATGTGTGCGTTCAACTCACATAGTTTAACCTTTCTTTTCATAGAGCAGTTTGGAAACACTCTGTTTGTAAAGTCTGCAAGTGGATATATGGACCGCATTGAGGCCTTCGTTGGAAACGGGATTTCTTCATTTCATGCTAGACAGAAGAATACTCAGTAACTTCTTTGTGCTGTGTGTATTCAACTCACAGAGTGGAACGTCCCTTTACACAGAGCAGATTTGAAACACTCTTTTTGTGGAGTTTGCAAGTGGAGATTTCAAGCGATTTGATGCCAACAGTAGAAAAGGAAATATCTTCAAATAAAAACTAGACAGAATCATTCTCAGAAACTACTTTGTGATGTGTGCCTTCAACTCACAGAGTTTAACCTTTCTTTTCTTAGAGCAGTTTAGAAACACTCTGCTTGTTATGTCTGCAAGTGGATATTTGGACCTCTTTGAGGCCTTCGTTGCAAACGGGGTTTCTTCCTTTAATGCTAGACTAAGAAGAGTTCTCAGTAACTTTTTTGTGTTGTGTGCATTCAACTCACAGAGTGGAACGTCCCTTTAGACAGAGCAGATTTGAAACACTCTTTTTGCGGAAGTTGCAAGTGGAGATTTCTAGCCATTTGATGCCAACAGTACAAAGGGAAATATCTTCAAATAAAAACTAGACAGAATCATTCTCAGAAAGTGCTTTGTGATGTGTGCGTTCAACTCACAGAGTTTAACCTTTCTTTTCATAGAGGAGTTTGGAAACACACTGTTTGTAAAGTCTGCAATTGGATATATGGACCTGTTTGAGGCCTTCATTGGAAACGGGATTTCTTCATTGAATGCTAGACGGAAGAATTCTCAGTAAATTCTTTGTGTGGTGTGCATTCAACTCACAGAGTGGAACGTCCCTTTAGACAGAGCAGATTTGAAACACTCTTTTTGCGGAATTTGCAAGTGGAGATTTCTAGCCATTTGATGCCAACAGTAGAAAGGGAAATATCTTCAAATAAAAACCAGACAGAATCATTCTCAGAAAATTCTTTGTGATGTGTGCGTTCAACTCACATAGTTTAACCTTTCTTTTCATAGAGCAGTTTGGAAACACTCTGTTTGTAAAGTCTGCAAGTGGATATATGGACCGCATTGAGGCCTTCGTTGGAAACGGGATTTCTTCATTTCATGCTAGACAGAAGAATTCTCAGTAACTTCTTTGTGCTGTGTGTATTCAACTCACAGAGTGGAACGTCCCTTTGCACAGAGCAGATTTGAAACACTCTTTTTGTGGAGTTTGCAAGTGGAGATTTCAAGCGATTTGATGCCAACAGTAGAAAAGGAAATATCTTCAAATAAAAACTAGACAGAATCATTCTCAGAAACTACTTTGAGATGTGTGCCTTCAACTCACAGAGTTTAACCTTTCTTTTCTTAGAGCAGTTTAGAAACACTCTGCTTGTTATGTCTGCAAGTGGATATTTGGACCTCTTTGAGGCCTTCGTTGCAAACGGGGTTTCTTCCATTCATGCTAGACTAAGAAGAGTTCTCAGTAACTTTTTTGTGTTGTGTGTATTCAACTCACAGAGTTGAACCTTGCTTTAGAGAGAGCAGATTTGAAACACTCTTGCTGTGACATTTTCAGGTGGAGATTTCAAGCGATTTGAGGACAATTGCAGAAAAGGAAATATCTTCGTATAATAACCAGAAAGAATCATTCTCAGAAAGTGCTTTGTGATGTGTGCGTTCAACTCACAGAGTTTAACCTTTCTTTTCATAGAGGAGTTTGGAAACACACTGTTTGTAAAGTCTGCAAGTGGATATATGGACCTGTTTGAGGCCTTCGTTGGAAACGGGATTTCTTCATTGAATGCTAGACGGAAGAATTCTCAGTAAATTCTTTGTGTTGTGTGCATTCAACTCACAGAGTGGAACGTCCCTTTAGACAGAGCAGATTTGAAACACTCTTTTTGCGGAATTTGCAAGTGGAGATTTCTAGCCATTTGATGCCAACAGTAGAAAGGGAAATATCTTCAAATAAAAACCAGACAGAATCATTCTCAGAAAATTCTTTGTGATGTGTGCATTCAACTCACATAGTTTAACCTTACTTTTCATAGAGCAGTTTGGAAACACTCTGTTTGTAAAGTCTGCAAGTGGATATATGGACCGCATTGAGGCCTTCGTTGGAAGCGGGATTTCTTCATTTCATGCTAGACAGAAGAATTCTCAGTAACTTCTTTGTGCTGTGTGTATTCAACTCACAGAGTGGAACATCCCTTTGCACAGAGCAGATTTGAAACACTCTTTTTCTGGAGTTTGCAAGTGGAGATTTCAAGCGATTTGATGCCAACAGTAGAAAAGGAAATATCTTCAAATAAAAACTAGACAGAATCATTCTCAGAAACTACTTTGTGATGTGTGTCTTCAACTCACAGAGTTTAACCTTTCTTTTCTTAGAGCAGTTTAGAAACACTCTGCTTGTTATGTCTGCAAGTGGATATTTGGACCTCTTTGAGGCCTTCGTTGCAAACGGGGTTTCTTCCTTTCATGCTAGACTAAGAAGAGTTCTCAGTAACTTTTTTGTGTTGTGTGTATTCAACTCACAGAGTTGAACCTTGCTTTAGAGAGAGGAGATTTGAAACACTCTTGCTGTGGCATTTTCAGGTGGAGATTTCAAGCGATTTGAGGACAATTGCAGAAAAGGAAATATCTTCGTATAATAACCAGACAGAATCATTCTCAGAAAGTGCTTTGTGATGTGTGCGTTCAACTCACAGAGTTTAACCTTTCTTTCCATAGAGGAGTTTGGAAACACACTGTTTGTAAAGTCTGCAAGTGGATATATGGACCTGTTTGAGGCCTTCGTTGGAAACGGGATTTCTTCATTGAATGCTAGACGGAAGAATTCTCAGTAAATTCTTTGTGTTGTGTGCATTCAACTGACAGAGTGGAACGTCCCTTTAGACAGAGCAGATTTGAAACACTCTTTTTGCGGAATTTGCAAGTGGAGATTTCTAGCCATTTGATGCCAACAGTAGAAAGGGAAATATCTTCAAATAAAAACCAGACAGAATCATTCTCAGAAAATTCTTTGTGATGTGTGCGTTCAACTCACATAGTTTAACCTTTCTTTTCATAGAGCAGTTTGGAAACACTCTGTTTGTAAAGTCTGCAAGTGGATATATGGACCGCATTGAGGCCTTCGTTGGAAACGGGATTTCTTCATTTCATGCTAGACAGAAGAATTCTCAGTACCTTCTTTGTGCTGTGTGTATTCAACTCACAGAGTGGAACGTCCCTTTACATAGAGCAGATTTGAAACACTCTTTTTGTGGAGTTTGCAAGTGGAGATTTCAAGCGATTTGATGCCAACAGTAGAAAAGGAAATATCTTCAAATAAAAACTAGACAGAATCATTCTCAGAAACTACTTTGTGATGTGTGCCTTCAACTCACAGAGTTTAACCTTTCTTTTCTTAGAGCAGTTTAGAAACACTCTGCTTGTTATGTCTGCAAGTGGATATTTGGACCTCTTTGAGGCCTTCGTTGCAAACGGGGTTTCTTCCTTTCATGCTAGACTAAGAAGAGTTCTCAGTAACTTTTTTGTGTTGTGTGTATTCAACTCACAGAGTTGAACCTTGCTTTAGAGAGAGCAGATTTGAAACACTCTTGCTGTGGCATTTTCAGGTGGAGATTTCAAGCGATTTGAGGACAATTGCAGAAAAGGAAATATCTTCGTATAATAACCAGACAGAATCATTCTCAGAAAGTGCTTTGTGATGTGTGCGTTCAACTCACAGAGTTTAACCTTTCTTTTCATAGAGGAGTTTGGAAACACACTGTTTGTAAAGTCTGCAAGTGGATATATGGACCTCTTTGAGGCCTTCGTTGGAAACGGGATTTCTTCATTGAATGCTAGACGGAAGAATTCTCAGTAAATTCTTTGTGTTGTGTGCATTCAACTCACAGAGTGGAACGTCCCTTTAGACAGAGCAGATTTGAAACACTCTTTTTGCGGAATTTGCAAGTGGAGATTTCTAGCCATTTGATGCCAACAGTAGAAAGGGAAATATCTTCAAATAAAAACCAGACAGAATCATTCTCAGAAAATTCTTTGTGATGTGTGCGTTCAACTCACATAGTTTAACCTTTCTTTTCATAGAGCAGTTTGGAAACACTCTGTTTGTAAAGTCTGCAAGTGGATATATGGACCGCATTGAGGCCTTCGTTGGAAACGGGATTTCTTCATTTCATGCTAGACAGAAGAATTCTCAGTAACTTCTTTGTGCTGTGTGTATTCAACTCACAGAGTGGAACGTCCCTTTGCACAGAGCAGATTTGAAACACTCTTTTTGTGGAGTTTGCAAGTGGAGATTTCAAGCGATTTGATGCCAACAGTAGAAAAGGAAATATCTTCAAATAAAAACTAGACAGAATCATTCTCAGAAACTACTTTGTGATGTGTGCCTTCAACTCACAGAGTTTAACCTTTCTTTTCTTAGAGCAGTTTAGAAACACTCTGCTTGTTATGTCTGCAAGTGGATATTTGGACCTCTTTGAGGCCTTCGTTGCAAACGGGGTTTCTTCCTTTCATGCTAGACTAAGAAGAGTTCTCAGTAACTTTTTTGTGTTGTGTGCATTCAACTCACAGAGCTGAACCTTGCTTTAGAGAGAGCAGATTTGAAACACTCTTGCTGTGGCATTTTCAGGTGGAGATTTCAAGTGATTTGAGGACAATTGCAGAAAAGGAAATATCTTCGTATAACAACCAGACAGAATCATTCTCAGAAAGTGCTTTGTGATGTGTGCGTTCAACTCACAGAGTTTAACCTTTCTTTTCATAGAGGAGTTTGGAAACACACTGTTTGTAAAGTCTGCAATTGGATATATGGACCTGTTTGAGGCCTTCGTTGGAAACGGGATTTCTTCATTGCATGCTAGACGGAAGAATTCTCAGTAAATAGTTTGTGTTGTGCGCATTCAACTGACAGAGTGGAACGTCCCTTTAGACAGAGCAGATTTGAAACACTCTTTTTGCGGAATTTGCAAGTGGAGATTTCTAGCCATTTGATGCCAACAGTAGAAAGGGAAATATCTTCAAATAAAAACCAGACAGAATCATTCTCAGAAAATTCTTTGTGATGTGTGCGTTCAACTCACATAGTTTAACCTTTCTTTTCATAGAGCAGTTTGGAAACACTCTGTTTGTAAAGTCTGCAAGTGGATATATGGACCTCTTTGAGGCCTTCGTTGGAAACGGGATTTCTTCATTGAATGCTAGACGGAAGAATTCTCAGTAAATTCTTTGTGTTGTGTGCATTCAACTCACAGAGTGGAACGTCCCTTTAGACAGAGCAGATTTGAAACACTCTTTTTGCGGAATTTGCAAGTGGAGATTTCTAGCCATTTGATGCCAACAGTAGAAAGGGAAATATCTTCAAATAAAAACCAGACAGAATCATTCTCAGAAAATTCTTTGTGATGTGTGCATTCAACTCACATAGTTTAACCTTTCTTTTCATAGAGCAGTTTGGAAACACTCTGTTTGTAAAGTCTGCAAGTGGATATATGGACCGCATTGAGGCCTTCGTTGGAAACGGGATTTCTTCATTTCATGCTAGACAGAAGAATTCTCAGTAACTTCTTTGTGCTGTGTGTATTCAACTCACAGAGTGGAACGTCCCTTTACACAGAGCAGATTTGAAACACTCTTTTTGTGGAGTTTGCAAGTGGAGATTTCAAGCGATTTGATGCCAACAGTAGAAAAGGAAATATCTTCAAATAAAAACTAGACAGAATCATTCTCAGAAACTACTTTGTGATGTGTGCCTTCAACTCACAGAGTTTAACCTTTCTTTTCATAGAGCAGTTTAGAAACACTCTGCTTGTTATGTCTGCAAGTGGATATTTGGACCTCTTTGAGGCCTTCGTTGCAAACGGGGTTTCTTCCTTTCATGCTAGACTAAGAAGAGTTCTCAGTAACTTTTTTGTGTTGTGTGTATTCAACTCACAGAGTTGAACCTTGCTTTAGAGAGAGCAGATTTGAAACACTCTTGCTGTGGCATTTTCAGGTGGAGATTTCAAGCGATTTGAGGACAATTGCAGAAAAGGAAATATCTTCGTATAATAACCAGACAGAATCATTCTCAGAAAGTGCTTTGTGATGTGTGCGTTCCACTCACAGAGTTTAACCTTTCTTTTCATAGAGGAGTTTGGAAACACACTGTTTGTAAAGTCTGCAAGTGGATATATGGACCTGTTTGAGGCCTTCGTTGGAAACGGGATTTCTTCATTGAATGCTAGACGGAAGAATTCTCAGTAAATTCTTTCGTGTTGTGTGCATTCAACTCACAGAGTGGAACGTCCCTTTAGACAGAGCAGATTTGAAACACTCTTTTTGCGGAATTTGCAAGTGGAGATTTCTAGCCATTTGATGCCAACAGTAGAAAGGGAAATATCTTCAAATAAAAACCAGACAGAATCATTCTCAGAAAATTCTTTGTGATGTGTGCGTTCAACTCACATAATTTAACCTTTCTTTTCATAGAGCAGTTTGGAAACACTCTGTTTGTAAAGTCTGCAAGTGGATATATGGACCGCATTGAGGCCTTCGTTGGAAACGGGATTTCTTCATTTCATGCTAGACAGAAGAATTCTCAGTAACTTCTTTGTGCTGTGTGTATTCAACTCACAGAGTGGAACGTCCCTTTGCACAGAGCAGATTTGAAACACTCTTTTTGTGCAATTTGCAAGTGGAGATTTCAAGCGATTTGATGCCAACAGTAGAAAAGGAAATATCTTCAAATAAAAACTAGACAGAATCATTCTCAGAAACTACTTTGTGATGTGTGCCTTCAACTCACAGAGTTTAACCTTTCTTTTCTTAGAGCAGTTTAGAAACACTCTGCTTGTTATGTCTGCAAGTGGATATTTGGACCTCTTTGAGGCCTTCGTTGCAAACGGGGTTTCTTCCTTTCATGCTAGACTAAGAAGAGTTCTCAGTAACTTTTTTGTGTTGTGTGTATTCAACTCACAGAGTTGAACCTTGCTTTAGAGAGAGCAGATTTGAAACACTCTTGCTGTGGCATTTTCAGGTGGAGATTTCAAGCGATTTGAGGACAATTACAGAAAAGGAAATATCTTCGTATAACAACCAGACAGAATCATTCTCAGAAAGTGCTTTGTGATGTGTGCGTTCCACTCACAGAGTTTAACCTTTCTTTTCATAGAGGAGTTTGGAAACACACTGTTTGTAAACTCTGCAAGTGGATATATGGACCTGTTTGAGGCCTTTGTTGGAAACGGGATTTCTTCATTGAATGCTAGACGGAAGAAATCTCAGTAAATTCTTTGTGTTGTGTGCATTCAACTCACAGAGTGGAACGTGCCTTTAGACAGAGCAGATTTGAAACACTCTTTTTGCGGAATTTGCAAGTGGAGATTTCTAGCCATTTGATGCCAACAGTAGAAAGGGAAATATCTTCAAATAAAAACCAGACAGAATCATTCTCAGAAAATTCTTTGTGATGTGTGCGTTCAGCTCACATAGTTTAACCTCTCTTTTCATAGAGCAGTTTGGAAACACACTGTTGGTAAAATCTGCAAGTGGATATGTGGACTGCTTTGAGGCATTCGTTGGAAACGGGATTTCTTCATTTAATGCTAGACCGAAGAATTCTCAGTAAATTCTTGGTGTTGTGTGCATTCAACTCACAGAGTGGAACGTCCCTTTAGACAGAGCAGATTTGAAACACTCTTTTTGCGGAATTTGCAAGTGGAGATTTCAAGCCATTTGATGCCAACATTAGAAAGGGAAATATCTTCAAATAAAAACCAGACAGAATCATTCTCAGAAAATTCTTTGTGATGTGTGCGTTCAACTCACATAGTTTTACCTTTCCTTTCATAGAGCAGTTTGGAAACACTCTGTTTGAAATGTCTGCAAGTGGATATATGGATCGCTTTGAGGCCTTCTTTGGAAACGGGATTTCTTCATTTCATGCTAGACAGAAGAATTCTCAGTAACTTCTTTGTGTTGTGTGTATTCAACTCACAGAGTGGAACATCCCTTTACACAGAGCATATGGAAAAAGTCTTTTTGTGGAATTTGCAAGTGGAGATTTCAAGCGATTTGATGCCAACAGTAGAAAAGGTAATATCGTCAAATAAAAACTACACAGAATCATTCTCAGAAATTACTTTGTGATGTGTGCCTTCAACTCACAGAGTTTAACCTTTCCTTTCTTATAGCAGTTTAGAAACACTCTGCTTGTTATGTCTCCAAATGGATATTTGGACCTCTTTGAGGCCTTCGTTGCAAACGGGATTTCTTCATTTAATGCTAGCCTAAGAAGAGTTCTCAGTAACTTCTTTGTGTTGTGTGTATTCAACTCACAGTGTTGAACCTTGCTTTAGAGAGAGCAGATTTGAAACACTCTTGCTGTGGCATTTTCAGGTGGAGATTTCAAGCGATTTGAGGACAATTGCAGAAAAGGAAATATCTTCGTATAAAAACCAGACAGAATCATTCTCAGAAAGTGCTTTGTGATGCGTGCGTTCAACTCACAGAGCTTAACCTTTATGTTCATATAGCAGTTTTGAAACACACTGTTTGTAAAGTCTGCACGTGGATATTTGGACGTGTTTGAGGCCTTTGTTGGAAAAGAGATTTTTTCATATAATGCTAGACGGAAGAATTCTCAGTAACTTCTTTGTGCTGTGTGTATTCAACTCACAGAGTGGGAACGTCCCTTTACACAGAGCAGATTTGAAACACTCTTTTTGTGGAATTTGCAAGTGGAGATTTCAAGCGATTTGATGCCAACAGTAGAAAAGGAGATATCTTCAAATAAAAACTAGACAGAATCATTCTCAGAAACTACTTTGTGATGTGTGCCTTCAACTCACAGAGTTTAACCTTTCTTTTCTTAGAGCAGTTTAGAAACACTCTGCTTGTTATGTCTGCAAGTGGATATTTGGACCTCTTTGAGGCCTTCGTTGCAAACGGGGTTTCTTCCTTTCATGCTAGACTAAGAAGAGTTCTCAGTAACTTTTTTGTGTTGTGTGTATTCAACTCACAGAGTTGAACCTTGCTTTAGAGAGAGCAGATTTGAAACACTCTTGCTGTGGCATTTTCAGGTGGAGATTTCAAGCGATTTGAGGACAATTGCAGAAAAGGAAATATCTTCGTATAATAACCAGACAGAATCATTCTCAGAAAGTGCTTTGTGATGTGTGCGTTCAACTCACAGAGTTTAACCTTTCTTTTCATAGAGGAGTTTGGAAACACACTGTTTGTAAAGTCTGCAAGTGGATATATGGACCTGTTTGAGGCCTTCGTTGGAAACGGGATTTCTTCATTGAATGCTAGACGGAAGAATTCTCAGTAAATTCTTTGTGTTGTGTGCATTCAACTCACAGAGTGGACGTCCCTTTAGACAGAGCAGATTTGAAACACTCTTTTTGCGGAATTTGCAAGTGGAGATTTCTAGCCATTTGATGCCAACAGTAGAAAGGGAAATATCTTCAAATAAAAACCAGACAGAATCGTTCTCAGAAAATTCTTTGTGATGTGTGCGTTCAACTCACATAGTTTAACCTTTCTTTTCATAGAGCAGTTTGGAAACACTCTGTTTGTAAAGTCTGCAAGTGGATATATGGACCGCATTGAGGCCTTCGTTGGAAACGGGATTTCTTCATTTCATGCTAGACAGAAGAATTCTCAGTAACTTCTTTGTGCTGTGTGTATTCAACTCACAGAGTGGAATGTCCCTTTACACAGAGCAGATTTGAAACACTCTTTTTGTGGAGTTTGCAAGTGGAGATTTCAAGCGATTTGATGCCAACAGTAGAAAAGGAAATATCTTCAAATAAAAACTAGACAGAATCATTCTCAGAAACTACTTTGTGATGTGTGCCTTCAACTCACAGAGTTTAACCTTTCTTTTCTTAGAGCAGTTTAGAAACACTCTGCTTGTTATGTCTGCAAGTGGATATTTGGACCTCTTTGAGGCCTTCGTTGCAAACGGGGTTTCTTCCTTTCATGCTAGACTAAGAAGAGTTCTCATTAACTTTTTTGTGTTGTGTGTATTCACCTCACAGAGTTGAACCTTGCTTTAGAGAGAGCAGATTTGAAACACTCTCGCTGTGGCATTTTCAGGTGGAGATTTCAAGCGATTTGAGGACAATTGCAGAAAAGGAAATATCTTCGTATAATAACCAGACAGAATCATTCTCAGAAAGTGCTTTGTGATGTGTGCGTTCAACTCACAGAGTTTAACCTTTCTTTTCATAGAGGAGTTTGGAAACACACTGTTTGTAAAGTCTGCAAGTGGATATATGGACCTGTTTGAGGCCTTCGTTGGAAACGGGATTTCTTCATTGAATGCTAGACGGAAGAATTCTCAGTAAATTCTTTGTGTTGTGTGCATTCAACTCACAGAGTGGAACGTCCCTTTAGACAGAGCAGATTTGAAACACTCTTTTTGCGGAATTTGCAAGTGGAGATTTCTAGCCATTTGATGCCAACAGTAGAAAGGGAAATATCTTCAAATAAAAACCAGACAGAATCATTCTCAGAAAATTCTTTGTGATGTGTGCGTTCAACTCACATAGTTTAACCTTTCTTTTCATAGAGCAGTTTGGAAACACTCTGTTTGTAAAGTCTGCAAGTGGATATATGGACCGCATTGAGGCCTTCGTTGGAAACGGGATTTCTTCATTTCATGCTAGACAGAAGAATTCTCAGTAACTTCTTTGTGCTGTGTGTATTCAACTCACAGAGTGGAACGTCCCTTTGCACAGAGCAGATTTGAAACACTCTTTTTGTGGAGTTTGCAAGTGGAGATTTCAAGCGATTTGATGCCAACAGTAGGAAAGGAAATATCTTCAAATAAAAACTAGACAGAATCATTCTCAGAAACTACTTTGTGATGTGTGCCTTCAACTCACAGAGTTTAACCTTTCTTTTCTTAGAGCAGTTTAGAAACACTCTGCTTGTTATGTCTGCAAGTGGATATTTGGACCTCTTTGAGGCCTTCGTTGCAAACGGGGTTTCTTCCTTTAATGCTAGACTAAGAAGAGTTCTCAGTAACTTTTTTGTGTTGTGTGTATTCAACTCACAGAGTTGAACCTTGCTTTAGAGAGAGCAGATTTGAAACACTCTTGCTGTGGCATTTTCAGGCGGAGATTTCAAGCGTTTTGAGGACAATTGCAGAAAAGGAAATATCTTCGTATAATAACCAGACAGAATCATTCTCAGAAAGTGCTTTGTGATGTGTGCGTTCCACTCACAGAGTTTAACCTTTCTTTTCATAGAGGAGTTTGGAAACACACTGTTTGTAAACTCTGCAAGTGGATATATGGACCTGTTTGAGGCCTTCGTTGGAAACGGGATTTCTTCATTGAATGCTAGACGGAAGAATTCTCAGTAAATTCTTTGTGTTGTGTGCATTCAACTCACAGAGTGGAACGTCCCTTTAGACAGAGCAGATTTGAAACACTCTTTTTGCGGAATTTGCAAGTGGAGATTTCTAGCCATTTGATGCCAACAGTAGAAAGGGAAATATCTTCAAATAAAAACCAGACAGAATCATTCTCAGAAAATTCTTTGTGATGTGTGCGTTCAACTCACATAGTTTAACCTTTCTATTCATAGAGCAGTTTGGAAACACTCTGTTTGTAAAGTCTGCAAGTGGATATATGGACCGCATTGAGGCCTTCGTTGGAAACGGGATTTCTTCATTTCATGCTAGACAGAAGAATTCTCAGTAACTTCTTTGTGCTGTGTGTATTCAACTCACAGAGTGGAACGTCCCTTTACACAGAGCAGATTTGAAACACTCTTTTTGTGGAGTTTGCAAGTGGAGATTTCAAGCGATTTGATGCCAACAGTAGAAAAGGAAATATCTTCAAATAAAAACTAGACAGAATCATTCTCAGAAACTACTTTGTGATGTGTGCCTTCAACTCACAGAGTTTAACCTTTCTTTTCTTAGAGCAGTTTAGAAACACTCTGCTTGTTATGTCTGCAAGTGGATATTTGGACCTCTTTGAGGCCTTCGTTGCAAACGGGGTTTCTTCCTTTCATGCTAGACTAAGAAGAGTTCTCAGTAACTTTTTTGTGTTGTGTGTATTCAACTCACAGAGTTGAACCTTGCTTTAGAGAGAGCAGATTTGAAACACTCTTGCTGTGGCATTTTCAGGTGGAGATTTCAAGCGATTTGAGGATAATTGCAGAAAAGGAAATATCTTCGTATAATAACCAGACAGAATCATTCTCAGAAAGTGCTTTGTGATGTGTGCGTTCCACTCACAGAGTTTAACCTTTCTTTTCATAGAGGAGTTTGGAAACACACTGTGTGTAAACTCTGCAAGTGGATATATGGACCTGTTTGAGGCCTTCGTTGGAAACGGGATTTCTTCATTGAATGCTAGACGGAAGAATTCTCAGTAAATTCTTTGTGTTGTGTGCATTCAACTGACAGAGTGGAACGTCCCTTTAGACAGAGCAGATTTGAAACACTCTTTTTGCGGAATTTGCAAGTGGAGATTTCTAGCCATTTGATTCCAACAGTAGAAAGTGAAATATCTTCAAATAAAAACCAGACAGAATCATTCTCAGAAAATTCTTTGTGATGTGTGCGTTCAACTCACATAGTTTAACCTTTCTTTTCATAGAGCAGTTTGGAAACACTCTGTTTGTAAAGTCTGCAAGTGGATATATGGACCGCATTGAGGCCTTCGTTGGAAACGGGATTTCTTCATTTCATGCGAGACAGAAGAATTCTCAGTAACTTCTTTGTGCTGTGTGTATTCAACTCACAGAATGGAACGTCCCTTTACACAGAGCAGATTTGAAACACTCTTTTTGTGGAGTTTGCAAGTGGAGATTTCAAGCGATTTGATGCCAGCAGTAGAAAAGGAAATATCTTCAAATAAAAACTAGACAGAATCATTCTCAGAAACTACTTTGTGATGTGTGCCTTCAACTCACAGAGTTTAACCTTTCTTTTCTTAGAGCAGTTTAGAAACACTCTGCTTGTTATGTCTGCAAGTGGATATTTGGACCTCTTTGAGGCCTTCGTTGCAAACGGGGTTTCTTCCTTTCATGCTAGACTAAGAAGAGTTCTCAGTAACATTTTGTGTTGTGTGTATTCAACTCACAGAGTTGAACCTTGCTTTAGAGAGAGCAGATTTGAAACACTCTTGCTGTGGCATTTTCAGGTGGAGATTTCAAGCGATTTGAGGACAATTGCAGAAAAGGAAATATCTTCGTATAACAACCAGACAGAATCATTCTCAGAAAGTGCTTTGTGATGTGTGCGTTCAACTCACAGAGTTTAACCTTTCTTTTCATTGAGGAGTTTGGAAACACACTGTTTGTAAAGTCTGCAATTGGATATATGGACCTGTTTGAGGCCTTCGTTGGAAACGGGATTTCTTCATTGAATGCTAGACGGAAGAATTCTCAGTAAATTCTTTGTGTTGTGTGCATTCAACTGACAGAGTGGAACGTCCCTTTAGACAGAGCAGATTTGAAACACTCTTTTTGCGGAATTTGCAAGTGGAGATTTCTAGCCATTTGATGCCAACAGTAGAAAGGGAAATATCTTCAAATAAAAACCAGACAGAATCATTCTCAGAAAATTGTTTGTGATGTGTGCGTTCAACTCACATAGTTTAACCTTTCTTTTCATAGAGCAGTTTGGAAACACTCTGTTTGTAAAGTCTGCAAGTGGATATATGGACCGCATTGAGGCCTTCGTTGGAAACGGGATTTCTTCATTTCATGCTAGACAGAAGAATTCTCAGTAACTTCTTTGTGCTGTGTGTATTCAACTCACAGAGTGGAACGTCCCTTTGCACAGAGCAGATTTGAAACACTCTTTTTGTGGAGTTTGCAAGAGGAGATTTCAAGCGATTTGATGCCAACAGTAGAAAAGGAAGTATCTTCAAATAAAAACTAGACAGAATCATTCTCAGAAACTACTTTGTGATGTGTGCCTTCAACTCACAGAGTTTAACCTTTCTTTTCTTAGAGCAGTTTAGAAACACTCTGCTTGTTATGTCTGCAAGTGGATATTTGGACCTCTTTGAGGCCTTCGTTGCAAACGGGGTTTCTTCCTTTCATGCTAGACTAAGAAGAGTTCTCAGTAACTTTTTTGTGTTGTGTGTATTCAACTCACAGAGTTGAACCTTGCTTTAGAGAGAGCAGATTTGAAATACTCTTGCTGTGGCATTTTCAGGTGGAGATTTCAAGCGATTTGAGGACAATTGCAGAAAAGGAAATATCTTCGTATAATAACCAGACAGAATCATTCTCAGAAAGTGCTTTGTGATGTGTGCGTTCAACTCACAGAGTTTAACCTTTCTTTTCATAGAGGAGTTTGGAAACACACTGTTTGTAAAGTCTGCAATTGGATATATGGACCTGTTTGAGGCCTTCGTTGGAAACGGGATTTCTTCATTGAATGCTAGACGGAAGAATTCTCAGTAAATTCTTTGTGTTGTGTGCATTCAACTCACAGAGTGGAACGTCCCTTTAGACAGAGCAGATTTGAAACACTCTTTTTGCGGAATTTGCAAGTGGAGATTTCTAGCCATTTGATGCCAACAGTAGAAAGGGAAATATCTTCAAATAAAAACCAGACAGAATCATTCTCAGAAAATTCTTTGTGATGTGTGCGTTCAACTCACATAGTTTAACCTTTCTTTTCATAGAGCAGTTTGGAAACACTCTGTTTGTAAAGTCTGCAAGTGGATATATGGACCGCATTGAGGCCTTCGTTGGAAACGGGATTTCTTCATTTCATGCTAGACAGAAGAATTCTCAGTAACTTCTTTGTGCTGTGTGTATTCAACTCACAGAGTGGAACGTCCCTTTGCACAGAGCAGATTTGAAACACTCTTTTTGTGGAGTTTGCAAGTGGAGATTTCAAGCGATTTGATGCCAACAGTAGAAAAGGAAATATCTTCAAATAAAAACTAGACAGAATCATTCTCAGAAACTACTTTGTGATGTGTGCCTTCAACTCACAGAGTTTAACCTTTCTTTTCTTAGAGCAGTTTAGAAACACTCTGCTTGTTATGTCTGCAAGTGGATATTTGGACCTCTTTGAGGCCTTCGTTGCAAACGGGGTTTCTTCCTTTCATGCTAGACTAAGAAGAGTTCTCAGTAACTTTTTTGTGTTGTGTGTATTCAACTCACAGAGTTGAACCTTGCTTTAGAGAGAGCAGATTTGAAACACTCTTGCTGTGGCATTTTCAGGTGGAGATTTCAAGCGATTTGAGGACAATTGCAGAAAAGGAAATATCTTCGTATAATAACCAGACAGAATCATTCTCAGAAAGTGCTTTGTGATGTGTGCGTTCAACTCACAGAGTTTAACCTTTCTTTTCATAGAGGAGTTTGGAAACACAATGTTTGTAAAGTCTGCAAGTGGATATATGGACCTGTTTGAGGCCTTCGTTGGAAACGGGATTTCTTCATTGAATGCTAGACGGAAGAATTCTCAGTAAATTCTTTGTGTTGTGTGCATTCAACTCACAGAGTGGAACGTCCCTTTAGACAGAGCAGATTTGAAACACTCTTTTTGCGGAATTTGCAAGTGGAGATTTCTAGCTATTTGATGCCAACAGTAGAAAGGGAAATATCTTCAAATAAAAACCAGACAGAATCATTCTCAGAAAATTCTTTGTGATGTGTGCGTTCAACTCACATAGTTTAACCTTTCTTTTCATAGAGCAGTTTGGAAACACTCTGTTTGTAAAGTCTGCAAGTGGATATATGGACCGCATTGAGGCCTTCGTTGGAAACGGGATTTCTTCATTTCATGCTAGACAGAAGAATTCTCAGTGACTTCTTTGTGCTGTGTGTATTCAACTCACAGAGTGGAACGTCCCTTTGCACAGAGCAGATTTGAAACACTCTTTTTGTGGAGTTTGCAATTGGAGATTTCAAGCGATTTGATGCCAACAGTAGAAAAGGAAATATCTTCAAATAAAAACTAGACAGAATCATTCTCAGAAACTACTTTGTGATGTGTGCCTTCAACTCACAGAGTTTAACCTTTCTTTTCTTAGAGCAGTTTAGAAACACTCTGCTTGTTATGTCTGCAAGTGGATATTTGGACCTCTTTGAGGCCTTCGTTGCAAACGGGGTTTCTTCCTTTCATGCTAGACTAAGAAGAGTTCTCAGTAACTTTTTTGTGTTGTGTGTATTCAACTCACAGAGTTGAACCTTGCTTTAGAGAGAGCAGATTTGAAACACTCTTGCTGTGGAATTTTCAGGTGGAGATTTCAAGCGATTTGAGGACAATTGCAGAAAAGGAAATATCTTCGTATAATAACCAGACAGAATCATTCTCAGAAAGTGCTTTGTGATGTGTGCGTTCAACTCACAGAGTTTAACCTTTCTTTTCATAGAGGAGCTTGGAAACACACTGTTTGTAAAGTCTGCAAGTGGATATATGGACCTGTTTGAGGCTTCCGTTGGAAACGGGATTTCTTCATTGAATGCCAGACGGAAGAAATCTCAGTAAATTCTTTGTGTTGTGTGCATTCAACTCACAGAGTGGAACGTCCCTTTAGACAGAGCAGATTTGAAACACTCTTTTTGCGGAATTTGCAAGTGGAGATTTCTAGCCATTTGATGCCAACAGTAGAAAGGGAAATATCTTCAAATAAAAACCAGACAGAATCATTCTCAGAAAATTCTTTGTGATGTGTGCGTTCAACTCACATAGTTTAACCTTTCTTTTCATAGAGCAGTTTGGAAACACTCTGTTTGTAAAGTCTGCAAGTGGATATATGGACCGCATTGAGGCCTTCGTTGGAAACGGGATTTCTTCATTTCATGCTAGACAGAAGAATTCTCAGTAACTTCTTTGTGCTGTGTGTATTCAACTCACAGAGTGGAACGTCCCATTGCACAGAGCAGATTTGAAACACTCTTTTTGTGGAGTTTGCAAGTGGAGATTTCAAGCGATTTGATGCCAACAGTAGAAAAGGAAATATCTTCAAATAAAAACTAGACAGAATCATTCTCAGAAACTACTTTGTGATGTGTGCCTTCAACTCACAGAGTTTAATCTTTCTTTTCTTAGAGCAGTTTAGAAACACTCTGCTTGTTATGTCTGCAAGTGGATATTTGGACCTCTTTGAGGCCTTCGTTGCAAACGGGGTTTCTTCCTTTAATGCTAGACTAAGAAGAGTTCTCAGTAACTTTTTTGTGTTGTGTGTATTCAACTCACAGAGTTGAACCTTGCTTTAGAGAGAGCAGATTTGAAACACTCTCGCTGTGGAATTTTCAGGTGGAGATTTCAAGCGATTTGAGGACAATTGCAGAAAAGGAAATATCTTCGTATAATAACCAGACAGAATCATTCTCAGAAAGTGCTTTGTGATGTGTGCGTTCAACTCACAGAGTTTAACCTTTCTTTTCATAGAGGAGTTTGGAAACACACTGTTTGTAAAGTCTGCAATTGGATATATGGACCTGTTTGAGGCCTTCGTTGGAAACGGGATTTCTTCATTGAATTCTAGACGGAAGAATTCTCAGTAAATTCTTTGTGTTGTGTGCATTCAACTCACAGAGTGGAACGTCCCTTTAGACAGAGCAGATTTGAAACACTCTTTTTGCGGAATTTGCAAGTGGAGATTTCTAGCCATTTGATGCCAACAGTAGAAAGGGAAATATCTTCAAATAAAAACCAGACAGAATCATTCTCAGAAAATTCTTTGTGATGTGTGCGTTCAACTCACATAGTTTAACCTTTCTTTTCATAGAGCAGTTTGGAAACACTCTGTTTGTAAAGTCTGCAAGTGGATATATGGACCGCATTGAGGCCTTCGTTGGAAACGGGATTTCTTCATTTCATGCTAGACAGAAGAATTCTCAGTAACTTCTTTGTGCTGTGTGTATTCAACTCACAGAGTGGAACGTCCCTTTACACAGAGCAGATTTGAAACACTCTTTTTGTGGAGTTTGCAAGTGGAGATTTCAAGCGATTTGATGCCAACAGTAGAAAAGGAAATATCTTCAAATAAAAACTAGACAGAATCATTCTCAGAAACTACTTTGTGATGTGTGCTTTCAACTCACAGAGTTTAACCTTTCTTTTCATAGAGCAGTTTAGAAACACTCTGCTTGTTATGTCTGCAAGTGGATATTTGGACCTCTTTGAGGCCTTCGTTGCAAACGGGGTTTCTTCCTTTCATGCTAGACTAAGAAGAGTTCTCAGTAACTTTTTTGTGTTGTGTGTATTCAACTGACAGAGTTGAACCTTGCTTTAGAGAGAGCAGATTTGAAACACTCTTGCTGTGGCATTTTCAGGTGGAGATTTCAAGCGATTTGAGGACAATTGCAGAAAAGGAAATATCTTCGTATAATAACCAGACAGAATCATTCTCAGAAAGTGCTTTGTGATGTGTGCGTTCAACTCACAGAGTTTAACCTTTCTTTTCATAGAGGAGTTTGGAAACACACTGTTTGTAAAGTCTGCAAGTGGATATATGGACCTCTTTGAGGCCTTCGTTGGAAACGGGATTTCTTCATTGAATGCTAGACGGAAGAATTCTCAGGAAATTCTTTGTGTTGTGTGCATTCAACTCACAGAGTGGAACGTCCCTTTAGACAGAGCAGATTTGAAACACTCTTTTTGCGGAATTTGCAAGTGGAGATTTCTAGCCATTTGATGCCAACAGTAGAAAGGGAAATATCTTCAAATAAAAACCAGACAGAATCATTCTCAGAAAATTCTTTGTGATGTGTGCGTTCAACTCACATAGTTTAACCTTTCTTTTCATAGAGCAGTTTGGAAACACTCTGTTTGTAAAGTCTGCAAGTGGATATATGGACCGCATTGAGGCCTTCGTTGGAAACGGGATTTCTTCATTTCATGCTAGACAGAAGAATACTCAGTAACTTCTTTGTGCTGTGTGTATTCAACTCACAGAGTGGAACGTCCCTTTACACAGAGCAGATTTGAAACACTCTTTTTGTGGAGTTTGCAAGTGGAGATTTCAAGCGATTTGATGCCAACCGTAGAAAAGGAAATATCTTCAAATAAAAACTAGACAGAATCATTCTCAGAAACTACTTTGTGATGTGTGCCTTCAACTCACAGAGTTTAACCTTTCTTTTCTTAGAGCAGTTTAGAAACACTCTGCTTGTTATGTCTGCAAGTGGATATTTGGACCTCTTTGAGGCCTTCGTTGCAAACGGGGTTTCTTCCTTTCATGCTAGACTAAGAAGAGTTCTCAGTAACTTTTTTGTGTTGTGTGTATTCAACTCACAGAGTTGAACCTTGCTTTAGAGAGAGCAGATTTGAAACACTCTTGCTGTGGCATTTTCAGGTGGAGATTTCAAGCGATTTGAGGACAATTGCAGAAAAGGAAATATCTTCCGTATAATAACCAGACAGAATCATTCTCAGAAAGTGCTTTGTGATGTGTTCGGTTCAACTCACAGAGTTGAACCTTTCTTTTCATAGAGGAGTTTGGAAACACACTGTTTGTAAAGTCTGCAAGTGGATATATGGACCTGTTTGAGGCCTTCGTTGGAAACGGCATTTCTTCATTGAATGCTAGACGGAAGAATTCTCAGTAAATTCTTTGTGTTGTGTGCATTCAACTGACAGAGTGGAACGTCCCTTTAGACAGAGCAGATTTGAAACACTCTTTTTGCGGAATTTGCAAGTGGAGATTTCTAGCCATTTGATGCCAACAGTAGAAAGGGAAACATCTTCAAATAAAAACCAGACAGAATCATTCTCAGAAAATTCTTTGTGATGTGTGCGTTCAACTCACATAGTTTAACCTTTCTTTTCATAGAGCAGTTTGGAAACACTCTGTTTGTAAAGTCTGCAAGTGGATATATGGACCGCATTGAGGCCTTCGTTGGAAACGGGATTTCTTCATTTCATGCTAGACAGAAGAATTCTCAGTAACTTCTTTGTGCTGTGTGTATTCAACTCACAGAGTGGAACGTCCCTTTGCACAGAGCAGATTTGAAACACTCTTTTTGTGGAATTTGCAAGTGGAGATTTCAAGCGATTTGATGCCAACAGTAGAAAAGGAAATATCTTCAAATAAAAACTAGACAGAATCATTCTCAGAAACTACTTTGTGATGTGTGCCTTCAACTCACAGAGTTTAACCTTTCTTTTCTTAGAGCAGTTTAGAAACACTCTGCTTGTTATGTCTGCAAGTGGGTATTTGGACCTCTTTGAGGCCTTCGTTGCAAACGGGGTTTCTTCCTTTCATGCTAGACTAAGAAGAGTTCTCAGTAACTTTTTTGTGTTGTGTGTATTCAACTCACAGAGTTGAACCTTGCTTTAGAGAGAGCAGATTTGAAACACTCTTGCTGTGGCATTTTCAGGTGGAGATTTCAAGCGATTTGAGGACAATTGCAGAAAAGGAAATATCTTCGTATAATAACCAGACAAAATCATTCTCAGAAAGTGCTTTGTGATGTGTGCGTTCCACTCACAGAGTTTAACCTTTCTTTTCATAGAGGAGTTTGGAAACACACTGTTTGTAAAGTCTGCAAGTGGATATATGGACCTGTTTGAGGCCTTCGTTGGAAACGGGATTTCTTCATTGAATGCTAGACGGAAGAATTCTCAGTAAATTCTTTGTGTTGTGTGCATTCAACTCACAGAGTGGAACGTCCCTTTAGACAGAGCAGATTTGAAACACTCTTTTTGCGGAATTTGCAAGTGGAGATTTCTAGCCATTTGATGCCAACAGTAGAAAGGGAAATATCTTCAAATAAAAACCAGACAGAATCATTCTCAGAAAATTATTTGTGATGTGTGCGTTCAACTCACATAGTTTAACCTTTCTTTTCATAGAGCAGTTTGGAAACACTCTGTTTGTAAAGTCTGCAAGTGGATATATGGACCGCATTGAGGCCTTCGTTGGAAACGGGATTTCTTCATTTCATGCTAGACAGAAGAATACTCAGTAACTTCTTTGTGCTGTGTGTATTCAACTCACAGAGTGGAACGTCCCTTTACACAGAGCAGATTTGAAACACTCTTTTTGTGGAGTTTGCAAGTGGAGATTTCAAGCGATTTGATGCCAACCGTAGAAAAGGAAATATCTTCAAATAAAAACTAGACAGAATCATTCTCAGAAACTACTTTGTGATGTGTGCCTTCAACTCACAGAGTTTAACCTTTCTTTTCTTAGAGCAGTTTAGAAACACTCTGCTTGTTATGTCTGCAAGTGGATATTTGGACCTCTTTGAGGCCTTCGTTGCAAACGGGGTTTCTTCCTTTCATGCTAGACTAAGAAGAGTTCTCAGTAACTTTTTTGTGTTGTGTGTATTCAACTCACAGAGTTGAACCTTGCTTTAGAGAGAGCAGATTTGAAACACTCTTGCTGTGGCATTTTCAGGTGGAGATTTCAAGCGATTTGAGGACAATTGCAGAAAAGGAAATATCTTCGTATAATAACCAGACAGAATCATTCTCAGAAAGTGCTTTGTGATGTGTGCGTTCAACTCACAGAGTTTAACCTTTCTTTTCATAGAGGAGTTTGGAAACACACTGTTTGTAACGTCTGCAATTGGATATATGGACCTGTTTGAGGCCTTCGTTGGAAACGGGATTTCTTCATTGAATGCTAGACGGAAAGAATTCTCAGTAAATTCTTTGTGTTGTGTGCATTCAACTCACAGAGTGGAACGTCCCTTTAGACAGAGCAGATTTGAAACACTCTTTTTGCGGAATTTGCAAGTGGAGATTTCTAGCCATTTGATGCCAACAGTAGAAAGGGAAATATCTTCAAATAAAAACCAGACAGAATCATTCTCAGAAAATTCTTTGTGATGTGTGCGTTCAACTCACATAGTTTAACCTTTCTTTTCATAGAGCAGTTTGGAAACACTCTGTTTGTAAAGTCTGCAAGTGGATATATGGACCGCATTGAGGCCTTCGTTGGAAACGGGATTTCTTCATTTCATGCTAGACAGAAGAATTCTCAGTAACTTCTTTGTGCTGTGTGTATTCAACTCACAGAGTGGAACGTCCCTTTGCACAGAGCAGATTTGAAACACTCTTTTTGTGGAGTTTGCAAGTGGAGATTTCAAGCGATTTGATGCCAACAGTAGAAAAGGAAATATCTTCAAATAAAAACTAGACAGAATCATTCTCAGAAACTACTTTGTGATGTGTGCCTTCAACTCACAGAGTTTTACCTTTCTTTTCTTAGAGCAGTTTAGAAACACTCTGCTTGTTATGTCTGCAAGTGGATATTTGGACCTCTTTGAGGCCTTCGTTGCAAACGGGGTTTCTTCCTTTCATGCTAGACTAAGAAGAGTTCTCAGTAACTTTTTTGTGTTGTGTGTATTCAACTCACAGAGTTGAACCTTGCTTTAGAGAGAGCAGATTTGAAACACTCTTGCTGTGGCATTTTCAGGTGGAGATTTCAAGCGATTTGAGGACAATTGCAGAAAAGGAAATATCTTCGTATAATAACCAGACAGAATCATTCTCAGAAAGTGCTTTGTGATGTGTGCGTTCCACTCACAGAGTTTAACCTTTCTTTTCATAGAGGAGTTTGGAAACACACTGTTTGTAAAGTCTGCAAGTGGATATATGGACCTGTTTGAGGCCTTCGTTGGAAACGGGATTTCTTCATTGAATGCTAGACGGAAGAATTCTCAGTAAATTCTTTGTGTTGTGTGCATTCAACTCACAGAGTGGAACGTCCCTTTAGACAGAGCAGATTTGAAACACTCTTTTTGCGGAATTTGCAAGTGGAGATTTCTAGCCATTTGATGCCAACAGTAGAAAGGGAAATATCTTCAAATAAAAACCAGGCAGAATCATTCTCAGAAAATTCTTTGTGATGTGTGCGTTCAACTCACATAGTTTAACCTTTCTTTTCATAGAGCAGTTTGGAAACACTCTGTTTGTAAAGTCTGCAAGTGGATATATGGACCGCATTGAGGCCTTCGTTGGAAACGGGATTTCTTCATTTCATGCTAGACAGAAGAATTCTCAGTAACTTCTTTGTGCTGTGTGTATTCAACTCACAGAGTGGAACGTCCCTTTGCACAGAGCAGATTTAAAACACTCTTTTTGTGGAGTTTGCAAGTGGAGATTTCAAGCGATTTGATGCCAACAGTAGAAAAGGAAATATCTTCAAATAAAAACTAGACAGAATCATTCTCAGAAACTACTTTGTGATGTGTGCCTTCAACTCACAGAGTTTAACCTTTCTTTTCTTAGAGCAGTTTAGAAACACTCTGCTTGTTATGTCTGCAAGTGGATATTTGGACCTCTTTGAGGCCTTCGTTGCAAACGGCGTTTCTTCCTTTACTGCTAGACTAAGAAGAGTTCTCAGTAACTTTTTTGTGTTGTGTGTATTCAACTCACAGAGTTGAACCTTGCTTTAGAGAGAGCAGATTTGAAACACTCTTGCTGTGGCATTTTCAGGTGGAGATTTCAAGCGATTTGAGGACAATTGCAGAAAAGGAAATATCTTCGTATAATAACCAGACAGAATCATTCTCAGAAAGTGCTTTGTGATGTGTGCGTTCAACTCACAGAGTTTAACCTTTCTTTTCATAGAGGAGTTTGGAAACACACTGTTTGTAAAGTCTGCAAGTGGATATATGGACCTGTTTGAGGCCTTCGTTGGAAACGGGATTTCTTCATTGAATGCTAGACGGAAGAATTCTCAGTAAATTCTTTGTGTTGTGTGCATTCAACTCACAGAGTGGAACGTCCCTTTAGACAGAGCAGATTTGAAACACTTTTTGGCGGAATTTGCCAGTGGAGATTTCTAGCCATTTGATGCCAACAGTAGAAAGGGAAATATCTTCAAATAAAAACCAGACAGAATCATTCTCAGAAAATTCTTTGTGATGTGTGCGTTCAACTCACATAGTTTAACCTTTCTTTTCATAGAGCAGTTTGGAAACACTCTGTTTGTAAAGTCTGCAAGTGGATATATGGACCGCATTGAGGCCTTCGTTGGAAACGGGATTTCTTCATTTCATGCTAGACAGAAGAATTCTCAGTAACTTCTTTGTGCTGTGTGTATTCAACTCACAGAGTGGAACGTCCCTTTGCACAGAGCGGATTTGAAACACTCTTTTTGTGGAGATTGCAAGTGGAGATTTCAAGCGATTTGATGCCAACAGTAGAAAAGGAAGTATCTTCAAATAAAAACTAGACAGAATCATTCTCAGAAACTACTTTGTGATGTGTGCCTTCAACTCTCAGAGTTTAACCTTTCTTTTCTTAGAGCAGTTTAGAAACACTCTGCTTGTTATGTCTGCAAGTGGATTTTTGGACCTCTTTGAGGCCTTCGTTGCAAACGGGGTTTCTTCCTTTCATGCTAGACTAAGAAGAGTTCTCAGTAACTTTTTTGTGTTGTGTGTATTCAACTCACAGAGTTGAACCTTGCTTTAGAGAGAGCAGATTTGAAACACTCTTGCTGTGGCATTTTCAGGTGGAGATTTCAAGCGATTTGAGGACAATTGCAGAAAAGGAAATATCTTCGTATAATAACCAGACAGAATCATTCTCAGAAAGTGCTTTGTGATGTGTGCGTTCAACTCACAGAGTTTAACCTTTCTTTTCATAGAGGAGTTTGGAAACACACTGTTTGTAAAGTCTGCAAGTGGATATATGGACCTGTTTGAGGCCTTCGTTGGAAACGGGATTTCTTCATTGAATGCTAGACGGAAGAATTCTCAGTAAATTCTTTGTGTTGTGTGCATTCAACTCACAGAGTGGAACGTCCCTTTAGACAGAGCAGATTTGAAACACTCTTTTTGCGGAATTTGCAAGTGGAGATTTCTAGCCATTTGATGCCAACAGTAGAAAGGGAAATATCTTCAAATAAAAACCAGACAGAATCATTCTCAGAAAATTCTTTGTGATGTGTGCGTTCAACTCACATAGTTTAACCTTTCTTTTCATAGAGCAGTTTGGAAACACTCTGTTTGTAAAGTCTGCAAGTGGATATATGGACCGCATTGAGGCCTTCGTTGGAAACGGGATTTCTTCATTTCATGCTAGACAGAAGAATTCTCAGTAACTTCTTTGTGCTGTGTGTATTCAACTCACAGAGTGGAACGTCCCTTTGCACAGAGCAGATTTGAAACACTCTTTTTGTGGAGTTTGCAAGTGGAGATTTCAAGCGATTTGATGCCAACAGTAGAAAAGGAAATATCTTCAAATAAAAACTAGACAGAATCATTCTCAGAAACTACTTTGTGATGTGTGCCTTCAACTCACAGAGTTTAACCTTTCTTTTCTTAGAGCAGTTTAGAAACACTCTGCTTGTTATGTCTGCAAGTGGATATTTGGACCTCTTTGAGGCCTTCGTTGCAAACGGGGTTTCTTCCTTTAATGCTAGACTAAGAAGAGTTCTCAGTAACTTTTTTGTGTTGTGTGTATTCAACTCACAGAGTTGAACCTTGCTTTAGAGAGAGCAGATTAGAAACACTCTTGCTGTGGCATTTTCAGGTGGAGATTTCAAGCGATTTGAGGACAATTGCAGAAAAGGAAATATCTTCGGTATAACAACCAGACAGAATCATTCTCAGAAAGTGCTTTGTGATGTGTGCGTTCCACTCACAGAGTTTAACCTTTCTTTTCATAGAGGAGTTTGGAAACACACTGTTTGTAAAGTCTGCAATTGGATATATGGACCTGTTTGAGGCCTTCGTTGGAAACGGAATTTCTTCATTGAATGCTAGACGGAAGAATTCTCAGTAAATTCTTTGTGTTGTGTGCATTCAACTCACAGAGTGGAACGTCCCTTTAGACAGAGCAGATTTGAAACACTCTTTTTGCGGAATTTGCAAGTGGAGATTTCTAGCCATTTGATGCCAACAGTAGAAAGGGAAATATCTTCAAATAAAAACCAGACAGAATCATTCTCAGAAAATTCTTTGTGATGTGTGCGTTCAACTCACATAGTTTAACCTTTCTTTTCATAGAGCAGTTTGGAAACACTCTGTTTGTAAAGTCTGCAAGTGGATATATGGACCGCAATGAGGCCTTCGTTGGAAACGGGATTTCTTCATTTCATGCTAGACAGAAGAATTCTCAGCAACTTCTTTGTGCTGTGTGTATTCAACTCACAGAGTGGAACGTCCCTTTGCACAGAGCAGATTTGAAACACTCTTTTTGTGGAATTTGCAAGTGGAGATTTCAAGCGATTTGATGCCAACAGTAGAAAAGGAAATATCTTCAAATAAAAACTAGACAGAATCATTCTCAGAAACTACTTTGTGATGTGTGCCTTCAACTCACAGAGTTTAACCTTTCTTTTCTTAGAGCAGTTTAGAAACACTCTGCTTGTTATGTCTGCAAGTGGATATTTGGACCTCTTTGAGGCCTTCGTTGCAAACGGGGTTTCTTCCTTTCATGCTAGACTAAGAAGAGTTCTCAGTAACTTTTTTGTGTTGTGTGTATTCAACTCACAGAGTTGAACCTTGCTTTAGAGAGAGCAGATTTGAAACACTCTTGCTGTGGCATTTTCAGGTGGAGATTTCAAGCGATTTGAGGACAATTGCAGAAAAGGAAATATCTTCGTATAATAACCAGACAGAATCATTCTCAGAAAGTGCTTTGTGATGTGTGCGTTCAACTCACAGAGTTTAACCTTTCTTTTCATAGAGGAGTTTGGAAACACACTGTTTGTAAAGTCTGCAATTGGATATATGGACCTGTTTGAGGCCTTCGTTGGAAACGGGATTTCTTCATTGAATGCTAGACGGAAGAATTCTCAGTAAATTCTTTGTGTTGTGTGCATTCAACTGACAGAGTGGAACGTCCCTTTAGACAGAGCAGATTTGAAACACTCTTTTTGCGGAATTTGCAAGTGGAGATTTCTAGCCATTTGATGCCAACAGTAGAAAGGGAAATATCTTCAAATAAAAACCAGACAGAATCATTCTCAGAAAATTCTTTGTGATGTGTGCGTTCAACTCACATAGTTTAACCTTTCTTTTCATAGAGCAGTTTGGAAACACTCTGTTTGTAAAGTCTGCAAGTGGATATATGGACCGCATTGAGGCCTTCGTTGGAAACGGGATTTCTTCATTTCATGCTAGACAGAAGAATTCTCAGTAACTTCTTTGTGCTGTGTGTATTCAACTCACAGAGTGGAACGTCCTTTTACACAGAGCAGATTTGAAACACTCTTTTTGTGGAGTTTGCAAGTGGAGATTTCAAGCGATTTGATGCCAACAGTAGAAAAGGAAATATCTTCAAATAAAAACTAGACAGAATCATTCTCAGAAACTACTTTGTGATGTGTGCCTTCAACTCACAGAGTTTAACCTTTCTTTTCTTAGAGCAGTTTAGAAACACTCTGCTTGTTATGTCTGCAAGTGGATATTTGGACCTCTTTGAGGCCTTCGTTGCAAACGGGGTTTCTTCCTTTCATGCTAGACTAAGAAGAGTTCTCAGTAACTTTTCTGTGTTGTGTGTATTCAACTCACAGAGTTGAACCTTGCTTTAGAGAGAGCAGATTTGAAACACTCTTGCTGTGACATTTTCAGGTGGAGATTTCAAGCGATTTGAGGACAATTGCAGAAAAGGAAATATCTTCGTATAACAACCAGACAGAATCATTCTCAGAAAGTGCTTTGTGATGTGTACGTTCCACTCACAGAGTTTAACCTTTCTTTTCATAGAGGAGTTTGGAAACACACTGTTTGTAAAGTCTGCAATTGGATATATGGACCTGTTTGAGGCCTTCGTTGGAAACGGGATTTCTTCATTGAATGCTAGACGGAAGAATTCTCAGTAAATTCTTTGTGTTGTGTGCATTCAACTGACAGAGTGGAACGTCCCTTTAGACAGAGCAGATTTGAAACACTCTTTTTGCGGAATTTGCAAGTGGAGATTTCTAGCCATTTGATGCCAACAGTAGAAAGGGAAATATCTTCAAATAAAAACCAGACAGAATCATTCTCAGAAAATTCTTTGTGATGTGTGCGTTCAACTCACATAGTTTAACCTTTCTTTTCATAGAGCAGTTTGGAAACACTCTGTTTGTAAAGTCTGCAAGTGGATATATGGACCGCATTGAGGCCTTCGTTGGAAACGGGATTTCTTCATTTCATGCTAGACAGAAGAATTCTCAGTAACTTCTTTGTGCTGTGTGTATTCAACTCACAGAGTGGAACGTCCCTTTGCACAGAGCAGATTTGAAACACTCTTTTTGTGGAATTTGCAAGTGGAGATTTCAAGCGATTTGATGCCAACAGTAGAAAAGGAAATATCTTCAAATAAAAACTAGACAGAATCATTCTCAGAAACTACTTTGTGATGTGTGCCTTCAACTCACAGAGTTTAACCTTTCTTTTCTTAGAGCAGTTTAGAAACACTCTGCTTGTTATGTCTGCAAGTGGATATTTGGACCTCTTTGAGGCCTTCGTTGCAAACGGGGTTTCTTCCTTTCATGCTAGACTAAGAAGAGTTCTCAGTAACTTTTTTGTGTTGTGTGTATTCAACTCACAGAGTTGAACCTTGCTTTAGAGAGAGCAGATTTGAAACACTCTTGCTGTGGCATTTTCAGGTGGAGATTTCAAGCGATTTGAGGACAATTGCAGAAAAGGAAATATCTTCGTATAATAACCAGACAGAATCATTCTCAGAAAGTGCTTTGTGATGTGTGCGTTCCACTCACAGAGTTTAACCTTTCTTTTCATAGAGGAGTTTGGAAACACACTGTTTGTAAAGTCTGCAAGTGGATATATGGACCTGTTTGAGACCTTCGTTGGAAACGGGATTTCTTCATTGAATGCTAGACGGAAGAATTCTCAGTAAATTCTTTGTGTTGTGTGCATTCAACTCACAGAGTGGAACGTCCCTTTAGACAGAGCAGATTTGAAACACTCTTTTTGCGGAATTTGCAAGTGGAGATTTCTAGCCATTTGATGCCAGCAGTAGAAAGGGAAATATCTTCAAATAAAAACCAGACAGAATCATTCTCAGAAAATTCTTTGTGATGTGTGCGTTCAACTCACATAGTTTAACCTTTCTTTTCATAGAGCAGTTTGGAAACACTCTGTTTGTAAAGTCTGCAAGTGGATATATGGACCGCATTGAGGCCTTCGTTGGAAACGGGATTTCTTCATTTCATGCTAGACAGAAGAATTCTCAGTAACTTCTTTGTGCTGTGTGTATTCAACTCACAGAGTGGAACGTCCCTTTGCACAGAGCAGATTTGAAACACTCTTTTTGTGGAGTTTGCAAGTGGAGATTTCAAGCGATTTGATGCCAACAGTAGAAAAGGAAATATCTTCAAATAAAAACTAGACAGAATCATTCTCAGAAACTACTTTGTGATGTGTGCCTTCAACTCACAGAGTTTAACCTTTCTTTTCTTAGAGCAGTTTAGAAACACTCTGCTTGTTATGTCTGCAAGTGGATATTTGGACCTCTTTGAGGCCTTCGTTGCAAACGGGGTTTCTTCCTTTCATGCTAGACTAAGAAGAGTTCTCAGTAACTTTTTTGTGTTGTGTGTATTCAACTCACAGAGTTGAACCTTGCTTTAGAGAGAGCAGATTTGAAACACTCTTGCTGTGGCATTTTCAGGTGGAGATTTCAAGCGTTTTGAGGACAATTGCAGAAAAGGAAATATCTTCGTATAATAACCAGACAGAATCATTCTCAGAAAGTGCTTTGTGATGTGTGCGTTCCACTCACAGAGTTTAACCTTTCTTTTCATAGAGGAGTTTGGAAACACACTGTTTGTAAAGTCTGCAAGTGGATATATGGACCTGTTTGAGGCCTTCGTTGGAAACGGGATTTCTTCATTGAATGCTAGACGGAAGAATTCTCAGTAAATTCTTTGTGTTGTGTGCATTCAACTCACAGAGTGGAACGTCCCTTTAGACAGAGCAGATTTGAAACACTCTTTTTGCGGAATTTGCAAGTGGAGATTTCTAGCCATTTGATGCCAACAGTAGAAAGGGAAATATCTTCAAATAAAAACCAGACAGAATCATTCTCAGAAAATTCTTTGTGATGTGTGCGTTCAACTCACATAGTTTAACCTTTCTTTTCATAGAGCAGTTTGGAAACACTCTGTTTGTAAAGTCTGCATGTGGATATATGGACCGCATTGAGGCCTTCGTTGGAAACGGGATTTCTTCATTTCATGCTAGACAGAAGAATTCTCAGTAACTTCTTTGTGCTGTGTGTATTCAACTCACAGAGTGGAACGTCCCTTTACACAGAGCAGATTTGAAACACTCTTTTTGTGGAGTTTGCAAGTGGAGATTTCAAGCCGATTTGATGCCAACAGTAGAAAAGGAAATATCTTCAAATAAAAACTAGACAGAATCATTCTCAGAAACTACTTTGTGATGTGTGCCTTCAACTCACAGAGTTTAACCTTTCTTTTCTTAGAGCAGTTTAGAAACACTCTGCTTGTTATGTCTGCAAGTGGATATTTGGACCTCTTTGAGGCCTTCGTTGCAAACGGGGTTTCTTCCTTTAATGCTAGACTAAGAAGAGTTCTCAGTAACTTTTTTGTGTTGTGTGTATTCAACTCACAGAGTTGAACCTTGCTTTAGAGAGAGCAGATTTGAAACACTCTCGCTGTGGAATTTTCAGGTGGAGATTTCAAGCGATTTGAGGACAATTGCAGAAAAGGAAATATCTTCGTATAATAACCAGACAGAATCATTCTCAGAAAGTGCTTTGTGATGTGTGCGTTCAACTCACAGAGTTTAACCTTTCTTTTCATAGAGGAGTTTGGAAACACACTGTTTGTAAAGTCTGCAATTGGATATATGGACCTGTTTGAGGCCTTCGTTGGAAACGGGATTTCTTCATTGAATGCTAGACGGAAGAATTCTCAGTAAATTCTTTGCGTTGTGTGCATTCAACTGACAGAGTGGAACGTCCCTTTAGACAGAGCAGATTTGAAACACTCTTTTTGCGGAATTTGCAAGTGGAGATTTCTAGCCATTTGATGCCAACAGTAGAAAGGGAAATATCTTCAAATAAAAACCAGACAGAATCATTCTCAGAAAATTCTTTGTGATGTGTGCGTTCAACTCACATAGTTTAACCTTTCTTTTCATAGAGCAGTTTGGAAACACTCTGTTTGTAAAGTCTGCAAGTGGATATATAGACCGCATTGAGGCCTTCGTTGGAAACGGGATTTCTTCATTTCATGCTAGACAGAAGAATTCTCAGTAACTTCTTTGTGCTGTGTGTATTCAACTCACAGAGTGGAACGTCCCTTTACACAGAGCAGATTTGAAACACTCTTTTTGTGGAATTTGCAAGTGGAGATTTCAAGCGATTTGATGCCAACAGTAGAAAAGGAAATATCTTCAAATAAAAACTAGACAGAATCATTCTCAGAAACTACTTTGTGATGTGTGCCTTCAACTCACAGAGTTTAACCTTTCTTTTCTTAGAGCAGTTTAGAAACACTCTGCTTGTTATGTCTGCAAGTGGATATTTGGACCTCTTTGAGGCCTTCGTTGCAAACGGGGTTTCTTCCTTTCATGCTAGACTAAGAAGAGTTCTCAGTAACTTTTTTGTGTTGTGTGTATTCAACTCACAGAGTTGAACCTTGCTTTAGAGAGAGCAGATTTGAAACACTCTTGCTGTGGCATTTTCAGGTGGAGATTTCAAGCGATTTGAGGACAATTGCAGAAAAGGAAATATCTTCGTATAATAACCAGACAGAATCATTCTCAGAAAGTGCTTTGTGATGTGTGCGTTCAACTCACAGAGTTTAACCTTTCTTTTCATAGAGGAGTTTGGAAACACACTGTTTGTAAAGTCTGCAATTGGATATATGGACCTGTTTGAGGCCTTCGTTGGAAACGGGATTTCTTCATTGCATGCTAGACGGAAGAATTCTCAGTAAATTCTTTGTGTTGTGTGCATTCAACTCACAGAGTGGAACGTCCCTTTAGACAGAGCAGATTTGAAACACTCTTTTTGCGGAATTTGCAAGTGGAGATTTCTAGCCATTTGATGCCAACAGTAGAAAGGGAAATATCTTCAAATAAAAACCAGACAGAATCATTCTCAGAAAGTGCTTTGTGATGTGTGCGTTCCACTCACAGAGTTTAACCTTTCTTTTCATAGAGGAGTTTGGAAACACACTGTTTGTAAAGTCTGCAAGTGGATATATGGACCTGTTTGAGGCCTTCGTTGGAAACGGGATTTCTTCATTGAATGCTAGACGGAAGAATTCTCAGTAAATTCTTTGTGTTGTGTGCATTCAACTCACAGAGTGGAACGTCCCTTTAGACAGAGCAGATTTGAAACACTCTTTTTGCGGAATTTGCAAGTGGAGATTTCTAGCCATTTGATGCCAACAGTAGAAAGGGAAATATCTTCAAATAAAAACCAGACAGAATCATTCTCAGAAAATTCTTTGTGATGTGTGCGTTCAACTCACATAGTTTAACCTTTCTTTTCATAGAGCAGTTTGGAAACACTCTGTTTGTAAAGTCTGCAAGTGGATATATGGACCGCATTGAGGCCTTCGTTGGAAACGGGATTTCTTCATTTCATGCTAGACAGAAGAATTCTCAGTAACTTCTTTGTGCTGTGTGTATTCAACTCACAGAGTGGAACGTCCCTTTACACAGAGCAGATTTGAAACACTCTTTTTGTGGAGTTTCCAAGTGGAGATTTCAAGCGATTTGATGCCAACAGTAGAAAAGGAAATATCTTCAAATAAAAACTAGACAGAATCATTCTCAGAAACTACTTTGTGATGTGTGCCTTCAACTCACAGAGTTTAACCTTTCTTTTCTTAGAGCACTTTAGAAACACTCTGCTTGTTATGTCTGCAAGTGGATATTTGGACCTCTTTGAGGCCTTCGTTGCAAACGGGGTTTCTTCCTTTAATGCTAGACTAAGAAGAGTTCTCAGTAACTTTTTTGTGTTGTGTGTATTCAACTCACAGAGTTGAACCTTGCTTTAGAGAGAGCAGATTTGAAACACTCTTGCTGTGGCATTTTCAGGTGGAGATTTCAAGCGATTTGAGGACAATTGCAGAAAAGGAAATATCTTCGTATAATAACCAGACAGAATCATTCTCAGAAAGTGCTTTGTGATGTGTGCGTTCCACTCACAGAGTTTAACCTTTCTTTTCATAGAGGAGTTTGGAAACACACTGTTCGTAAAGTCTGCAAGTGGATATATGGACCTGTTTGAGGCCTTCGTTGGAAACGGGATTTCTTCATTGAATGCTAGACGGAAGAATTCTCAGTAAATTCTTTGTGTTGTGTGCATTCAACTCACAGAGTGGAACGTCCCTTTAGACAGAGCAGATTTGAAACACTCTTTTTGCGGAATTTGCAAGTGGAGATTTCTAGCCATTTGATGCCAACAGTAGAAAGGGAAATATCTTCAAATAAAAACCAGACAGAATCATTCTCAGAAAATTCTTTGTGATGTGTGCGTTCAACTCACATAGTTTAACCTTTCTTTTCATAGAGCAGTTTGGGAACACTCTGTTGGTAATGTCTGCAAGTGGATATATGGACCGCTTTGAGGCCTTCGTTGGAAACGGGATTTCTTCATTTCATGCTAGACAGAAGAATTCACAGTAACTTCTTTGTGCTGTGTGTATTCAACTCACAGAGTGGAACGTCCCTTTACACAGAGCAGATTTGAAACACTCTTTTTGTGGAGTTTGCAAGTGGAGATTTCAAGCGATTTGATGCCAACAGTAGAAAAGGAAATATCTGCAAACAAAAACTAGACAGAATCATTATCAGAAAGTGCTTTGTGATGTGTGCATTCAACTCACAGAGTTAACCTTTCTTTTCATAAAGGAGTTTGGAAACACACTGTTTGTAAAGTCTGCAATTGGATATATGGACCTGTTTGAGGCCTTCGTTGGAAACGGGATTTCTTCATTGAATGCTAGACGGAAGAATTCTCAGTAAATTCTTTGTGTTGTGTGCATTCAACTCACAGAGTGGAACGTCCCTTTAGACAGAGCAGATTTGGAACACTCTTTTTGCGGAATTTGCAAGTGGAGATTTCTAGCCATTTGATGCCAACAGTAGAAAGGGAAATATCTTCAAATAAAAACCAGACAGAATCATTCTCATAAAATTCTTTGTGATGTGTGCGTTCAAATCACATAGTTTAACCTTTCTTTTCATAGAGCAGTTTGGAAACACTCTGTTTGCAAAGTCTGCAAGTGGATATATGGACCGCATTGAGGCCTTCGTTGGAAACGGGATTTCTTCATTTCATGCTAGACAGAAGAATTCTCAGTAACTTCTTTGTGCTGTGTGTATTCAACTCACAGAGTGGAACGTCCCTTTACACAGAGCAGATTTGAAACACTCTTTTTGTGGAATTTGCAAGTGGAGATTTCAAGCGATTTGATGCCAACAGTAGAAAAGGAAATATCTTCAAATAAAAACTAGACAGAATCATTCTCAGAAACTACTTTGTGATGTGTGCCTTCAACTCACAGAGTTTAACCTTTCTTTTCTTAGAGCAGTTTAGAAACACTCTGCTTGTTATGTCTGCAAGTGGATATTTGGACCTCTTTGAGGCCTTCGTTGCAAACGGGGTTTCTTCCTTTCATGCTAGACTAAGAAGAGTTCTCAGTAACTTTTTTGTGTTGTGTGTATTCAACTCACAGAGTTGAACCTTGCTTTAGAGAGAGCAGATTTGAAACACTCTTGCTGTGGCATTTTCAGGTGGAGATTTCAAGCGATTTGAGGACAATTGCAGAAAAGGAAATATCTTCGTATAATAACCAGACAGAATCATTCTCAGAAAGTGCTTTGTGATGTGTGCGTTCCACTCACAGAGTTTAACCTTTCTTTTCATAGAGGAGTTTGGAAACACACTGTTTGTAAACTCTGCAAGTGGATATATGGACCTGTTTGAGGCCTTCGTTGGAAACGGGATTTCTTCATTGAATGCTAGACGGAAGAATTCTCAGTAAATACTTTGTGTTGTGTGCATTCAACTGACAGAGTGGAACGTCCCTTTAGACAGAGCAGATTTGAAACACTCTTTTTGCGGAATTTGCAAGTGGAGATTTCTAGCCATTTGATGCCAACAGTAGAAAGGGAAATATCTTCAAATAAAAACCAGACAGAATCATTCTCAGAAAATTCTTTGTGATGTGTGCGTTCAACTCACATAGTTTAACCTTTCTTTTCATAGAGCAGTTTGGAAACACTCTGTTTGTAAAGTCTGCAAGTGGATATATGGACCGCATTGAGGCCTTCGTTGGAAACGGGATTTCTTCATTTCATGCTAGACAGAAGAATTCTCAGTAACTTCTTTGTGCTGTGTGTATTCAACTCACAGAGTAGAACGTCCCTTTACACAGAGCAGATTTGAAACACTCTTTTTGTGGAGTTTGCAAGTGGAGATTTCAAGCGATTTGATGCCAACAGTAGAAAAGGAAATATCTTCAAATAAAAACTAGACAGAATCATTCTCAGAAACTACTTTGTGATGTGTGCCTTCAACTCACAGAGTTTAACCTTTCTTTTCTTAGAGCAGTTTAGAAACACTCTGCTTGTTATGTCTGCAAGTGGATATTTGGACCTCTTTGAGGCCTTCGTTGCAAACGGGGTTTCTTCCTTTAATGCTAGACTAAGAAGAGTTCTCAGTAACTTTTTTGTGTTGTGTGTATTCAACTCACAGAGTTGAACCTTGCTTTAGAGAGAGCAGATTTGAAACACTCTTGCTGTGGCATTTTCCGGTGGAGATTTCAAGCGATTTGAGGACAATTGCAGAAAAGGAAATATCTTCGTATAATAACCAGACAGAATCATTCTCAGAAAGTGCTTTGTGATGTGTGCGTTCAACTCACAGAGTTTAACCTTTCTTTTCATAGAGGAGTTTGGAAACACACTGTTTGTAAAGTCTGCAATTGGATATATGGACCTGTTTGAGGCCTTCGTTGGAAACGGGATTTCTTCATTGAATGCTAGACGGAAGAATTCTCAGTAAATTCTTTGTGTTGTGTGCATTCAACTCACAGAGTGGAACGTCCCTTTAGACAGAGCAGATTTGAAACACTCTTTTTGCGGAATTTGCAAGTGGAGATTTCTAGCCATTTGATGCCAACAGTAGAAAGGGAAATATCTTCAAATAAAAACCAGACAGAATCATTCTCAGAAAATTCTTTGTGATGTGTGCGTTCAACTCACATAGTTTAACCTTTCTTTTCATAGAGCAGTTTGGAAACACTCTGTTTGTAAAGTCTGCAAGTGGATATATGGACCGCATTGAGGCCTTCGTTGGAAACGGGATTTCTTCATTTCATGCTAGACAGAAGAATTCTCAGTAACTTCTTTGTGCTGTGTGTATTCAACTCACAGAGTGGAACGTCCCTTTACACAGAGCAGATTTGAAACACTCTTTTTGTGGAGTTTGCAAGTGGAGATTTCAAGCGATTTGATGCCAACAGTAGAAAAGGAAATATCTTCAAATAAAAACTAGACAGAATCATTCTCAGAAACTACTTTGTGATGTGTGCCTTCAACTCACAGAGTTTAACCTTTCTTTTCTTAGAGCAGTTTAGAAACACTCTGCTTGTTATGTCTGCAAGTGGATATTTGGACCTCTTTGAGGCCTTCGTTGCAAACGGGGTTTCTTCCTTTCATGCTAGACTAAGAAGAGTTCTCAGTAACTTTTTTGTGTTGTGTGTATTCAACTCACAGAGTTGAACCTTGCTTTAGAGAGAGCAGATTTGAAACACTCTTGCTGTGGCATTTTCAGGTGGAGATTTCAAGCGATTTGAGGACAATTGCAGAAAAGGAAATATCTTCGTATAATAACCAGACAGAATCATTCTCAGAAAGTGCTTTGTGATGTGTGCGTTCCACTCACAGAGTTTAACCTTTCTTTTCATAGAGGAGTTTGGAAACAAACTGTTTGTAAACTCTGCAAGTGGATATATGGACCTGTTTGAGGCCTTCGTTGGAAACGGGATTTCTTCATTGAATGCTAGACGGAAGAATTCTCAGTAAATTCTTTGTGTTGTGTGCATTCAACTGACAGAGTGGAACGTCCCTTTAGACAGAGCAGATTTGAAACACCCTTTTTGCGGAATTTGCAAGTGGAGATTTCTAGCCATTTGATGCCAACAGTAGAAAGGGAAATATCTTCAAATAAAAACCAGACAGAATCATTCTCAGAAAATTCTTTGTGATGTGTGCGTTCAACTCACATAGTTTAACCTTTCTTTTCATAGAGCAGTTTGGAAACACTCTGTTTGTAAAGTCTGCAAGTGGATATATGGACCGCATTGAGGCCTTCGTTGGAAACGGGATTTCTTCATTTCATGCTAGACAGAAGAATTCTCAGTAACTTCTTTGTGCTGTGTGTATTCAACTCACAGACTGGAACGTCCCTTTGCACAGAGCAGATTTGAAACACTCTTTTTGTGGAGTTTGCAAGTGGAGATTTCAAGCGATTTGATGCCAACAGTAGAAAAGGAAATATCTTCAAATAAAAACTAGACAGAATCATTCTCAGAAACTACTTTGTGATGTGTGCCTTCAACTCACAGAGTTTAACCTTTCTTTTCTTAGAGCAGTTTAGAAACACTCTGCTTGTTATGTCTGCAAGTGGATATTTGGACCTCTTTGAGGCCTTCGTTGCAAACGGGGTTTCTTCCTTTCATGCTAGACTAAGAAGAGTTCTCAGTAACTTTTTTGTGTTGTGTGTATTCAACTCACAGAGTTGAACCTTGCTTTAGAGAGAGCAGATTTGAAACACTCTTGCTGTGGCATTTTCAGGTGGAGATTTCAAGCGATTTGAGGACAATTGCAGAAAAGGAAATATCTTCGTATAATAACCAGACAGAATCATTCTCAGAAAGTGCTTTGTGATGTGTGCGTTCAACTCACAGAGTTTAACCTTTCTTTTCATAGAGGAGTTTGGAAACACACTGTTTGTAAAGTCTGCAAGTGGATATATGGACCTGTTTGAGGCCTTCGTTGGAAACGGGATTTCTTCATTGAATGGTAGACGGAAGAATTGCTCAGTAAATTCTTTGTGTTGTGTGCATTCAACTCACAGAGTGGAACGTCCCTTTAGACAGAGCAGATTTGAAACACTCTTTTTGCGGAATTTGCAAGTGGAGATTTCTAGCCATTTGATGCCAACAGTAGAAAGGGAAATATCTTCAAATAAAAACCAGACAGAATCATTCTCAGAAAATTCTTTGTGATGTGTGCGTTCAACTCACATAGTTTAACCTTTCTTTTTATAGAGCAGTTTGGAAACACTCTGTTTGTAAAGTCTGCAAGTGGATATATGGACCGCATTGAGGCCTTCGTTGGAAACGGGATTTCTTCATTTCATGCTAGACAGAAGAATTCTCAGTAACTTCTTTGTGCTGTGTGTATTCAACTCACAGAGTGGAACGTCCCTTTGCACAGAGCAGATTTGAAACACTCTTTTTGTGGAGTTTGCAAGTGGAGATTTCAAGCGATTTGATGCCAACAGTAGAAAAGGAAATATCTTCAAATAAAAACTAGACAGAATCATTCTCAGAAACTACTTTGTGATGTGTGCCTTCAACTCACAGAGTTTAACCTTTCTTTTCATAGAGCAGTTTAGAAACACTCTGCTTGTTATGTCTGCAAGTGGATATTTGGACCTCTTTGAGGCCTTCGTTGCAAACGGGGTTTCTTCCTTTCATGCTAGACTAAGAAGAGTTCTCAGTAACTTTTTTGTGTTGTGTGTATTCAACTCACAGAGTTGAACCTTGCTTTAGAGAGAGCAGATTTGAAACACTCTTGCTGTGGCATTTTCAGGTGGAGATTTCAAGCGATTTGAGGACAATTGCAGAAAAGGAAATATCTTCGTATAACAACCAGACAGAATCATTCTCAGAAAGTGCTTTGTGATGTGTGCGTTCAACTCACAGAGTTTAACCTTTCTTTTCATAGAGGAGTTTGGAAACACACTGTTTGTAAAGTCTGCAATTGGATATATGGATCTGTTTGAGGCCTTCGTTGGAAACGGGATTTCTTCATTGAATGCTAGACGGAAGAATTCTCAGTAAATTCTTCGTGTTGTGTGCATTCAACTCACAGAGTGGAACGTCCCTTTAGACAGAGCAGATTTGAAACACTCTTTTTGCGGAATTTGCAAGTGGAGATTTCTAGCCATTTGATGCCAACAGTAGAAAGGGAAATATCTTCAAATAAAAACCAGACAGAATCATTCTCAGAAAATTCTTTGTGATGTGTGCGTTCAACTCACATAGTTTAACCTTTCTTTTCATAGAGCAGTTTGGAAACACTCTGTTTGTAAAGTCTGCAAGTGGATATATGGACCGCATTGAGGCCTTCGTTGGAAACGGGATTTCTTCATTTCATGCTAGACAGAAGAATTCTCAGTAACTTCTTTGTGCTGTGTGTATTCAACTCACAGAGTGGAACGTCCCTTTGCACAGAGCAGATTTGAAACACTCTTTTTGTGGAGTTTGCAAGTGGAGATTTCAAGCGATTTGATGCCAACAGTAGAAAAGGAAATATCTTCAAATAAAAACTAGACAGAATCATTCTCAGAAACTACTTTGTGATGTGTGCCTTCAACTCACAGAGTTTAACCTTTCTTTTCTTAGAGCAGTTTAGAAACACTCTGCTTGTTATGTCTGCAAGTGGATATTTGGACCTCTTTGAGGCCTTCGTTGCAAACGGGGTTTCTTCCTTTCATGCTAGACTAAGAAGAGTTCTCAGTAACTTTTTTGTGTTGTGTGTATTCAACTCACAGAGTTGAACCTTGCTTTAGAGAGAGCAGATTTGAAACACTCTTGCTGTGGCATTTTCAGGTGGAGATTTCAAGCGTTTTGAGGACAATTGCAGAAAAGGAAATATCTTCGTATAATAACCAGACAGAATCATTCTCAGAAAGTGCTTTGTGATGTGTGCGTTCCACTCACAGAGTTTAACCTTTCTTTTCATAGAGGAGTTTGGAAACACACTGTTTGTAAAGTCTGCAAGTGGATATATGGACCTGTTTGAGGCCTTCGTTGGAAACGGGATTTCTTCATTGAATGCTAGACGGAAGAATTCTCAGTAAATTCTTTGTGTTGTGTGCATTCAACTCACAGAGTGGAACGTCCCTTTAGACAGAGCAGATTTGAAACACTCTTTTTGCGGAATTTGCAAGTGGAGATTTCTAGCCATTTGATGCCAACAGTAGAAAGGGAAATATCTTCAAATAAAAACCAGACAGAATCATTCTCAGAAAATTCTTTGTGATGTGTGCGTTCAACTCACATAGTTTAACCTTTCTTTTCTTAGAGCAGTTTAGAAACACTCTGCTTGTTATGTCTGCAAGTGGATATTTGGACCTCTTTGAGGCCTTCGTTGCAAACGGGGTTTCTTCCTTTCATGCTAGACTAAGAAGAGTTCTCAGTAACTTTTCTGTGTTGTGTGTATTCAACTCACAGAGTTGAACCTTGCTTTAGAGAGAGCAGATTTGAAACACTCTTGCTGTGACATTTTCAGGTGGAGATTTCAAGCGATTTGAGGACAATTGCAGAAAAGGAAATATCTTCGTATAACAACCAGACAGAATCATTCTCAGAAAGTGCTTTGTGATGTGTGCGTTCAACTCACAGAGTTTAACCTTTCTTTTCATAGAGGAGTTTGGAAACACACTGTTTGTAAAGTCTGCAATTGGATATATGGACCTGTTTGAGGCCTTCGTTGGAAACGGGATTTCTTCATTGACTGCTAGACGGAAGAATTCTCAGTAAATTCTTTGTGTTGTGTGCATTCAACTCCCAGAGCGGAACGTCCCTTTAGACAGAGCAGATTTGAAACACTCTTTTTGCGGAATTTGCAAGTGGAGATTTCTAGCCATTTGATGCCAACAGTAGAAAGGGAAATATCTTCAAATAAAAACCAGACAGAATCATTCTCAGAAAATTCTTTGTGATGTGTGCGTTCAACTCACATAGTTTAACCTTTCTTTTCATAGAGCAGTTTGGAAACACTCTGTTTGTAAAGTCTGCAAGTTGATATATGGACCGCATTGAGGCCTTCGTTGGAAACGGGATTTCTTCATTTCATGCTAGACAGAAGAATTCTCAGTAACTTCTTTGTGCTGTGTGTATTCAACTCACAGAGTGGAACGTTCCTTTACACAGAACAGATTTGAAACACTCTTTTTGTGGAATTTGCAAGTGGAGATTTCAAGCGATTTGATGCCAACAGTAGAAAAGGAAATATCTTCAAATAAAAACTAGACAGAATCATTATCAGAAACTACTTTGTGATGTGTGCCTTCAACTCACAGAGTTTAACCTTTCTTTTCTTAGAGCAGTTTAGAAACACTCTGCTTGTTATGTCTGCAAGTGGATATTTGGACCTCTTTGAGGCCTTCGTTGCAAACGGGGTTTCTTCCTTTCATGCTAGACTAAGAAGAGTTCTCAGTAACTTTTTTGTGTTGTGTGTATTCAACTCACAGAGTTGAACCTTGCTTTAGAGAGAGCAGATTTGAAACACTCTTGCTGTGGCATTTTCAGGTGGAGATTTCAAGCGTTTTGAGGACAATTGCAGAAAAGGAAATATCTTCGTATAATAACCAGACAGAATCATTCTCAGAAAGTGCTTTGTGATGTGTGCGTTCAACTCACAGAGTTTAACCTTTCTTTTCATAGAGGAGTTTGGAAACACACTGTTTGTAATGTCTGCAATTGGATATATGGACCTGTTTGAGGCCTTCGTTGGAAACGGGATTTCTTCATTGAATGCTAGACGGAAGAATTCTCAGTAAATTCTTTGTGTTGTGTGCATTCAACTCACAGAGTGGAACGTCCCTTTAGACAGAGCAGATTTGAAACACTTTTTGGCGGAATTTGCAAGTGGAGATTTCTAGCCATTTGATGCCAACAGTAGAAAGGGAAATATCTTCAAATAAAAACCAGACAGAATCATTCTCAGAAAATTCTTTGTGATGTGTGCGTTCAACTCACATAGTTTAACCTTTCTTTTCATAGAGCAGTTTGGAAACACTCTGTTTGTAAAGTCTGCAAGTGGATATAGGGACCGCATTGAGGCCTTCGTTGGAAACGGGATTTCTTCATTTCATGCTAGACAGAAGAATTCTCAGTAACTTCTTTGTGCTGTGTGTATTCAACTCACAGAGTGGAACGTCCCTTTGCACAGAGCAGATTTGAAACACTCTTTTTGTGGAGTTTGCAAGTGGAGATTTCAAGCGATTTGATGCCAACAGTAGAAAAGGAAATATCTTCAAATAAAAACTAGACAGAATCATTCTCAGAAACTACTTTGTGATGTGTGCCTTTAACTCACAGAGTTTAACCTTTCTTTTCTTAGAGCAGTTTAGAAACACTCTGCTTGTTATGTCTGCAAGTGGATATTTGGACCTCTTTGAGGCCTTCGTTGCAAACGGGGTTTCTTCCTTTAATGCTAGACTAAGAAGAGTTCTCAGTAACTTTTTTGTGTTGTGTGTATTCAACTCACAGAGTTGAACCTTGCTTTAGAGAGAGCAGATTTGAAACACTCTCGCTGTGGAATTTTCAGGTGGAGATTTCAAGCGATTTGAGGACAATTGCAGAAAAGGAAATATCTTCGTATAATTACCAGACAGAATCATTCTCAGAAAGTGCTTTGTGATGTGTGCGTTCCACTCACAGAGTTTAACCTTTCTTTTCATAGAGGAGTTTGGAAACACACTGTTTGTAAAGTCTGCAATTGGATATATGGACCTGTTTGAGGCCTTCGTTGGAAACGGGATTTCTTCATTGAATGCTAGACGGAAGAATTCTCAGTAAATTCTTTGTGTTGTGTGCATTCAACTGACAGAGTGGAACGTCCCTTTAGACAGAGCAGATTTGAAACACTCTTTTTGCGGAATTTGCAAGTGGAGATTTCTAGCCATTTGATGCCAACAGTAGAAAGGGAAATATCTTCAAATAAAAACCAGACAGAATCATTCTCAGAAAATTCTTTGTGATGTGTGCGTTCAACTCACATAGTTTAACCTTTCTTTTCATAGAGCAGTTTGGAAACACTCTGTTTGTAAAGTCTGCAAGTGGATCTATGGACCGCATTGAGGCCTTCGTTGGAAACGGGATTTCTTCATTTCATGCTAGACAGAAGAATTCTCAGTAACTTCTTTGTGCTGTGTGTATTCAACTCACAGAGTGGAACGTCCCTTTACACAGAGCAGATTTGAAACACTCTTTTTGTGGAGTTTGCAAGTGGAGATTTCAAGCGATTTGATGCCAACAGTAGAAAAGGAAATATCTTCAAATAAAAACTAGACAGAATCATTCTCAGAAACTACTTTGTGATGTGTGCCTTCAACTCACAGAGTTTAACCTTTCTTTTCTTAGAGCAGTTTAGAAACACTCTGCTTGTTATGTCTGCAAGTGGATATTTGGACCTCTTTGAGGCCTTCGTTGCAAACGGGGTTTCTTCCTTTCATGCTAGACTAAGAAGAGTTCTCAGTAACTTTTTTGTGTTGTGTGTATTCAACTCACAGAGTTGAACCTTGCTTTAGAGAGAGCAGATTTGAAACACTCTTGCTGTGGCATTTTCAGGTGGAGATTTCAAGCGATTTGAGGACAATTGCAGAAAAGGAAATATCTTCGTATAATAACCAGACAGAATCATTCTCAGAAAGTGCTTTGTGATGTGTGCGTTCAACTCACAGAGTTTAACCTTTCTTTTCATAGAGGAGTTTGGAAACACACTGTTTGTAAAGTCTGCAAGTGGATATATGGACCTGTTTGAGGCCTTCATTGGAAACGGGATTTCTTCATTGAATGCTAGACGGAAGAATTCTCAGTAAATTCTTTGTGTTGTGTGCATTCAACTGACAGAGTGGAACGTCCCTTTAGACAGAGCAGATTTGAAACACTCTTTTTGCGGAATTTGCAAGTGGAGATTTCTAGCCATTTGATGCCAACAGTAGAAAAGGAAATATCTTCAAATAAAAACTAGACAGAATCATTCTCAGAAACTACTTTGTGATGTGTGCCTTCAACTCACAGAGTTTAACCTTTCTTTTCTTAGAGCAGTTTAGAAACACTCTGCTTGTTATGTCTGCAAGTGGATATTTGGACCTCTTTGAGGCCTTCGTTGCAAACGGGGTTTCTTCCTTTCATGCTAGACTAAGAAGAGTTCTCAGTAACTTTTTTGTGTTGTGTGTATTCAACTCACAGAGTTGAACCTTGCTTTAGAGAGAGCAGATTTGAAACACTCTTGCTGTGGCATTTTCAGGTGGAGATTTCAAGCGATTTGAGGACAATTGCAGAAAAGGAAATATCTTCGTATAATAACCAGACAGAATCATTCTCAGAAAGTGCTTTGTGATGTGTGCGTTCAACTCACAGAGTTTAACCTTTCTTTTCATAGAGGAGTTTGGAAACACACTGTTTGTAAAGTCTGCAATTGGATATATGGACCTGTTTGAGGCCTTCGTTGGAAACGGGATTTCTTCATTGCATGCTAGACGGAAGAATTCTCAGTAAATTCTTTGTGTTGTGTGCATTCAACTCACAGAGTGGAACGTCCCTTTAGACAGAGCAGATTTGAAACACTCTTTTTGCGGAATTTGCAAGTGGAGATTTCTAGCCATTTGATGCCAACAGTAGAAAAGGAAATATCTTCAAATAAAAACTAGACAGAATCATTCTCAGAAACTACTTTGTGATGTGTGCCTTCAACTCACAGAGTTTAACCTTTCTTTTCTTAGAGCACTTTAGAAACACTCTGCTTGTTATGTCTGCAAGTGGATATTTGGACCTCTTTGAGGCCTTCGTTGCAAACGGGGTTTCTTCCTTTAATGCTAGACTAAGAAGAGTTCTCAGTAACTTTTTTGTGTTGTGTGTATTCAACTCACAGAGTTGAACCTTGCTTTAGAGAGAGCAGATTTGAAACACTCTTGCTGTGGCATTTTCAGGTGGAGATTTCAAGCGATTTGAGGACAATTGCAGAAAAGGAAATATCTTCGTATAATAACCAGACAGAATCATTCTCAGAAAGTGCTTTGTGATGTGTGCGTTCAACTCACAGAGTTTAACCTTTCTTTTCATAGAGGAGCTTGGAAACACACTGTTTGTAAAGTCTGCAAGTGGATATATGGACCTGTTTGAGGCCTTCGTTGGAAACGGGATTTCTTCATTGAATGCTAGACGGAAGAATTCTCAGTAAATTCTTTGTGTTGTGTGCATTCAACTCACAGAGTGGAACGTCCCTTTAGACAGAGCAGATTTGAAACACTCTTTTTGCGGAATTTGCAAGTGGAGATTTCTAGCCATTTGATGCCAACAGTAGAAAGGGAAATATCTTCAAATAAAAACCAGACCGAATCATTCTCAGAAAATTCTTTGTGATGTGTGCGTTCAACTCACATAGTTTAACCTTTCTTTTCATTGAGCAGTTTGGAAACACTCTGTTTGTAAAGTCTGCAAGTGGATATATGGACCGCATTGAGGCCTTCGTTGGAAACGGGATTTCTTCATTTCATGCTAGACAGAAGAATTCTCAGTAACTTCTTTGTGCTGTGTGTATTCAACTCACAGAGTGGAACGTCCCTTTGCACAGAGCAGATTTGAAACACTCTTTTTGTGGAGTTTGCAAGTGGAGATTTCAAGCGATTTGATGCCAACAGTAGAAAAGGAAATATCTTCAAATAAAAACTAGACAGAATCATTCTCAGAAACTACTTTGTGATGTGTGCCTTCAACTCACAGAGTTTAACCTTTCTTTTCTTAGAGCAGTTTAGAAACACTCTGCTTGTTATGTCTGCAAGTGGATATTTGGACCTCTTTGAGGCCTTCGTTGCAAACGGGGTTTCTTCCTTTCATGCTAGACTAAGAAGAGTTCTCAGTAACTTTTTTGTGTTGTGTGTATTCAACTCACAGAGTTGAACCTTGCTTTAGAGAGAGCAGATTTGAAACACTCTTGCTGTGGCATTTTCAGGTGGAGATTTCAAGCGATTTGAGGACAATTGCAGAAAAGGAAATATCTTCGTATAATAACCAGACAGAATCATTCTCAGAAAGTGCTTTGTGATGTGTGCGTTCCACTCACAGAGTTTAACCTTTCTTTTCATAGAGGAGTTTGGAAACACACTGTTTGTAAAGTCTGCAAGTGGATATATGGACCTGTTTGAGGCCTTCGTTGGAAACGGGATTTCTTCATTGAATGCTAGACGGAAGAATTCTCAGTAAATTCTTTGTGTTGTGTGCATTCAACTCACAGAGTGGAACGTCCCTTTAGACAGAGCAGATTTGAAACACTCTTTTTGCGGAATTTGCAAGTGGAGATTTCTAGCCATTTGATGCCAACAGTAGAAAGGGAAATATCTTCAAATAAAAACCAGACAGAATCATTCTCAGAAAATTCTTTGTGATGTGTGCGTTCAACTCACATAGTTTAACCTTTCTTTTCATAGAGCAGTTTGGGAACACTCTGTTGGTAATGTCTGCAAGTGGATATATGGACCGCTTTGAGGCCTTCGTTGGAAAAGGGATTTCTTCATTTCATGCTAGACAGAAGAATTCTCAGTAACTTCTTTGTGCTGTGTGTATTCAACTCACAGAGTGGAACGTCCCTTTACACAGAGCAGATTTGAAACACTCTTTTTGTGGAGTTTGCAAGTGGAGATTTCAAGCGATTTGATGCCAACAGTAGAAAAGGAAATATCTGCAAACAAAAACTAGACAGAATCATTATCAGAAAGTGCTTTGTGATGTGTGCATTCAACTCACAGAGTTAACCTTTCTTTTCATAAAGGAGTTTGGAAACACACTCTTTGTAAAGTCTGCAATTGGATATATGGACCTGTTTGAGGCCTTCGTTGGAAACGGGATTTCTTCATTGAATGCTAGACGGAAGAATTCTCAGTAAATTCTTTGTGTTGTGTGCATTCAACTCACAGAGTGGAACGTCCCTTTAGACAGAGCAGATTTGAAACACTCTTTTTGCGGAATTTGCAAGTGGAGATTTCTAGCCATTTGATACCAACAGTAGAAAGGGAAATATCTTCAAATAAAAACCAGACAGAATCATTCTCAGAAAATTCTTTGTGATGTGTGCGTTCAACTCACATAGTTTAACCTTTCTTTTCATAGAGCAGTTTGGAAACACTCTGTTTGTAAAGTCTGCAAGTGGATATATGGACCGCATTGAGGCCTTCGTTGGAAACGGGATTTCTTCATTTCATGCTAGACAGAAGAATTCTCAGTAACTTCTTTGTGCTGTGTGTATTCAACTCACAGAGTGGAACGTCCCTTTACACAGAGCAGATTTGAAACACTCTTTTTGTGGAGTTTGCAAGTGGAGATTTCAAGCGATTTGATGCCAACAGTAGAAAAGGAAATATCTTCAAATAAAAACTAGACAGAATCATTCTCAGAAACTACTTTGTGATGTGTGCCTTCAACTCACAGAGTTTAACCTTTCTTTTCTTAGAGCAGTTTAGAAACACTCTGCTTGTTATGTCTGCAAGTGGATATTTGGACCTCTTTGAGGCCTTCGTTGCAAACGGGGTTTCTTCCTTTCATGCTAGACTAAGAAGAGTTCTCAGTAACTTTTTTGTGTTGTGTGTATTCAACTCACAGAGTTGAACCTTGCTTTAGAGAGAGCAGATTTGAAACACTCTTGCTGTGGCATTTTCAGGTGGAGATTTCAAGCGATTTGAGGACAATTGCAGAAAAGGAAATATCTTCGTATAACAACCAGACAGAATCATTCTCAGAAAGTGCTTTGTGTTGTGTGCGTTCAACTCACAGAGTTTAACCTTTCTTTTCATAGAGGAGTTTGGAAACACACTGTTTGTAAAGTCTGCAATTGGATATATGGACCTGTTTGAGGCCTTCGTTGGAAACGGGATTTCTTCATTGAATGCTAGACGGAAGAATTCTCAGTAAATTCTTTGTGTTGTGTGCATTCAACTCACAGAGTGGAACGTCCCTTTAGACAGAGCAGATTTGAAACACTCTTTTTGCGGAATTTGCAAGTGGAGATTTCTAGCCATTTGATGCCAACAGTAGAAAGGGAAATATCTTCAAATAAAAACCAGACAGAATCATTCTCAGAAAATTCTTTGTGATGTGTGCGTTCAACTCACATAGTTTAACCTTTCTTTTCATAGAGCAGTTTGGAAACACTCTGTTTGTAAAGTCTGCAAGTGGATATATGGACCGCATTGAGGCCTTCGTTGGAAACGGGATTTCTTCATTTCATGCTAGACAGAAGAATTCTCAGTAACTTCTTTGTGCTGTGTGTATTCAACTCACAGAGTGGAACGTCCCTTTGCACAGAGCAGATTTGAAACACTCTTTTTGTGGAGTTTGCAAGTGGAGATTTCAAGCGATTTGATGCCAACAGTAGAAAAGGAAATATCTTCAAATAAAAACTAGACAGAATCATTCTCAGAAACTACTTTGTGATGTGTGCCTTCAACTCACAGAGTTTAACCTTTCTTTTCTTAGAGCAGTTTAGAAACACTCTGCTTGTTATGTCTGCAAGTGGATATTTGGACCTCTTTGAGGCCTTCGTTGCAAACGGGGTTTCTTCCTTTCATGCTAGACTAAGAAGAGTTCTCAGTAACTTTTTTGTGTTGTGTGTATTCAACTCACAGAGTTGAACCTTGCTTTAGAGAGAGCAGATTTGAAACACTCTTGCTGTGGCATTTTCAGGTGGAGATTTCAAGCGATTTGAGGACAATTGCAGAAAAGGAAATATCTTCGTATAATAACCAGACAGAATCATTCTCAGAAAGTGCTTTGTGATGTGTGCGTTCAACTCACAGAGTTTAACCTTTCTTTTCATAGAGGAGTTTGGAAACACACTGTTTGTAAAGTCTGCAATTGGATATATGGACCTGTTTGAGGCCTCCGTTGGAAACGGGATTTCTTCATTGAATGCTAGACGGAAGAATTCTCAGTAAATTCTTTGTGTTGTGTGCATTCAACTCACAGAGTGGAACGTCCCTTTAGACAGAGCAGATTTGAAACACTCTTTTTGCGGAATTTGCAAGTGGAGATTTCTAGGCATTTGATGCCAACAGTAGAAAGGGAAATATCTTCAAATAAAAACCAGACAGAATCATTCTCAGAAAATTCTTTGTGATGTGTGCGTTCAACTCACATAGTTTAACCTTTCTTTTCATAGAGCAGTTTGGAAACACTCTGTTTGTAAAGTCTGCAAGTGGATATATGGACCGCATTGAGGCCTTCGTTGGAAACGGGATTTCTTCATTTCATGCTAGACAGAAGAATTCTCAGTAACTTCTTTGTGCTGTGTGTATTCAACTCACAGAGTGGAACGTCCCTTTGCACAGAGCAGATTTGAAACACTCTTTTTGTGGAGTTTGCAAGTGGAGATTTCAAGCGATTTGATGCCAACAGTAGAAAAGGAAATATCTTCAAATAAAAACTAGACAGAATCATTCTCAGAAACTACTTTGTGATGTGTGCCTTCAACTCACAGAGTTTAACCTTTCTTTTCTTAGAGCAGTTTAGAAACACTCTGCTTGTTATGTCTGCAAGTGGATATTTGGACCTCTTTGAGGCCTTCGTTGCAAACGGGGTTTCTTCCTTTCATGCTAGACTAAGAAGAGTTCTCAGTAACTTTTTTGTGTTGTGTGTATTCAACTCACAGAGTTGAACCTTGCTTTAGAGAGAGCAGATTTGAAACACTCTTGCTGTGGCATTTTCAGGTGGAGATTTCAAGCGATTTGAGGACAATTGCAGAAAAGGAAATATCTTCGTATAATAACCAGACAGAATCATTCTCAGAAAGTGCTTTGTGATGTGTGCGTTCCACTCACAGAGTTTAACCTTTCTTTTCATAGAGGAGTTTGGAAACACACTGTTTGTAAAGTCTGCAAGTGGATATATGGACCGCTTTGAGGCCTTCGTTGGAAACGGGATTTCTTCATTGAATGCTAGGCGGAAGAATTCTCAGTAAATTCTTTGTGTTGTGTGCATTCAACTCACAGAGTGGAACGTCCCTTTAGACAGAGCAGATTTGAAACACTCTTTTTGCGGAATTTGCAAGTGGAGATTTCTAGCCATTTGATGCCAACAGTAGAAAGGGAAATATCTTCAAATAAAAACCAGACAGAATCATTCTCAGAAAATTCTTTGTGATGTGTGCGTTCAACTCACATAGTTTAACCTTTCTTTTCATAGAGCAGTTTGGAAACACTCTGTTTGTAAAGTCTGCAAGTGGATATATGGACCGCATTGAGGCCTTCGTTGGAAACGGGATTTCTTCATTTCATGCTAGACAGAAGAATTCTCAGTAACTTCTTTGTGCTGTGTGTATTCAACTCACAGAGTGGAACGTCCCTTTACACAGAGCAGATTTGAAACACTCTTTTTGTGGAGTTTGCAAGTGGAGATTTCAAGCGATTTGATGCCAACAGTAGAAAAGGAAATATCTTCAAATAAAAACTAGACAGAATCATTCTCAGAAACTACCTTGTGATGTGTGCCTTCAACTCACAGAGTTTAACCTTTCTTTTCTTAGAGCAGTTTAGAAACACTCTGCTTGTTATGTCTGCAAGTGGATATTTGGACCTCTTTGAGGCCTTCGTTGCAAACGGGGTTTCTTCCTTTCATGCTAGACTAAGAAGAGTTCTCAGTAACTTTTTTGTGTTGTGTGTATTCAACTCACAGAGTTGAACCTTGCTTTAGAGAGAGCAGATTTGAAACACTCTTGCTGTGGCATTTTCAGGTGGAGATTTCAAGCGATTTGAGGACAATTGCAGAAAAGGAAATATCTTCGTATAATAACCAGACAGAATCATTCTCAGAAAGTGCTTTGTGATGTGTGCGTTCCACTCACAGAGTTTAACCTTTCTTTTCATAGAGGAGTTTGGAAACACACTGTTTGTAAAGTCTGCAAGTGGATATATGGACCTGTTTGAGGCCTTCGTTGGAAACGGGATTTCTTCATTGAATGCTAGACGGAAGAATTCTCAGTAAATTCTTTGTGTTGTGTGCATTCAACTCACAGAGTGGAACGTCCCTTTAGACAGAGCAGATTTGAAACACTCTTTTTGCGGAATTTGCAAGTGGAGATTTCTAGCCATTTGATGCCAACAGTAGAAAGGGAAATATCTTCAAATAAAAACCAGACAGAATCATTCTCAGAAAATTCTTTGTGATGTGTGCGTTCAACTCACATAGTTTAACCTTTCTTTTCATAGAGCAGTTTGGAAACACTCTGTTTGTAAAGTCTGCAAGTGGATATATGGACCGCATTGAGGCCTTCGTTGGAAACGGGATTTCTTCATTTCATGCTAGACAGAAGAATTCTCAGTAACTTCTTTGTGCTGTGTGTATTCAACTCACAGAGTGGAACGTCCCTTTACACAGAGCAGATTTGAAACACTCTTTTTGTGGAATTTGCAAGTGGAGATTTCAAGCGATTTGATGCCAACAGTAGAAAAGGAAATATCTTCAAATAAAAACTAGACAGAATCATTCTCAGAAACTACTTTGTGATGTGTGCCTTCAACTCACAGAGTTTAACCTTTCTTTTCTTAGAGCAGTTTAGAAACACTCTGCTTGTTATGTCTGCAAGTGGATATTTGGACCTCTTTGAGGCCTTCGTTGCAAACGGGGTTTCTTCCTTTCATGCTAGACTAAGAAGAGTTCTCAGTAACTTTTTTGTGTTGTGTGTATTCAACTCACAGAGTTGAACCTTGCTTTAGAGAGAGCAGATTTGAAACACTCTTGCTGTGGCATTTTCAGGTGGAGATTTCAAGCGATTTGAGGACAATTGCAGAAAAGGAAATATCTTCGTATAACAACCAGACAGAATCATTCTCAGAAAGTGCTTTGTGATGTGTGCGTTCAACTCACAGAGTTTAACCTTTCTTTTCATAGAGGAGTTTGGAAACACACTGTTTGTAAAGTCTGCAATTGGATATATGGACCTGTTTGAGGCCTTCGTTGGAAACGGGATTTCTTCATTGCATGCTAGACGGAAGAATTCTCAGTAAATTCTTTGTGTTGTGTGCATTCAACTCACAGAGTGGAACGTCCCTTTAGACAGAGCAGATTTGAAACACTCTTTTTGCGGAATTTGCAAGTGGAGATTTCTAGCCATTTGATGCCAACAGTAGAAAGGGAAATATCTTCAAATAAAAACCAGACAGAATCATTCTCAGAAAATTCTTTGTGATGTGTGCGTTCAACTCACATAGTTTAACCTTTCTTTTCATAGAGCAGTTTGGAAACACTCTGTTTGTAAAGTCTGCAAGTGGATATATGGACCGCATTGAGGCCTTCGTTGGAAACGGGATTTCTTCATTTCATGCTAGACAGAAGAATTCTCAGTAACTTCTTTGTGCTGTGTGTATTCAACTCACAGAGTGGAACGTCCCTTTGCACAGAGCAGATTTTAAACACTCTTTTTGTGGAGTTTGCAAGTGGAGATTTCAAGCGATTTGATGCCAACAGTAGAAAAGGAAATATCTTCAAATAAAAACTAGACAGAATCATTCTCAGAAACTACTTTGTGATGTGTGCCTTCAACTCACAGAGTTTAACCTTTCTTTTCTTAGAGCAGTTTAGAAACACTCTGCTTGTTATGTCTGCAAGTGGATATTTGGACCTCTTTGAGGCCTTCGTTGCAAACGGGGTTTCTTCCTTTCATGCTAGACTAAGAAGAGTTCTCAGTAACTTTTTTGTGTTGTGTGTATTCAACTCACAGAGTTGAACCTTGCTTTAGAGAGAGCAGATTTGAAACACTCTTGCTGTGGCATTTTCAGGTGGAGATTTCAAGCGATTTGAGGACAATTGCAGAAAAGGAAATATCTTCGTATAATAACCAGACAGAATCATTCTCAGAAAATTCTTTGTGATGTGTGCGTTCAACTCACATAGTTTAACCTTTCTTTTCATAGAGCAGTTTGGAAACACTCTGTTTGTAAAGTCTGCAAGTGGATATATGGACCTCTTTGAGGCCTTCGTTGGAAACGGGATTTCTTCATTGAATGCTAGACGGAAGAATTCTCAGTAAATTCTTTGTGTTGTGTGCATTCAACTCACAGAGTGGAACGTCCCTTTAGACAGAGCAGATTTGAAACACTCTTTTTGCGGAATTTGCAAGTGGAGATTTCTAGCCATTTGATGCCAACAGTAGAAAGGGAAATATCTTCAAATAAAAACCAGACAGAATCATTCTCAGAAAATTCTTTGTGATGTGTGCGTTCAACTCACATAATTTAACCTTTCTTTTCATAGAGCAGTTTGGAAACACTCTGTTTGTAAAGTCTGCAAGTGGATATATGGACCTCATTGAGGCCTTCGTTGGAAACGGGATTTCTTCATTTCATGCTAGCCAGAAGAATTCTCAGTAACTTCTTTGTGCTGTGTGTATTCAACTCACAGAGTGGAACGTCCCTTTGCACAGAGCAGATTTGAAACACTCTTTTTGTGGAATTTGCAAGTGGAGATTTCAAGCGATTTGATGCCAACAGTAGAAAAGGAAATATCTTCAAATAAAAACTAGACAGAATCATTCTCAGAAACTACTTTGTGATGTGTGCCTTCAACTCACAGAGTTTAACCTTTCTTTTCTTAGAGCAGTTTAGAAACACTCTGCTTGTTATGTCTGCAAGTGGATATTTGGACCTCTTTGAGGCCTTCGTTGCAAACGGGGTTTCTTCCTTTCATGCTAGACTAAGAAGAGTTCTCAGTAACTTTTTTGTGTTGTGTGTATTCAACTCACAGAGTTGAACCTTGCTTTAGAGAGAGCAGATTTGAAACACTCTTGCTGTGGCATTTTCAGGTGGAGATTTCAAGCGTTTTGAGGACAATTGCAGAAAAGGAAATATCTTCGTATAATAACCAGACAGAATCATTCTCAGAAAGTGCTTTGTGATGTGTGCGTTCAACTCACAGAGTTTAACCTTTCTTTTCATAGAGGAGTTTGGAAACACACTGTTTGTAAAGTCTGCAAGTGGATATATGGACCTGTTTGAGGCCTTCGTTGGAAACGGGATTTCTTCATTGAATGCTAGACGGAAGAATTCTCAGTAAATTCTTTGTGTTGTGTGCATTCAACTCACAGAGTGGAACGTCCCTTTAGACAGAGCAGATTTGAAACACTCTTTTTGCGGAATTTGCAAGTGGAGATTTCTAGCCATTTGATGCCAACAGTAGAAAGGGAAATATCTTCAAATAAAAACCAGACAGAATCATTCTCAGAAAATTCTTTGTGATGTGTGCGTTCAACTCACATAGTTTAACCTTTCTTTTCATAGAGCAGTTTGGAAACACTCTGTTTGTAAAGTCTGCAAGTGGATATATGGACCGCATTGAGGCCTTCGTTGGAAACGGGATTTCTTCATTTCATGCTAGACAGAAGAATTCTCAGTAACTTCTTTGTGCTGTGTGTATTCAACTCACAGAGTGGAACGTCCCTTTACACAGAGCAGATTTGAAACACTCTTTTTGTGGAGTTTGCAAGTGGAGATTTCAAGCGATTTGATGCCAACAGTAGAAAAGGAAATATCTTCAAATAAAAACTAGACAGAATCATTCTCAGAAACTACTTTGTGATGTGTGCCTTCAACTCACAGGGTTTAACCTTTCTTTTCTTAGAGCAGTTTAGAAACACTCTGCTTGTTATGTCTGCAAGTGGATATTTGGACCTCTTTGAGGCCTTCGTTGCAAACTTGGTTTCTTCCTTTCATGCTAGACTAAGAAGAGTTCTCAGTAACTTTTTTGTGTTGTGTGTATTCAACTCACAGAGTTGAACCTTGCTTTAGAGAGAGCAGATTTGAAACACTCTTGCTGTGGCATTTTCAGGTGGAGATTTCAAGCGATTTGAGGACAATTGCAGAAAAGGAAATATCTTCGTATAATAACCAGACAGAATCATTCTCAGAAAGTGCTTTGTGATGTGTGCGTTCAACTCACAGAGTTTAACCTTTCTTTTCATAGAGGAGTTTGGAAACACACTGTTTGTAAAGTCTGCAAGTGGATATATGGACCTGTTTGAGGCCTTCGTTGGAAACGGGATTTCTTCATTGAATGCTAGACGGAAGAATTCTCAGTAAATTCTTTGTGTTGTGTGCATTCAACTCACAGAGTGGAACATCCCTTTAGACAGAGCAGATTTGAAACACTCTTTTTGCGGAATTTGCAAGTGGAGATTTCTAGCCATTTGATGCCAACAGTAGAAAGGGAAATATCTTCAAATAAAAACCAGACAGAATCATTCTCAGAAAATTCTTTGTGATGTGTGCGTTCAACTCACATAGTTTAACCTTTCTTTTCATAGAGCAGTTTGGAAACACTCTGTTTGTAAAGTCTGCAAGTGGATATATGGACCGCATTGAGGCCTTCGTTGGAAACGGGATTTCTTCATTTCATGCTAGACAGAAGAATTCTCAGTAACTTCTTTGTGCTGTGTGTATTCAACTCACAGAGTGGAACGTCCCTTTACACAGAGCAGATTTGAAACACTCTTTTTGTGGAATTTGCAAGTGGAGATTTCAAGCGATTTGATGCCAACAGTAGAAAAGGAAATATCTTCAAATAAAAACTAGACAGAATCATTCTCAGAAACTACTTTGTGATGTGTGCCTTCAACTCACAGAGTTTAACCTTTCTTTTCTTAGAGCAGTTTAGAAACACTCTGCTTGTTATGTCTGCAAGTGGATATTTGGACCTCTTTGAGGCCTTCGTTGCAAACGGGGTTTCTTCCTTTCATGCTAGACTAAGAAGAGTTCTCAGTAACTTTTTTGTGTTGTGTGTATTCAACTCACAGAGTTGAACCTTGCTTTAGAGAGAGCAGATTTGAAACACTCTTGCTGTGGCATTTTCAGGTGGAGATTTCAAGCGTTTTGAGGACAATTGCAGAAAAGGAAATATCTTCGTATAATAACCAGACAGAATCATTCTCAGAAAGTGCTTTGTGATGTGTGCGTTCCACTCACAGAGTTTAACCTTTCTTTTCATAGAGGAGTTTGGAAACACACTGTTTGTAAAGTCTGCAAGTGGATATATGGACCTGTTTGAGGCCTTCGTTGGAAACGGGATTTCTTCATTGAATGCTAGACGGAAGAATTCTCAGTAAATTCTTTGTGTTGTGTGCATTCAACTCACAGAGTGGAACGTCCCTTTAGACAGAGCAGATTTGAAACACTCTTTTTGCGGAATTTGCAAGTGGAGATTTCTAGCCATTTGATGCCAACAGTAGAAAGGGAAATATCTTCAAATAAAAACCAGACAGAATCATTCTCAGAAAATTCTTTGTGATGTGTGCGTTCAACTCACATAGTTTAACCTTTCTTTTCATAGAGCAGTTTGGAAACACTCTGTTTGTAAAGTCTGCAAGTGGATATATGGACCGCATTGAGGCCTTCGTTGGAAACGGGATTTCTTCATTTCATGCTAGACAGAAGAATTCTCAGTAACTTCTTTGTGCTGTGTGTATTCAACTCACAGTAGTGGAACGTCCCTTTGCACAGAGCAGATTTGAAACACTCTTTTTGTGGAATTTGCAAGTGGAGATTTCAAGCGATTTGATGCCAACAGTAGAAAAGGAAATATCTTCAAATAAAAACTAGACAGAATCATTCTCAGAAACTACTTTGTGATGTGTGCCTTCAACTCACAGAGTTTAACCTTTCTTTTCTTAGAGCAGTTTAGAAACACTCTGCTTGTTATGTCTGCAAGTGGATATTTGGACCTCTTTGAGGCCTTCGTTGCAAACGGGGTTTCTTCCTTTAATGCTAGACTAAGAAGAGTTCTCAGTAACTTTTTTGTGTTGTGTGCATTCAACTCACAGAGTGGAACGTCCCTTTAGACAGAGCAGATTTGAAACACTCTTTTTGCGGAAGTTGCAAGTGGAGATTTCTAGCCATTTGATGCCAACAGTACAAAGGGAAATATCTTCAAATAAAAACTAGACAGAATCATTCTCAGAAAGTGCTTTGTGATGTGTGCGTTCAACTCACAGAGTTTAACCTTTCTTTTCATAGAGGAGTTTGGAAACACACTGTTTGTAAAGTCTGCAATTGGATATATGGACCTGTTTGAGGCCTTCATTGGAAACGGGATTTCTTCATTGAATGCTAGACGGAAGAATTCTCAGTAAATTCTTTGTGTTGTGTGCATTCAACTCACAGAGTGGAACGTCCCTTTAGACAGAGCAGATTTGAAACACTCTTTTTGCGGAATTTGCAAGTGGAGATTTCTAGCCATTTGATGCCAACAGTAGAAAGGGAAATATCTTCAAATAAAAACCAGACAGAATCATTCTCAGAAAATTCTTTGTGATGTGTGCGTTCAACTCACATAGTTTAACCTTTCTTTTCATAGAGCAGTTTGGAAACACTCTGTTTGTAAAGTCTGCAAGTGGATATATGGACCGCATTGAGGCCTTCGTTGGAAACGGGATTTTTTCATTTCATGCTAGACAGAAGAATTCTCAGTAACTTCTTTGTGCTGTGTGTATTCAACTCACAGAGTGGAACGTCCCTTTACACAGAGCAGATTTGAAACACTCTTTTTGTGGAATTTGCAAGTGGAGATTTCAAGCGATTTGATGCCAACAGTAGAAAAGGAAATATCTTCAAATAAAAACTAGACAGAATCATTCTCAGAAACTACTTTGTGATGTGTGCCTTCTACTCACAGAGTTTAACCTTTCTTTTCTTAGAGCAGTTTAGAAACACTCTGCTTGTTATGTCTGCAAGTGGATATTTGGACCTCTTTGAGACCTTCGTTGCAAACGGGGTTTCTTCCTTTAATGCTAGACTAAGAAGAGTTCTCAGTAACTTTTTTGTGTTGTGTGTATTCAACTCACAGAGTTGAACCTTGCTTTAGAGAGAGCAGATTTGAAACACTCTTGCTGTGGAATTTTTAGGGGGAGATTTCAAGCGATTTGAGGACAATTGCAGAAAAGGAAATATCTTCGTATAGTAACCAGACAGAATCATTCTCAGAAAGTGCTTTGTGATGTGTGCGTTCAACTCACAGAGTTTAACCTTTCTTTTCATAGAAGAGTTTGGAAACACACTGTTTGTAAAGTCTGCTAGTGGATATATGGACCTGTTTGAGGCCTTCGTTGGAAACGGGATTTCTTCATTTCATGCTAGACAGAAGAGTTCTCAGTAACTTTTTTGTGTTGTGTGCATTCAACTCACAGAGTGGAACGTCCCTTTAGACAGAGCAGATTTGAAACACTCTTTTTGCGGAAGTTGCAAGTGGAGATTTCTAGCCATTTGATGCCAACAGTACAAAGGGAAATATCTTCAAATAAAAACTAGACAGAATCATTCTCAGAAAGTGCTTTGTGATGTGTGCGTTCAACTCACAGAGTTTAACCTTTCTTTTCATAGAGGAGTTTGGAAACACACTGTTTGTAAAGTCTGCAATTGGATATATGGACCTGTTTGAGGCCTTCATTGGAAACGGGATTTCTTCATTGAATGCTAGACGGAAGAAGTCTCAGTAAATTCTTTGTGTTGTGTGCATGCAACTGACAGAGTGGAGCGTCCCTTTAGACAGAGCAGATTTGAAACACTCTTTTTGCGGAATTTGCAAGTGGAGATTTCTAGCCATTTGATGCCAACAGTAGAAAGGGAAATATCTTCAAATAAAAACCAGACAGAATCATTCTCAGAAAATTCTTTGTGATGTGTGCGTTCAACTCACATAGTTTAACCTTTCTTTTCATAGAGCAGTTTGGAAACACTCTGTTTGTAAAGTCTGCAAGTGGATATATGGACCGCATTGAGGCCTTCGTTGGAAACGGGATTTCTTCATTTCATGCTAGACAGAAGAATTCTCAGTAACTTCTTTGTGCTGTGTGTATTCAACTCACAGAGTGGAACGTCCTTTTACACAGAGCAGATTTGAAACACTCTTTTTGTGGAGTTTGCAAGTGGAGAATTCAAGCGATTTGATGCCAACAGTAGAAAAGGAAATATCTTCAAATAAAAACTAGACAGAATCATTCTCAGCAAACTACTTTGTGATGTGTGCCTTCAACTCACAGAGTTTAACCTTTCTTTTCTTAGAGCACTTTAGAAACACTCTGCTTGTTATGTCTGCAAGTGGATATTTGGACCTCTTTGAGGCCTTCGTTGCAAACGGTGTTTCTTCCTTTCATGCTAGACTAAGAAGAGTTCTCAGTAACTTTTTTGTGTTGTGTGTATTCAACTCACAGAGTTGAACCTTGCTTTAGAGAGAGCAGATTTGAAACACTCTTGCTGTGGCATTTTCAGGTGGAGATTTCAAGCGATTTGAGGACAATTGCAGAAAAGGAAATATCTTCGTATAACAACCAGACAGAATCATTCTCAGAAAGTGCTTTGTGATGTGTGTGTTCAACTCACAGAGTTTAACCTTTCTTTTCATAGAGGAGTTTGGAAACACACTGTTTGTAAAGTCTGCAATTGGATATATGGACCTGTTTGAGGCCTTCGTTGGAAACGGGATTTCTTCATTGAATGCTAGACGGAAGAATTCTCAGTAAATTCTTTGTGTTGTGTGCATTCAACTCACAGAGTGGAACGTCCCTTTAGACAGAGCAGATTTGAAACACTCTTTTTGCGGAATTTGCAAGTGGAGATTTCTAGCCATTTGATGCCAACAGTAGAAAGGGAAATATCTTCAAATAAAAACCAGACAGAATCATTCTCAGAAAATTCTTTGTGATGTGTGCGTTCAACTCACATAGTTTAACCTTTCTTTTCATAGAGCAGTTTGGAAACACTCTGTTTGTAAAGTCTGCAAGTGGATATATGGACCGCATTGAGGCCTTCGTTGGAAACGGGATTTCTTCATTTCATGCTAGACAGAAGAATTCTCAGTAACTTCTTTGTGCTATGTGTATTCAACTCACAGAGTGGAACGTCCCTTTGCACAGAGCAGATTTGAAACACTCTTTTTGTGGAGTTTGCAAGTGGAGATTTCAAGCGATTTGATGCCAACAGTAGAAAAGGAAATATCTTCAAATAAAAACTAGACAGAATCATTCTCAGAAACTACTTTGTGATGTGTGCCTTCAACTCACAGAGTTTAACCTTTCTTTTCTTAGAGCAGGTTAGAAACACTCTGCTTGTTATGTCTGCAAGTGGATATTTGGACCTCTTTGAGGCCTTCGTTGCAAACGGGGTTTCTTCCTTTCATGCTAGACTAAGAAGAGTTCTCAGTAACTTTTTTGTGTTGTGTGTATTCAACTCACAGAGTTGAACCTTGCTTTAGAGAGAGCAGATTTGAAACACTCTTGCTGTGGCATTTTCAGGTGGAGATTTCAAGCGATTTGAGGACAATTGCAGAAAAGGAAATATCTTCGTATAATAACCAGACAGAATCATTCTCAGAAAGTGCTTTGTGATGTGTGCGTTCCACTCACAGAGTTTAACCTTTCTTTTCATAGAGGAGTTTGGAAACACACTGTTTGTAAACTCTGCAAGTGGATATATGGACCTGTTTGAGGCCTTCGTTGGAAACGGGATTTCTTCATTGAATGCTAGACGGAAGAATTCTCAGTAAATTCTTTGTGTTGTGTGCATTCAACTCACAGAGTGGAACGTCCCTTTAGACAGAGCAGATTTGAAACACTCTTTTTGCGGAATTTGCAAGTGGAGATTTCTAGCCGTTTGATGCCAACAGTAGAAAGGGAAATATCTTCAAATAAAAACCAGACAGAATCATTCTCAGAAAATTCTTTGTGATGTGTGCGTTCAACTCACATAGTTTAACCTTTCTTTTCATAGAGCAGTTTGGAAACACTCTGTTTGTAAAGTCTGCAAGTGGATATATGGACCGCATTGAGGCCTTCGTTGGAAACGGGATTTCTTCATTTCATGCTAGACAGAAGAATTCTCAGTAACTTCTTTGTGCTGTGTGTATTCAACTCACAGAGTGGAACGTCCCTTTGCACAGAGCAGATTTGAAACACTCTTTTTGTGGAATTTGCAAGTGGAGATTTCAAGCGATTTGATGCCAACAGTAGAAAAGGAAATATCTTCAAATAAAAACTAGACAGAATCATTCTCAGAAACTACTTTGTGATGTGTGCCTTCAACTCACAGAGTTTAACCTTTCTTTTCTTAGAGCAGTTTAGAAACACTCTGCTTGTTATGTCTGCAAGTGGATATTTGGACCTCTTTGAGGCCTTCGTTGCAAACGGGGTTTCTTCCTTTCATGCTACACTAAGAAGAGTTCTCAGTAACTTTTTTGTGTTGTGTGTATTCAACTCACAGAGTTGAACCTTGCGTTAGAGAGAGCAGATTTGAAACACTCCTGCTGTGGCATTTTCAGGTGGAGATTTCAAGCGATTTGAGGACAATTGCAGAAAAGGAAATATCTTCGTATAATAACCAGACAGAATCATTCTCAGAAAGTGCTTTGTGATGTGTGCGTTCAACTCACAGAGTTTAACCTTTCTTTTCATAGAGGAGTTTGGAAACACACTGTTTGTAAAGTCTGCAATTGGATATATGGACCTGTTTGAGGCCTCCGTTGGAAACGGGATTTCTTCATTGAATGCTAGACGGAAGAATTCTCAGTAAATTCTTTGTGTTGTGTGCATTCAACTCACAGAGTGGAACGTCCCTTTAGACAGAGCAGATTTGAAACACTCTTTTTGCGGAATTTGCAAGTGGAGATTTCTAGCCATTTGATGTCAACAGTAGAAAGGGAAATATCTTCAAATAAAAACCAGACAGAATCATTCTCAGAAAATTCTTTGTGATGTGTGCGTTCAACTCACATAGTTTAACCTTTCTTTTCATAGAGCAGTTTGGAAACACTCTGTTTGTAAAGTCTGCAAGTGGATCTATGGACCGCATTGAGGCCTTCGTTGGAAACGGGATTTCTTCATTTCATGCTAGACAGAAGAATTCTCAGTAACTTCTTTGTGCTGTGTGTATTCAACTCACATAGTGGAACGTCCCTTTGCACAGAGCAGATTTGAAACACTCTTTTTGTGGAGTTTGCAAGTGGAGATTTCAAGCGATTTGATGCCAACAGTAGAAAAGGAAATATCTTCAAATAAAAACTAGACAGAATCATTCTCAGAAACTACTTTGTGATGTGTGCCTTCAACTCACAGAGTTTAACCTTTCTTTTCTTAGAGCAGTTTAGAAACACTCTGCTTGTTATGTCTGCAAGTGGATATTTGGACCTCTTTGAGGCCTTCGTTGCAAACGGGGTTTCTTCCTTTCATGCTAGACTAAGAAGAGTTCTCAGTAACTTTTTTGTGTTGTGTGTATTCAACTCACAGAGTTGAACCTTGCTTTAGAGAGAGCAGATTTGAAACACTCTTGCTGTGGCATTTTCAGGTGGAGATTTCAAGCGATTTGAGGACAATTGCAGAAAAGGAAATATCTTCGTATAATAACCAGACAGAATCATTCTCAGAAAGTGCTTTGTGATGTGTGCGTTCAACTCACAGAGTTTAACCTTTCTTTTCATAGAGGAGTTTGGAAACACACTGTTTGTAAAGTCTGCAATTGGATATATGGACCTGTTTGAGGCCTTCGTTGGAAACGGGATTTCTTCATTGCATGCTAGACGGAAGAATTCTCAGTAAATTCTTTGTGTTGTGTGCATTCAACTCACAGAGTGGAACGTCCCTTTAGACAGAGCAGATTTGAAACACTCTTTTTGCGGAATTTGCAAGTGGAGATTTCTAGCCATTTGATGCCAACAGTAGAAAGGGAAATATCTTCAAATAAAAACCAGACAGAATCATTCTCAGAAAATTCTTTGTGATGTGTGCGTTCAACTCACATAGTTTAACCTTTCTTTTCATAGAGCAGTTTGGAAACACTCTGTTTGTAAAGTCTGCAAGTGGATATATGGACCGCATTGAGGCCTTCGTTGGAAACGGGATTTCTTCATTTCATGCTAGACAGAAGAATTCTCAGTAACTTCTTTGTGCTGTGTGTATTCAACTCACAGAGTGGAACGTCCCTTTGCACAGAGCAGATTTGAAACACTCTTTTTGTGGAGTTTGCAAGTGGAGATTTCAAGCGATTTGATGCCAACAGTAGAAAAGGAAATATCTTCAAATAAAAACTAGACAGAATCATTCTCAGAAACTACTTTGTGATGTGTGCCTTCAACTCACAGAGTTTAACCTTTCTTTTCTTAGAGCAGTTTAGAAACACTCTGCTTGTTATGTCTGCAAGTGGATATTTGGACCTCTTTGAGGCCTTCGTTGCAAACGGGGTTTCTTCCTTTCATGCTAGACTAAGAAGAGTTCTCAGTAACTTTTTTGTGTTGTGTGTATTCAACTCACAGAGTTGAACCTTGCTTTAGAGAGAGCAGATTTGAAACACTCTTGCTGTGGCATTTTCAGGTGGAGATTTCAAGCGATTTGAGGACAATTGCAGAAAAGGAAATATCTTCGTATAATAACCAGACAGAATCATTCTCAGAAAGTGCTTTGTGATGTGTGCGTTCAACTCACAGAATTTAACCTTTCTTTTCATAGAGGAGTTTGGAAACACACTGTTTGTAAAGTCTGCAATTGGATATATGGACCTGTTTGAGGCCTTCGTTGGAAACGGGATTTCTTCATTGAATGCTAGACGGAAGAATTCTCAGTAAATTCTTTGTGTGGTGTGCATTCAACTCACAGAGTGGAACGTCCCTTTAGACAGAGCAGATTTGAAACACTCTTTTTGCGGAATTTGCAAGTGGAGATTTCTAGCCATTTGATGCCAACAGTAGAAAGGGAAATATCTTCAAATAAAAACCAGACAGAATCATTCTCAGAAAATTCTTTGTGATGTGTGCGTTCAACTCACATAGTTTAACCTTTCTTTTCATAGAGCAGTTTGGAAACACTCTGTTTGTAAAGTCTGCAAGTGGATATATGGACCGCATTGAGGCCTTCGTTGGAAACGGGATTTCTTCATTTCATGCTAGACAGAAGAATTCTCAGTAACTTCTTTGTGCTGTGTGTATTCAACTCACAGAGTGGAACGTCCCTTTGCACAGAGCAGATTTGAAACACTCTTTTTGTGGAGTTTGCAAGTGGAGATTTCAAGCGATTTGATGCCAACAGTAGAAAAGGAAATATCTTCAAATAAAAACTAGACAGAATCATTCTCAGAAACTACTTTGTGATGTGTGCCTTCAACTCACAGAGTTTAACCTTTCTTTTCTTAGAGCAGTTTAGAAACACTCGGCTTGTTATGTCTGCAAGTGGATATTTGGACCTCTTTGAGGCCTTCGTTGCAAACGGGGTTTCTTCCTTTCATGCTAGACTAAGAAGAGTTCTCATTAACTTTTTTGTGTTGTGTGTATTCACCTCACAGAGTTGAACCTTGCTTTAGAGAGAGCAGATTTGAAACACTCTCGCTGTGGCATTTTCAGGTGGAGATTTCAAGCGATTTGAGGACAATTGCAGAAAAGGAAATATCTTCGTATAATAACCAGACAGAATCATTCTCAGAAAGTGCTTTGTGATGTGTGCGTTCAACTCACAGAGTTTAACCTTTCTTTTCATAGAGGAGTTTGGAAACACACTGTTTGTAAAGTCTGCAAGTGGATATATGGACCTGTTTGAGGCCTTCGTTGGAAACGGGATTTCTTCATTGAATGCTAGACGGAAGAATTCTCAGTAAATTCTTTGTGTTGTGTGCATTCAACTCACAGAGTGGAACGTCCCTTTAGACAGAGCAGATTTGAAACACTCTTTTTGCGGAATTTGCAAGTGGAGATTTCTAGCCATTTGATGCCAACAGTAGAAAGGGAAATATCTTCAAATAAAAACCAGACAGAATCATTCTCAGAAAATTCTTTGTGATGGGTGCGTTCAACTCACATAGTTTAACCTTTCTTTTCATAGAGCAGTTTGGAAACACTCTGTTTGTAAAGTCTGCAAGTGGATATATGGACCGCATTGAGGCCTTCGTTGGAAACGGGATTTCTTCATTTCATGCTAGACAGAAGAATTCTCAGTAACTTCTTTGTGCTGTGTGTATTCAACTCACAGAGTGGAACGTCCCTTTGCACAGAGCAGATTTGAAACACTCTTTTTGTGGAGTTTGCAAGTGGAGATTTCAAGCGATTTGATGCCAACAGTAGAAAAGGAAATATCTTCAAATAAAAACTAGACAGAATCATTCTCAGAAACTACTTTGTGATGTGTGCCTTCAACTCACAGAGTTTAACCTTTCTTTTCTTAGAGCAGTTTAGAAACACTCTGCTTGTTATGTCTGCAAGTGGATATTTGGACCTCTTTGAGGCCTTCGTTGCAAACGGGGTTTCTTCCTTTCATGCTAGACTAAGAAGAGTTGTCAGTAACTTTTTTGTGTTGTGTGTATTCAACTCACAGAGTTGAACCTTGCTTTAGAGAGAGCAGATTTGAAACCCTCTTGCTGTGGCATTTTCAGGTGGAGATTTCAAGCGATTTGAGGACAATTGCAGAAAAGGAAATATCTTCGTATAATAACCAGACAGAATCATTCTCAGAAAGTGCTTTGTGATGTGTGCGTTCAACTCACAGAGTTTAACCTTTCTTTTCATAGAGGAGTTTGGAAACACACTGTTTGTAAAGTCTGCAATTGGATATATGGACCTGTTTGAGGCCTTCGTTGGAAACGGGATTTCTTCATTGAATGCTAGACGGAAGAATTCTCAGTAAATTCTTTGTGTTGTGTGCATTCAACTCACAGAGTGGAACGTCCCTTTAGACAGAGCAGATTTGAAACACTCTTTTTGCGGAATTTGCAAGTGGAGATTTCTAGCCATTTGATGCCAACAGTAGAAAGGGAAATATCTTCAAATAAAAACCAGACAGAATCATTCTCAGAAAATTCTTTGTGATGTGTGCGTTCAACTCACATAGTTTAACCTTTCTTTTCATAGAGCAGTTTGGAAACACTCTGTTTGTAAAGTCTGCAAGTGGATATATGGACCGCATTGAGGCCTTCGTTGGAAACGGGATTTCTTCATTTCATGCTAGACAGAAGAATTCTCAGTAACTTCTTTGTGCTGTGTGTATTCAACTCACAGAGTGGAACGTCCCTTTGCACAGAGCAGATTTGAAACACTCTTTTTGTGGAATTTGCAAGTGGAGATTTCAAGCGATTTGATGCCAACAGTAGAAAAGGAAATATCTTCAAATAAAAACTAGACAGAATCATTCTCAGAAACTACTTTGTGATGTGTGCCTTCAACTCACAGAGTTTAACCTTTCTTTTCTTAGAGCAGTTTAGAAACACTCTGCTTGTTATGTCTGCAAGTGGATATTTGGACCTCTTTGAGGCCTTCGTTGCAAACGGGGTTTCTTCCTTTAATGCTAGACTAAGAAGAGTTCTCAGTAACTTTTTTGTGTTGTGTGTATTCAACTCACAGAGTTGAACCTTGCTTTAGAGAGAGCAGATTTGAAACACTCTTCCTGTGGCATTTTCAGGTGGAGATTTCAAGCGATTTGAGGACAATTGCAGAAAAGGAAATATCTTCGTATAATAACCAGACAGAATCATTCTCAGAAAGTGCTTTGTGATGTGTGCGTTCAACTCACAGAGTTTAACCTTTCTTTTCATAGAGGAGTTTGGAAACACACTGTTTGTAAAGTCTGCAGGTGGATACATGGACCTGTTTGAGGCCTTCGTTGGAAACGGGATTTCTTCATTGAATGCTAGACGGAAGAATTCTCAGTAAATTCTTTGTGTTGTGTCCATTCAACTCACAGAGTGGAACGTCCCTTTAGACAGAGCAGATTTGAAACACTCTTTTTGCGGAATTTGCAAGTGGAGATTTCTAGCCATTTGATGCCAACAGTAGAAAGGGAAATATCTTCAAATAAAAACCAGACAGAATCATTCTCAGAAAATTCTTTGTGATGTGTGCGTTCAACTCACATAGTTTAACCTTTCTTTTCATAGAGCAGTTTGGAAACACTCTGTTTGTAAAGTCTGCAAGTGGATATATGGACCGCATTGAGGCCTTCGTTGGAAACGGGATTTCTTCATTTCATGCTAGACAGAAGAATTCTCAGTAACTTCTTTGTGCTGTGTGTATTCAACTCACAGAGTGGAACGTCCCTTTGCACAGAGCAGATTTGAAACACTCTTTTTGTGGAGTTTGCAAGTGGAGATTTCAAGCGATTTGATGCCAACAGTAGAAAAGGAAATATCTTCAAATAAAAACTAGACAGAATCATTCTCAGAAACTACTTTGTGATGTGTGCCTTCAACTCACAGAGTTTAACCTTTCTTTTCTTAGAGCAGTTTAGAAACACTCTGCTTGTTATGTCTGCAAGTGGATATTTGGACCTCTTTGAGGCCTTCGTTGCAAACGGGGTTTCTTCCTTTCATGCTAGACTAAGAAGAGTTCTCAGTAACTTTTTTGTGTTGTGTGTATTCAACTCACAGAGTTGAACCTTGCTTTAGAGAGAGCAGATTTGAAACACTCTTGCTGTGGCATTTTCAGGTGGAGATTTCAAGCGATTTGAGGACAATTGCAGAAAAGGAAATATCTTCGTATAACAACCAGACAGAATCATTCTCAGAAAGTGCTTTGTGATGTGTGCGTTCAACTCACAGAGTTTAACCTTTCTTTTCATAGAGGAGTTTGGAAACACACTGTTTGTACAGTCTGCAATTGGATATATGGACCTGTTTGAGGCCTTCGTTGGAAACGGGATTTCTTCATTGACTGCTAGACGGAAGAATTCTCAGTAAATTCTTTGTGTGGTGTGCATTCAACTCACAGAGTGGAACGTCCCTTTAGACAGAGCAGATTTGAAACACTCTTTTTGCGGAATTTGCAAGTGGAGATTTCTAGCCATTTGATGCCAACAGTAGAAAGGGAAATATCTTCAAATAAAAACCAGACAGAATCATTCTCAGAAAATTCTTTGTGATGTGTGCGTTCAACTCACATAGTTTAACCTTTCTTTTCATAGAGCAGTTTGGAAACACTCTGTTTGTAAAGTCTGCAAGTGGATATATGGACCGCATTGAGGCCTTCGTTGGAAACGGGATTTCTTCATTTCATGCTAGACAGAAGAATTCTCAGTAACTTCTTTGTGCTGTGTGTATTCAACTCACAGAGTGGAACGTCCCTTTGCACAGAGCAGATTTGAAACACTCTTTTTGTGGAGTTTGCAATTGGAGATTTCAAGCGATTTGATGCCAACAGTAGAAAAGGAAATATCTTCAAATAAAAACTAGACAGGAATCATTCTCAGAAACTACTTTGTGATGTGTGCCTTCAACTCACAGAGTTTAACCTTTCTTTTCTTAGAGCAGTTTAGAAACACTCTGCTTGTTATGTCTGCAAGTGGATATTTGGACCTCTTTGAGGCCTTCGTTGCAAACGGGGTTTCTTCCTTTCATGCTAGACTAAGAAGAGTTCTCAGTAACTTTTTTGTGTTGTGTGTATTCAACTCACAGAGTTGAACCTTGCTTTAGAGAGAGCAGATTTGAAACACTCTTGCTGTGGCATTTTCAGGTGGAGATTTCAAGCGATTTGAGGACAATTGCAGAAAAGGAAATATCTTCGTATAATAACCAGACAGAATCATTCTCAGAAAGTGCTTTGTGATGTGTGCGTTCAACTCACAGAGTTTAACCTTTCTTTTCATAGAGGAGTTTGGAAACACACTGTTTGTAAAGTCTGCAATTGGATATATGGACCTGTTTGAGGCCTTCGTTGGAAACGGGATTTCTTCATTGAATGCTAGACGGAAGAATTCTCAGTAAATTCTTTGTGTTGTGTGTATTCAACTCACAGAGTGGAACGTCCCTTTAGACAGAGCAGATTTGAAACACTCTTTTTGCGGAATTTGGAAGTGGAGATTTCTAGCCATTTGATGCCAACAGTAGAAAGGGAAATATCTTCAAATAAAAACCAGACAGAATCATTCTCAGAAAATTCTTTGTGATGTGTGCGTTCAACTCACATAGTTTAACCTTTCTTTTCATAGAGCAGTTTGGAAACACTCTGTTTGTAAAGTCTGCAAGTGGATATATGGACCGCATTGAGGCCTTCGTTGGAAACGGGATTTCTTCATTTCATGCTAGACAGAAGAATTCTCAGTAACTTCTTTGTGCTGTGTGTATTCAACTCACAGAGTGGAACGTCCCTTTACACAGAGCAGATTTGAAACACTCTTTTTGTGGAGTTTGCAAGTGGAGATTTCAAGCGATTTGATGCCAACAGTAGAAAAGGAAATATCTTCAAATAAAAACTAGACAGAATCATTCTCAGAAACTACTTTGTGATGTGTGCCTTCAACTCACAGAGTTTAACCTTTCTTTTCATAGAGCAGTTTAGAAACACTCTGCTTGTTATGTCTGCAAGTGGATATTTGGACCTCTTTGAGGCCTTCGTTGCAAACGGGGTTTCTTCCTTTCATGCTAGACTAAGAAGAGTTCTCAGTAACTTTTTTGTGTTGTGTGTATTCAACTCACAGAGTTGAACCTTGCTTTAGAGAGAGCAGATTTGAAACACTCTTGCTGTGGCATTTTCAGGTGGAGATTTCAAACGATTTGAGGACAATTGCAGAAAAGGAAATATCTTCGTATAATAACCAGACAGAATCATTCTCAGAAAGTGCTTTGTGATGTGTGCGTTCAACTCACAGAGTTTAACCTTTCTTTTCATAGAGGAGTTTGGAAACACACAGTTTGTAAAGTCTGCAATTGGATATATGGACCTGTTTGAGGCCTTCGTTGGAAACGGGATTTCTTCATTGAATGCTAGACGGAAGAATTCTCAGTAAATTCTTTGTGTTGTGTGCATTCAACTCACAGAGTGGAACGTCCCTTTAGACAGAGCAGATTTGAAACACTCTTTTTGCGGAATTTGCAAGTGGAGATTTCTAGCCATTTGATGCCAACAGTAGAAAGGGAAATATCTTCAAATAAAAACCAGACAGAATCATTCTCAGAAAATTCTTTGTGATGTGTGCATTCAACTGACATAGTTTAACCTTTCTTTTCATAGAGCAGTTTGGAAACACTCTGTTTGTAAAGTCTGCAAGTGGATATATGGACCGCATTGAGGCCTTCGTTGGAAACGGGATTTCTTCATTTCATGCTAGACAGAAGAATTCTCAGTAACTTCTTTGTGCTGTGTGTATTCAACTCACAGAGTGGAACGTCCCTTTACACAGAGCAGATTTGAAACACTCTTTTTGTGGAGTTTGCAAGTGGAGATTTCAAGCGATTTGATGCCAACAGTAGAAAAGGAAATATCTTCAAATAAAAACTAGACAGAATCATTCTCAGAAACTACTTTGTGATGTGTGCCTTCAACTCACAGAGTTTAACCTTTCTTTTCTTAGAGCAGTTTAGAAACACTCTGCTTGTTATGTCTGCAAGTGGATATTTGGACCTCTTTGAGGCCTTCGTTGCAAACGGGGTTTCTTCCTTTAATGCTAGACTAAGAAGAGTTCTCAGTAACTTTTTTGTGTTGTGTGTATTCAACTCACAGAGTTGAACCTTGCTTTAGAGAGAGCAGATTTGAAACACTCTTGCTGTGGCATTTTCAGGTGGAGATTTCAAGCGATTTGAGGACAATTGCAGAAAAGGAAATATCTTCGTATAACAACCAGACAGAATCATTCTCAGAAAGTGCTTTGTGATGTGTGCGTTCAACTCACAGAGTTTAACCTTTCTTTTCATAGAGGAGTTTGGAAACACACTGTTTGTAAAGTCTGCAATTGGATATATGGACCTGTTTGAGGCCTTCGTTGGAAACGGGATTTCTTCATTGAATGCTAGACGGAAGAATTCTCAGTAAATTCTTTGTGTTGTGTGCATTCAACTCACAGAGTGGAACGTCCCTTTAGACAGAGCAGATTTGAAACACTCTTTTTGCGGAATTTGCAAGTGGAGATTTCTAGCCATTTGATGCCAACAGTAGAAAGGGAAATATCTTCAAATAAAAACCAGACAGAATCATTCTCAGAAAATTCTTTGTGATGTGTGCGTTCAACTCACATAGTTTTACCTTTCTTTTCATAGAGCAGTTTGGAAACACTCTGTTTGTAAAGTCTGCAAGTGGATATATGGACCGCATTGAGGCCTTCGTTGGAAACGGGATTTCTTCATTTCATGCTAGACAGAAGAATTCTCAGTAACTTCTTTGTGCTGTGTGTATTCAACTCACAGAGTGGAACGTCCCTTTACACAGAGCAGATTTGAAACACTCTTTTTGTGGAGTTTGCAAGTGGAGATTTCAAGCGATTTGATGCCAACAGTAGAAAAGGAAATATCTTCAAATAAAAACTAGACAGAATCATTCTCAGAAACTACTTTGTGATGTGTGCCTTCAACTCACAGAGTTTAACCTTTCTTTTCTTAGAGCAGTTTAGAAACACTCTGCTTGTTATGTCTGCAAGTGGATATTTGGACCTCTTTGAGGCCTTCGTTGCAAACGGGGTTTCTTCCTTTAATGCTAGACTAAGAAGAGTTCTCAGTAACATTTTTGTGTTGTGTGTATTCAACTCACAGAGTTGAACCTTGCTTTAGAGAGAGCAGATTTGAAACACTCTTGCTGTGGCATTTTCAGGTGGAGATTTCAAGCGATTTGAGGACAATTGCAGAAAAGGAAATATCTTCGTATAACAACCAGACAGAATCATTCTCAGAAAGTGCTTTGTGATGTGTGCGTTCAACTCACAGAGTTTAACGTTTCTTTTCATAGAGGAGTTTGGAAACACACTGTTTGTAAAGTCTGCAATTGGATATATGGACCTGTTTGAGGCCTTCGTTGGAAACGGGATTTCTTCATTGAATGCTAGACGGAAGAATTCTCAGTAAATTCTTTGTGTTGTGTGCATTCAACTCACAGAGTGGAACGTCCCTTTAGACAGAGCAGATTTGAAACACTCTTTTTGCGGAATTTGCAAGTGGAGATTTCTAGCCATTTGATGCCAACAGTAGAAAGGGAAATATCTTCAAATAAAAACCAGACAGAATCATTCTCAGAAAATTCTTTGTGATGTGTGCGTTCAACTCACATAGTTTAACCTTTCTTTTCATAGAGCAGTTTGGAAACACTCTGTTTGTAAAGTCTGCAAGTGGATATATGGACCGCATTGAGGCCTTCGTTGGAAACGGGATTTCTTCATTTCATGCTAGACAGAAGAATTCTCAGTAACTTCTTTGTGCTGTGTGTATTCAACTCACAGAGTGGAACGTCCCTTTGCACAGAGCAGATTTGAAACACTCTTTTTGTGGAATTTGCAAGTGGAGATTTCAAGCGATTTGATGCCAACAGTAGAAAAGGAAATATCTTCAAATAAAAACTAGACAGAATCATTCTCAGAAACTACTTTGTGATGTGTGCCTTCAACTCACAGAGTTTAACCTTTCTTTTCTTAGAGCAGTTTAGAAACACTCTGCTTGTTATGTCTGCAAGTGGATATTTGGACCTCTTTGAGGCCTTCGTTGCAAACGGGGTTTCTTCCTTTAATGCTAGACTAAGAAGAGTTCTCAGTAACTTTTTTGTGTTGTGTGTATTCAACTCACAGAGTTGAACCTTGCTTTAGAGAGAGCAGATTTGAAACACTCTTGCTGTGGCATTTTCAGGTGGAGATTTCAAGCGATTTGAGGACAATTGCAGAAAAGGAAATATCTTCGTATAATAACCAGACAGAATCATTCTCAGAAAGTGCTTTGTGATGTGTGCGTTCAACTCACAGAGTTTAACCTTTCTTTTCATAGAGGAGTTTGGAAACACACTGTTTGTAAAGTCTGCAATTGGATATATGGACCTGTTTGAGGCCTCCGTTGGAAACGGGATTTCTTCATTGAATGCTAGACGGAAGAATTCTCAGTAAATTCTTTGTGTTGTGTGCATTCAACTCACAGAGTGGAACGTCCCTTTAGACAGAGCAGATTTGAAACACTCTTTTTGCGGAATTTGCAAGTGGAGATTTCTAGCCATTTGATGCCAACAGTAGAAAGGGAAATATCTTCAAATAAAAACCAGACAGAATCATTCTCAGAAAATTCTTTGTGATGTGTGCGTTCAACTCACATAGTTTAACCTTTCTTTTCATAGAGCAGTTTGGAAACACTCTGTTTGTAAAGTCTGCAAGTGGATATATGGACCGCATTGAGGCCTTCGTTGGAAACGGGATTTCTTCATTTCATGCTAGACAGAAGAATTCTCAGTAACTTCTTTGTGCTGTGTGTATTCAACTCACAGAGTGGAACGTCCCTTTACACAGAGCAGATTTGAAACACTCTTTTTGTGGAGTTTGCAAGTGGAGATTTCAAGCGATTTGATGCCAACAGTAGAAAAGGAAATATCTTCAAATAAAAACTAGACAGAATCATTCTCAGAAACTACTTTGTGATGTGTGCCTTCAACTCACAGAGTTTAACCTTTCTTTTCTTAGAGCAGTTTAGAAACACTCTGCTTGTTATGTCTGCAAGTGGATATTTGGACCTCTTTGAGGCCTTCGTTGCAAACGGGGTTTCTTCCTTTCATGCTAGACTAAGAAGAGTTCTCAGTAACTTTTTTGTGTTGTGTGTATTCAACTCACAGAGTTGAACCTTGCTTTAGAGAGAGCAGATTTGAAACACTCTTGCTGTGGCATTTTCAGGTGGAGATTTCAAGCGTTTTGAGGACAATTGCAGAAAAGGAAATATCTTCGTATAATAACCAGACAGAATCATTCTCAGAAAGTGCTTTGTGATGTGTGCGTTCAACTCACAGAGTTTAACTTTTCTTTCCATAGAGGAGTTTGGAAACACACTGTTTGTAAAGTCTGCAAGTGGATATATGGACCTGTTTGAGGCCTTCGTTGGAAACGGGATTTCTTCATTGAATGCTAGACGGAAGAATTCTCAGTAAATTCTTTGTGTTGTGTGCATTCAACTCACAGAGTGGAACGTCCCTTTAGACAGAGCAGATTTGAAACACTCTTTTTGCGGAATTTGCAATTGGAGATTTCTAGCCATTTGATGCCAACAGTAGAAAGGGAAATATCTTCAAATAAAAACCAGACAGAATCATTCTCAGAAAATTCTTTGTGATGTGTGCGTTCAACTCACATAGTTTAACCTTTCTTTTCATAGAGCAGTTTGGAAACACTCTGTTTGTAAAGTCTGCAAGTGGATATATGGACCGCATTGAGGCCTTCGTTGGAAACGGGATTTCTTCATTTCATGCTAGACAGAAGAATTCTCAGTAACTTCTTTGTGCTGTGTGTATTCAACTCACAGAGTGGAACGTCCCTTTACACAGAGCAGATTTGAAACACTCTTTTTGTGGAATTTGCAAGTGGAGATTTCAAGCGATTTGATGCCAACAGTAGAAAAGGAGATATCTTCAAATAAAAACTAGACAGAATCATTCTCAGAAACTACTTTGTGATGTGTGCCTTCAACTCACAGAGTTTAACCTTTCTTTTCTTAGAGCAGTTTAGAAACACTCTGCTTGTTATGTCTGCAAGTGGATATTTGGACCTCTTTGAGGCCTTCGTTGCAAACGGGGTTTCTTCCTTTCATGCTAGACTAAGAAGAGTTCTCAGTAACTTTTTTGTGTTGTGTGTATTCAACTCACAGAGTTGAACCTTGCTTTAGAGAGAGCAGATTTGAAACACTCTTGCTGTGGCATTTTCAGGTGGAGATTTCAAGCGATTTGAGGACAATTGCAGAAAAGGAAATATCTTCGTATAATAACCAGACAGAATCATTCTCAGAAAGTGCTTTGTGATGTGTGCGTTCCACTCACAGAGTTTAACCTTTCTTTTCATAGAGGAGTTTGGAAACACACTGTTTGTAAAGTCTGCAAGTGGATATATGGACCTGTTTGAGGCCTTCGTTGGAAACGGGATTTCTTCATTGAATGCTAGACGGAAGAATTCTCAGTAAATTCTTTGTGTTGTGTGCATTCAACTCACAGAGTGGAACGTCCCTTTAGACACAGCAGATTTGAAACACTCTTTTTGAGGAATTTGCAAGTGGAGATTTCTAGCCATTTGATGCCAACAGTAGAAAGGGAAATATCTTCAAATAAAAACTAGACAGAATCATTCTCAGAAAGTGCTTTGTGATGTGTGCGTTCAACTCACAGAGTTTAACCTTTCTTTTCATAGAGGAGTTTGGAAACACACTGTTTGTAAAGTCTGCAATTGGATATATGGACCTGTTTGAGGCCTTCGTTGGAAACGAGATTTCTTCATTGAATGCTAGACGGAAGAATTCTCAGTAAATTCTTTGTGTTGTGTGCATTCAACTGACAGAGTGGAACGTCCCTTTATACAGAGCAGATTTGAAACACTCTTTTTGCGGAATTTGCAAGTGGAGATTTCTAGCCATTTGATGCCAACAGTAGAAAGGGAAATATCTTCAAATAAAAACCAGACAGAATCATTCTCAGAAAATTCTTTGTGATGTGTGCGTTCAACTCACATAGTTTAACCTTTCTTTTCATAGAGCAGTTTGGAAACACTCTGTTTGTAAAGTCTGCAAGTGGATATATGGACCGCATTGAGGCCTTCGTTGGAAACGGGATTTCTTCATTTCATGCTAGACAGAAGAATTCTCAGTAACTTCTTTGTGCTGTGTGTATTCAACTCACAGAGTGGAACGTCCCTTTACACAGAGCAGATTTGAAACACTCTTTTTGTGGAGTTTGCAAGTGGAGATTTCAAGCGATTTGATGCCAGCAGTAGAAAAGGAAATATCTTCAAATAAAAACTAGACAGAATCATTCTCAGAAACTACTTTGTGATGTGTGCCTTCAACTCACAGAGTTTAACCTTTCTTTTCTTAGAGCAGTTTAGAAACACTCTGCTTGTTATGTCTGCAAGTGGATATTTGGACCTCTTTGAGGCCTTCGTTGCAAACGGGGTTTCTTCCTTTAATGCTAGACTAAGAAGAGTTCTCAGTAACATTTTTGTGTTGTGTGTATTCAACTCACAGAGTTGAACCTTGCTTTAGAGAGAGCAGATTTGAAACACTCTTGCTGTGGCATTTTCAGGTGGAGATTTCAAGCGATTTGAGGACAATTGCAGAAAAGGAAATATCTTCGTATAACAACCAGACAGAATCATTCTCAGAAAGTGCTTTGTGATGTGTGCGTTCAACTCACAGAGTTTAACCTTTCTTTTCATAGAGGAGTTTGGAAACACACTGTTTGTAAAGTCTGCAATTGGATATATGGACCTGTTTGAGGCCTTCGTTGGAAACGGGATTTCTTCATTGAATGCTAGACGGAAGAATTCTCAGTAAATTCTTTGTGTGGTGTGCATTCAACTCACAGAGTGGAACGTCCCTTTAGACAGAGCAGATTTGAAACACTCTTTTTGCGGAATTTGCAAGTGGAGATTTCTAGCCATTTGATGCCAACAGTAGAAAGGGAAATATCTTCAAATAAAAACCAGACAGAATCATTCTCAGAAAATTCTTTGTGATGTGTGCGTTCAACTCACATAGTTTAACCTTTCTTTTCATAGAGCAGTTTGGAAACACTCTGTTTGTAAAGTCTGCAAGTGGATATATGGACCGCATTGAGGCCTTCGTTGGAAACGGGATTTCTTCATTTCATGCTAGACAGAAGAATTCTCAGTAACTTCTTTGTGCTGTGTGTATTCAACTCACAGAGTGGAACGTCCCTTTACACAGAGCAGATTTGAAACACTCTTTTTGTGGAGTTTGCAAGTGGAGATTTCAAGCGATTTGATGCCAACAGTAGAAAAGGAAATATCTTCAAATAAAAACTAGACAGAATCATTCTCAGAAACTACTTTGTGATGTGTGCCTTCAACTCACAGAGTTTAACCTTTCTTTTCTTAGAGCAGTTTAGAAACACTCTGCTTGTTATGTCTGCAAGTGGATATTTGGACCTCTTTGAGGCCTTCGTTGCAAACGGGGTTTCTTCCTTTCATGCTAGACTAAGAAGAGTTCTCAGTAACTTTTTTGTGTTGTGTGTATTCAACTCACAGAGTAGAACCTTGCTTTAGAGAGAGCAGATTTGAAACACTCTTGCTGTGGCATTTTCAGGTGGAGATTTCAAGCGATTTGAGGACAATTGCAGAAAAGGAAATATCTTCGTATAACAACCAGACAGAATCATTCTCAGAATGTGCTTTGTGATGTGTGCGTTCAACTCACAGAGTTTAACCTTTCTTTTCATAGAGGAGTTTGGAAACACACTGTTTGTAAAGTCTGCAATTGGATATATGGACCTGTTTGAGGCCTTCGTTGGAAACGGGATTTCTTCATTGAATGCTAGACGGAAGAATTCTCAGTAAATTCTTTGTGTTGTGTGCATTCAACTCACAGAGTGGAACGTCCCTTTAGACAGAGCAGATTTGAAACACTCTTTTTGCGGAATTTGCAAGTGGAGATTTCTAGCCATTTGATGCCAACAGTAGAAAGGGAAATATCTTCAAATAAAAACCAGACAGAATCATTCTCAGAAAATTCTTTGTGATGTGTGCGTTCAACTCACATAGTTTAACCTTTCTTTTCATAGAGCAGTTTGGGAACACTCTGTTGGTAATGTCTGCAAGTGGATATATGGACCGCTTTGAGGCCTTCGTTGGAAACGGGATTTCTTCATTTCATGCTAGACAGAAGAATTCTCAGTAACTTCTTTGTGTTGTGTGTATTCAACTCACAGATTGGAACGTCCCTTTACACAGAGCAGATTTGAAACACTCTTTTTGTGGAATTTGCAAGTGGAGATTTCAAGCGATTTGATGCCAACAGTAGAAAAGGAAATATCTGCAAACAAAAACTAGACAGAATCATTATCAGAAAGTGCTTTGTGATGTGTGCATTCAACTCACAGAGTTAACCTTTCTTTTCATAAAGGAGTTTGGAAACACACTGTTTGTAAAGTCTGCAATTGGATATATGGACCTGTTTGAGGCCTTCGTTGGAAACGGGATTTCTTCATTGAATGCTAGACGGAAGAATTCTCAGTAAATTCTTTGTGTCGTGTGCGTTCAACTCACAGAGTGGAACGTCCCTTTAGACAGAGCAGATTTGAAACACTCTTTTTGCGGAATTTGCAAGTGGAGATTTCTAGCAATTTGATGCCAACAGTAGAAAGGGAAATATCTTCAAATAAAAACCAGACAGAATCATTCTCATAAAATTCTTTGTGATGTGTGCGTTCAAATCACATAGTTTAAACTTTCTTTTCATAGAGCAGTTTGGAAACACTCTGTTTGCAAAGTCTGCAAGTGGATATATGGACCGCATTGAGGCCTTCGTTGGAAACGGGATTTCTTCATTTCATGCTAGACAGAAGAATTCTCAGTAACTTCTTTGTGCTGTGTGTATTCAACTCACAGAGTGGAACGTCCCTTTGCACAGAGCAGATTTGAAACACTCTTTTTGTGGAATTTGCAAGTGGAGATTTCAAGCGATTTGATGCCAACAGTAGAAAAGGAAATATCTTCAAATAAAAACTAGACAGAATCATTCTCAGAAACTACTTTGTGATGTGTGCCTTCAACTCACAGAGTTTAACCTTTCTTTTCTTAGAGCAGTTTAGAAACACTCTGCTTGTTATGTCTGCAAGTGGATATTTGGACCTCTTTGAGTCCTTCGTTGCAAACGGGGTTTCTTCCTTTCATGCTAGACTAAGAAGAGTTCTCAGTAACTTTTTTGTGTTGTGTGTATTCAACTCACAGAGTTGAACCTTGCTTTAGAGAGAGCAGATTTGAAACACTCTTGCTGTGGCATTTTCAGGTGGAGATTTCAAGCGATTTGAGGACAATTGCAGAAAAGGAAATATCTTCGTATAATAACCAGACAGAATCATTCTCAGAAAGTGCTTTGTGATGTGTGCGTTCCACTCACAGAGTTTAACCTTTCTTTTCATAGAGGAGTTTGGAAACACACTGTTTGTAAAGTCTGCAAGTGGATATATGGACCTGTTTGAGGCCTTCGTTGGAAACGGGATTTCTTCATTGAATGCTAGACGGAAGAATTCTCAGTAAATTCTTTGTGTTGTGTGCATTCAACTCACAGAGTGGAACGTCCCTTTAGACAGAGCAGATTTGAAACACTCTTTTTGCGGAATTTGCAAGTGGAGATTTCTAGCCATTTGATGCCAACAGTAGAAAGGGAAATATCTTCAAATAAAAACCAGACAGAATCATTCTCAGAAAATTCTTTGTGATGTGTGCGTTCAACTCACATAGTTTAACCTTTCTTTTCATAGAGCAGTTTGGAAACACTCTGTTTGTAAAGTCTGCAAGTGGATATATGGACCGCATTGAGGCCTTCGTTGGAAACGGGATTTCTTCATTTCATGCTAGACAGAAGAATTCTCAGTAACTTCTTTGTGCTGTGTGTATTCAACTCACAGAGTGGAACGTCCCTTTACACAGAGCAGATTTGAAACACTCTTTTTGTGGAATTTGCAAGTGGAGATTTCAAGTGATTTGATGCCAACAGTAGAAAAGGAAATATCTTCAAATAAAAACTAGACAGAATCATTCTCAGAAACTACTTTGTGATGTGTGCCTTCAACTCACAGAGTTTAACCTTTCTTTTCTTAGAGCAGTTTAGAAACACTCTGCTTGTTATGTCTGCAAGTGGATATTTGGACCTCTTTGAGGCCTTCGTTGCAAACGGGGTTTCTTCCTTTAATGCTAGACTAAGAAGAGTTCTCAGTAACTTTTTTGCGTTGTGTGCATTCAACTGACAGAGTGGAACGTCCCTTTAGACAGAGCAGATTTGAAACACTCTTTTTGCGGAATTTGCAAGTGGAGATTTCTAGCCATTTGATGCCAACAGTAGAAAGGGAAATATCTTCAAATAAAAACCAGACAGAATCATTCTCAGAAAATTCTTTGTGATGTGTGCGTTCAACTCACATAGTTTAACCTTTCTTTTCATAGAGCAGTTTGGAAACACTCTGTTTGTAAAGTCTGCAAGTGGATATATGGACCGCATTGAGGCCTTCGTTGGAAACGGGATTTCTTCATTTCATGCTAGACAGAAGAATTCTCAGTAACTCCTTTGTGCTGTGTGTATTCAACTCACAGAGTGGAACGTCCCTTTACACAGAGCAGATTTGAAACACTCTTTTTGTGGAGTTTGCAAGTGGAGATTTCAAGCGATTTGATGCCAACAGTAGAAAAGGAAATATCTTCAAATAAAAACTAGACAGAATCATTCTCAGAAACTACTTTGTGATGTGTGCCTTCAACTCACAGAGTTTAACCTTTCTTTTCTTAGAGCAGTTTAGAAACACTCTCCTTGTTATGTCTGCAAGTGGATATTTGGACCTCTTTGAGGCCTTCGTTGCAAACGGGGTTTCTTCCTTTCATGCTAGACTAAGAAGAGTTCTCAGTAACTTTTTTGTGTTGTGTGTATTCAACTCACAGAGTTGAACCTTGCTTTAGAGAGAGCAGATTTGAAACACTCTTGCTGTGGCATTTTCAGGTGGAGATTTCAAGCGATTTGAGGACAATTGCAGAAAAGGAAATATCTTCGTATAATAACCAGACAGAATCATTCTCAGAAAGTGCTTTGTGATGTGTGCGTTCAACTCACAGAGTTTAACCTTTCTTTTCATAGAGGAGTTTGGAAACACACTGTTTGTAAAGTCTGCAATTGGATATATGGACCTGTTTGAGGCCTTCGTTGGAAACGGGATTTCTTCATTGAATGCTAGACGGAAGAATTCTCAGTAAATTCATTGTGTTGTGTGCATTCAACTCACAGAGTGGAACGTCCCTTTAGACAGAGCAGATTTGAAACACTCTTTTTGCGGAATTTGCAAGTGGAGATTTCTAGCCATTTGATGCCAAGAGTAGAAAGTGAAATATCTTCAAATAAAAACTAGACAGAATCATTCTCAGAAAATTCTTTGTGATGTGTGCGTTCAACTCACATAGTTTAACCTTTCTTTTCATAGAGCAGTTTGGAAACACTCTGTTTGTAAAGTCTGCAAGTGGATATATGGACCGCATTGAGGCCCTTCGTTGGAAACGGGATTTCTTCATTTCATGCTAGACAGAAGAATTCTCAGTAACTTCTTTGTGCTGTGTGTATTCAACTCACAGAGTGGAACGTCCCTTTACACAGAGCAGATTTGAAACACTCTTTTTGTGGAGTTTGCAAGTGGAGATTTCAAGCGATTTGATGCCAACAGTAGAAAAGGAAATATCTTCAAATAAAAACTAGACAGAATCATTCTCAGAAACTACTTTGTGAGGTGTGCCTTCAACTCACAGAGTTTAACCTTTCTTTTCTTAGAGCAGTTTAGAAACACTCTGCTTGTTATGTCTGCAAGTGGATATTTGGACCTCTTTGAGGCCTTCGTTGCAAACGGGGTTTCTTCCTTTCATGCTAGACTAAGAAGAGTTCTCAGTAACTTTTTTGTGTTGTGTGTATTCAACTCACAGAGTTGAACCTTGCTTTAGAGAGAGCAGATTTGAAACACTCTTGCTGTGGCATTTTCAGGTGGAGATTTCAAGCGATTTGAGGACAATTGCAGAAAAGGAAATATCTTCGTATAATAACCAGACAGAATCATTCTCAGAAAGTGCTTTGTGATGTGTGCGTTCAACTCACAGAGTTTAACCTTTCTTTTCATAGAGGAGTTTGGAAACACACTGTTTGTAAAGTCTGCAATTGGATATATGGACCTGTTTGAGGCCTTCTTTGGAAACGGGATTTCTTCATTGAATGCTAGACGGAAGAATTCTCAGTAAATTCTTTGTGTTGTGTGCATTCAACTCACAGAGTGGAACGTCCCTTTAGACAGAGCAGATTTGAAACACTCTTTTTGCGGAATTTGCAAGTGGAGATTTCTAGCCATTTGATGCCAACAGTAGAAAGGGAAATATCTTCAAATAAAAACCAGACAGAATCATTCTCAGAAAATTCTTTGTGATGTGTGCGTTCAACTCACATAGTTTAACCTTTCTTTTCATAGAGCAGTTTGGAAACACTCTGTTTGTAAAGTCTGCAAGTGGATATATGGACCGCATTGAGGCCTTCGTTGGAAACGGGATTTCTTCATTTCATGCTAGACAGAAGAATTCTCAGTAACTTCTTTGTGCTGTTTGTACTCAACTCACAGAGTGGAACGTCCCTTTGCACAGAGCAGATTTGAAACACTCTTTTTGTGGAGTTTGCAAGTGGAGATTTCAAGCGATTTGATGCCAACAGTAGAAAAGGAAATATCTTCAAATAAAAACTAGACAGAATCATTCTCAGAAACTACTTTGTGATGTGTGCCTTCAACTCACAGAGTTTAACCTTTCTTTTCTTAGAGCAGGTTAGAAACACTCTGCTTGTTATGTCTGCAAGTGGATATTTGGACCTCTTTGAGGCCTTCGTTGCAAACGGGGTTTCTTCCTTTCATGCTAGACTAAGAAGAGTTCTCAGTAACTTTTCTGTGTTGTGTGTATTCAACTCACAGAGTTGAACCTTGCTTTAGAGAGAGCAGATTTGAAACACTCTTGCTGTGACATTTTCAGGTGGAGATTTCAAGCGATTTGAGGACAATTGCAGAAAAGGAAATATCTTCGTATAACAACCAGACAGAATCATTCTCAGAAAGTGCTTTGTGATGTGTGCGTTCCACTCACAGAGTTTAACCTTTCTTTTCATAGAGGAGTTTGGAAACACACTGTTTGTAAAGTCTGCAAGTGGATATATGGACCTGTTTGAGGCCTTCGTTGGAAACGGGATTTCTTCATTGAATGCTAGACGGAAGAATTCTCAGTAAATTCTTTGTGTTGTGTGCATTCAACTCACAGAGTGGAACGTCCCTTTAGACAGAGCAGATTTGAAACACTCTTTTTGCGGAATTTGCAAGTGGAGATTTCTAGCCATTTGATGCCAACAGTAGAAAGGGAAATATCTTCAAATAAAAACCAGACAGAATCATTCTCAGAAAATTCTTTGTGATGTGTGCGTTCAACTCACATAGTTTAACCTTTCTTTTCATAGAGCAGTTTGGAAACACTCTGTTTGTAAAGTCTGCAAGTGGATATATGGACCGCATTGAGGCCTTCGTTGGAAACGGGATTTCTTCATTTCATGCTAGACAGAAGAATTCTCAGTAACTTCTTTGTGCTGTGTGTATTCAACTCACAGAGTGGAACGTCCCTTTGCACAGAGCAGATTTGAAACACTCTTTTTGTGGAGTTTGCAAGTGGAGATTTCAAGCGATTTGATGCCAACAGTAGAAAAGGAAATATCTTCAAATAAAAACTAGACAGAATCATTCTCAGAAACTACTTTGTGATGTGTGCCTTCAACTCACAGAGTTTAACATTTCTTTTCTTAGAGCAGTTTAGAAACACTCTGCTTGTTATGTCTGCAAGTGGATATTTGGACCTCTTTGAGGCCTTCGTTGCAAACGGCGTTTCTTCCTTTAATGCTAGACTAAGAAGAGTTCTCAGTAACTTTTTTGTGTTGTGTGTATTCAACTCACAGAGTTGAACCTTGCTTTAGAGAGAGCAGATTTGAAACACTCTTGCTGTGGCATTTTCAGGTGGAGATTTCAAGCGATTTGAGGACAATTGCAGAAAAGGAAATATCTTCGTATAATAACCAGACAGAATCATTCTCAGAAAGTGCTTTGTGATGTGTGCGTTCCACTCACAGAGTTTAACCTTTCTTTTCATAGAGGAGTTTGGAAACACACTGTTTGTAAAGTCTGCAAGTGGATATATGGACCTGTTTGAGGCCTTCGTTGGAAACGGGATTTCTTCATTGAATGCTAGACGGAAGAATTCTCAGTAAATTCTTTGTGTTGTGTGCATTCAACTCACAGAGTGGAACGTCCCTTTAGACACAGCAGATTTGAAACACTCTTTTTGCGGAATTTGCAAGTGGAGATTTCTAGCCATTTGATGCCAACAGTAGAAAGGGAAATATCTTCAAATAAAAACCAGACAGAATCATTCTCAGAAAATTCTTTGTGATGTGTGCGTTCAACTCACATAGTTTAACCTTTCTTTTCATAGAGCAGTTTGGGAACACTCTGTTGGTAATGTCTGCAAGTGGATATATGGACCGCTTTGAGGCCTTCGTTGGAAACGGGATTTCTTCATTTCATGCTAGACAGAAGAATTCTCAGTAACTTCTTTGTGCTGTGTGTATTCAACTCACAGAGTGGAACGTCCCTTTACACAGAGCAGATTTGAAACACTCTTTTTGTGGAGTTTGCAAGTGGAGAATTCAAGCGATTTGATGCCAACAGTAGAAAAGGAAATATCTTCAAATAAAAACTAGACAGAATCATTCTCAGAAACTGCTTTGTGATGTGTGCCTTCAACTCACAGAGTTTAACCTTTCTTTTCTTAGAGCAGTTTAGAAACACTCTGCTTGTTATGTCTGCAAGTGGATATTTGGACCTCTTTGAGGCCTTCGTTGCAAACGGGGTTTCTTCCTTTCATGCTAGACTAAGAAGAGTTCTCAGTAACTTTTTTGTGTTGTGTGTATTCAACTCACAGAGTTGAACCTTGCTTTAGAGAGAGCAGATTTGAAACACTCTTGCTGTGGCATTTTCAGGTGGAGATTTCAAGCGATTTGAGGACAATTGCAGAAAAGGAAATATCTTCGTATAATAACCAGACAGAATCATTCTCAGAAAGTGCTTTGTGATGTGTGCGTTCCACTCACAGAGTTTAACCTTTCTTTTCATAGAGGAGTTTGGAAACACACTGTTTGTAAAGTCTGCAAGTGGATATATGGACCTGTTTGAGGCCTTCGTTGGAAACGGGATTTCTTCATTGAATGCTAGACGGAAGAATTCTCAGTAAATTCTTTGTGTTGTGTGCATTCAACTCACAGAGTGGAACGTCCCTTTAGACAGAGCAGATTTGAAACACTCTTTTTGCGGAATTTGCAAGTGGAGATTTCTAGCCATTTGATGCCAACAGTAGAAAGGGAAATATCTTCAAATAAAAACCAGACAGAATCATTCTCAGAAAATTCTTTGTGATGTGTGCGTTCAACTCACATAGTTTAACCTTTCTTTTCATAGAGCAGTTTGGAAACACTCTGTTTGTAAAGTCTGCAAGTGGATATATGGACCGCATTGAGGCCTTCGTTGGAAACGGGATTTCTTCATTTCATGCTAGACAGAAGAATTCTCAGTAACTTCTTTGTGCTGTGTGTATTCAACTCACAGAGTGGAACGTCCCTTTGCACAGAGCAGATTTGAAACACTCTTTTTGTGGAGTTTGCAAGTGGAGATTTCAAGCGATTTGATGCCAACAGTAGAAAAGGAAATATCTTCAAATAAAAACTAGACAGAATCATTCTCAGAAACTACTTTGTGATGTGTGCCTTCAACTCACAGAGTTTAACCTTTCTTTTCTTAGAGCAGTTTAGAAACACTCTGCTTGTTATGTCTGCAAGTGGATATTTGGACCTCTTTGAGGCCTTCGTTGCAAACGGGGTTTCTTCCTTTCATGCTAGACTAAGAAGAGTTCTCAGTAACTTTTTTGTGTTGTGTGTATTCAACTCACAGAGTTGAACCTTGCTTTAGAGAGAGCAGATTTGAAACACTCTTGCTGTGGCATTTTCAGGTGGAGATTTCAAGCGATTTGAGGACAATTGCAGAAAAGGAAATATCTTCGTATAATAACCAGACAGAATCATTCTCAGAAAGTGCTTTGTGATGTGTGCGTTCCACTCACAGAGTTTAACCTTTCTTTTCATAGAGGAGTTTGGAAACACACTGTTTGTAAAGTCTGCAAGTGGATATATGGACCTGTTTGAGGCCTTCGTTGGAAACGGGATTTCTTCATTGAATGCTAGACGGAAGAATTCTCAGTAAATTCTTTGTGTTGTGTGCATTCAACTCACAGAGTGGAACGTCCCTTTAGACAGAGCAGATTTGAAACACTCTTTTTGCGGAATTTGCAAGTGGAGATTTCTAGCCATTTGATGCCAACAGTAGAAAGGGAAATATCTTCAAATAAAAACCAGACAGAATCATTCTCAGAAAATTCTTTGTGATGTGTGCGTTCAACTCACATAGTTTAACCTTTCTTTTCATAGAGCAGTTTGGAAACACTCTGTTTGTAAAGTCTGCAAGTGGATATATGGACCGCATTGAGGCCTTCGTTGGAAACGGGATTTCTTCATTTCATGCTAGACAGAAGAATTCTCAGTAACTTCTTTGTGCTGTGTGTATTCAACTCACAGAGTGGAACGTCCCTTTACACAGAGCAGATTTGAAACACTCTTTTTGTGGAGTTTGCAAGTGGAGATTTCAAGCGATTTGATGCCAACAGTAGAAAAGGAAATATCTTCAAATAAAAACTAGACAGAATCATTCTCAGAAACTACTTTGTGATGTGTGCCTTCAACTCACAGAGTTTAACCTTTCTTTTCTTAGAGCAGTTTAGAAACACTCTGCTTGTTATGTCTGCAAGTGGATATTTGGACCTCTTTGAGGCCTTCGTTGCAAACGGGGTTTCTTCCTTTCATGCTAGACTAAGAAGAGTTCTCAGTAACATTTTTGTGTTGTGTGTATTCAACTCACAGAGTTGAACCTTGCTTTAGAGAGAGCAGATTTGAAACACTCTTGCTGTGGCATTTTCAGGTGGAGATTTCAAGCGATTTGAGGACAATTGCAGAAAAGGAAATATCTTCGTATAATAACCAGACAGAATCATTCTCAGAAAGTGCTTTGTGATGTGTGCGTTCCACTCACAGAGTTTAACCTTTCTTTTCATAGAGGAGTTTGGAAACAAACTGTTTGTAAACTCTGCAAGTGGATATATGGACCTGTTTGAGGCCTTCGTTGGAAACGGGATTTCTTTATTGAATGCTAGACGGAAGAATTCTCAGTAAATTCTTTGTGTTGTGTGCATTCAACTCACAGAGTGGAACGTCCCTTTAGGCAGAGCAGATTTGAAACACTCTTTTTGCGGAATTTGCAAGTGGAGATTTCTAGCCATTTGATGCCAACAGTAGAAAGGGAAATATCTTCAAATAAAAACCAGACAGAATCATTCTCAGAAAATTCTTTGTGATGTGTGCGTTCAACTCACATAGTTTAACCTTTCTTTTCATAGAGCAGTTTGGAAACACTCTGTTTGTAAAGTCTGCAAGTGGATATATGGACCGCATTGAGGCCTTCGTTGGAAACGGGATTTCTTCATTTCATGCTAGACAGAAGAATTCTCAGTAACTTCTTTGTGCTGCGTGTATTCAACTCACAGAGTGGAACGTCCCTTTGCACAGAGCAGATTTGAAACACTCTTTTTGTGGAGTTTGCAAGTGGAGATTTCAAGCGATTTGATGCCAACAGTAGAAAAGGAAATATCTTCAAATAAAAACTAGACAGAATCATTCTCAGAAACTACTTTGTGATGTGTGCCTTCAACTCACAGAGTTTAACCTTTCTTTTCTTAGAGCAGTTTAGAAACACTCTGCTTGTTATGTCTGCAAGTGGATATTTGGACCTCTTTGAGGCCTTCGTTGCAAACGGGGTTTCTTCCTTTCATGCTAGACTAAGAAGAGTTCTCAGTAACTTTTCTGTGTTGTGTGTATTCAACTCACAGAGTTGAACCTTGCTTTAGAGAGAGCAGATTTGAAACACTCTTGCTGTGACATTTTCAGGTGGAGATTTCAAGCGATTTGAGGACAATTGCAGAAAAGGAAATATCTTCGTATAACAACCAGACAGAATCATTCTCAGAAAGTGCTTTGTGATGTGTACGTTCCACTCACAGAGTTTAACCTTTCTTTTCATAGAGGAGTTTGGAAACACACTGTTTGTAAAGTCTGCAATTGGATATATGGACCTGTTTGAGGCCTTCGTTGGAAACGGGATTTCTTCATTGAATGCTAGACGGAAGAATTCTCAGTAAATTCTTTGTGTTGTGTGCATTCAACTCACAGAGTGGAACGTCCCTTTAGACAGAGCAGATTTGAAACACTCTTTTTGCGGAATTTGCAAGTGGAGATTTCTAGCCATTTGATGCCAACAGTAGAAAGGGAAATATCTTCAAATAAAAACCAGACAGAATCATTCTCAGAAAATTCTTTGTGATGTGTGCGTTCAACTCACATAGTTTAACCTTTCTTTTCATAGAGCAGTTTGGAAACACTCTGTTTGTAAAGTCTGCAAGTGGATATATGGACCGCATTGAGGCCTTCGTTGGAAACGGGATTTCTTCATTTCATGCTAGACAGAAGAATTCTCAGTAACTTCTTTGTGCTGTGTGTATTCAACTCACAGAGTGGAAAGTTCCTTTACACAGAGCAGATTTGAAACACTCTTTTTGTGGAATTTGCAAGTGGAGATTTCAAGCGATTTGATGCCAACAGTAGAAAAGGAAATATCTTCAAATAAAAACTAGACAGAATCATTCTCAGAAACTACTTTGTGATGTGTGCCTTCAACTCACAGAGTTTAACCTTTCTTTTCTTAGAGCAGTTTAGAAACACTCTGCTTGTTATGTCTGCAAGTGGATATTTGGACCTCTTTGAGGCCTTCGTTGCAAACGGGGTTTCTTCCTTTCATGCTAGACTAAGAAGAGTTCTCAGTAACTTTTTTGTGTTGTGTGTATTCAACTCACAGAGTTGAACCTTGCTTTAGAGAGAGCAGATTTGAAACACTCTTGCTGTGGCATTTTCAGGTGGAGATTTCAAGCGATTTGAGGACAATTGCAGAAAAGGAAATATCTTCGTATAATAACCAGACAGAATCATTCTCAGAAAGTGCTTTGTGATGTGTGCGTTCCACTCACAGAGTTTAACCTTTCTTTTCATAGAGGAGTTTGGAAACACACTGTTTGTAAAGTCTGCAAGTGGATATATGGACCTGTTTGAGGCCTTCGTTGGAAACGGGATTTCTTCATTGAATGCTAGACGGAAGAATTCTCAGTAAATTCTTTGTGTTGTGTGCATTCAACTCACAGAGTGGAACGTCCCTTTAGACAGAGCAGATTTGAAACACTCTTTTTGCGGAATTTGCAAGTGGAGATTTCTAGCCATTTGATGCCAACAGTAGAAAGGGAAATATCTTCAAATAAAAACCAGACAGAATCATTCTCAGAAAATTCTTTGTGATGTGTGCGTTCAACTCACATAGTTTAACCTTTCTTTTCATAGAGCAGTTTGGAAACACTCTGTTTGTAAAGTCTGCAAGTGGATATATGGACCGCATTGAGGCCTTGGTTGGAAACGGGATTTCTTCATTTCATGCTAGACAGAAGAATTCTCAGTAACTTCTTTGTGCTGTGTGTATTCAACTCACAGAGTGGAACGTTCCTTTACACAGAACAGATTTGAAACACTCTTTTTGTGGAATTTGCAAGTGGAGATTACAAGCGATTTGATGCCAACAGTAGAAAAGGAAATATCTTCAAATAAAAACTAGACAGAATCATTCTCAGAAACTACTTTGTGATGTGTGCCTTCAACTCACAGAGTTTAACCTTTCTTTTCTTAGAGCAGTTTAGAAACACTCTGCTTGTTATGTCTGCAAGTGGATATTTGGACCTCTTTGAGGCCTTCGTTGCAAACGGGGTTTCTTCCTTTCATGCTAGACTAAGAAGAGTTCTCAGTAACTTTTTTGTGTTGTGTGTATTCAACTCGCAGAGCTGAACCTTGCTTTAGAGAGAGCAGATTTGAAACACTCTTGCTGTGGCATTTTCAGGTGGAGATTTCAAGCGATTTGAGGACAATTGCAGAAAAGGAAATATCTTCGTATAACAACCAGACAGAATCATTCTCAGAAAGTGCTTTGTGATGTGTGCGTTCAACTCACAGAGTTTAACCTTTCTTTTCATAGAGGAGTTTGGAAACACACTGTTTGTAAAGTCTGCAATTGGATATATGGACCTGTTTGAGGCCTTCGTTGGAAACGGGATTTCTTCATTGAATGCTAGACGGAAGAATTCTCAGTAAATTCTTTGTGTTGTGTGCATTCAACTGACAGAGTGGAACGTCCCTTTAGACAGAGCAGATTTGAAACACTCTTTTTGCGGAATTTGCAAGTGGAGATTTCTAGCCATTTGATGCCAACAGTAGAAAGGGAAATATCTTCAAATAAAAACCAGACAGAATCATTCTCAGAAAATTCTTTGTGATGTGTGCGTTCAACTCACATAGTTTAACCTTTCTTTTCATAGAGCAGTTTGGAAACACTCTGTTTGTAAAGTCTGCAAGTGGATATATGGACCGCATTGAGGCCTTCGTTGGAAACGGGATTTCTTCATTTCATGCTAGACAGAAGAATTCTCAGTAACTTCTTTGTGCTGTGTGTATTCAACTCACAGAGTGGAACGTCCCTTTACACAGAGCAGATTTGAAACACTCTTTTTGTGGAGTTTGCAAGTGGAGATTTCAAGCGATTTGATGCCAACAGTAGAAAAGGAAATATCTTCAAATAAAAACTAGACAGAATCATTCTCAGAAACTACTTTGTGATGTGTGCCTTCAACTCACAGAGTTTAACCTTTCTTTTCTTAGAGCAGTTTAGAAACACTCTGCTTGTTATGTCTGCAAGTGGATATTTGGACCTCTTTGAGGCCTTCGTTGCAAACGGGGTTTCTTCCTTTCATGCTAGACTAAGAAGAGTTCTCAGTAACTTTTTTGTGTTGTGTGTATTCAACTCACAGAGTTGAACCTTGCTTTAGAGAGAGCAGATTTGAAACACTCTTGCTGTGGCATTTTCAGGTGGAGATTTCAAGCGTTTTGAGGACAATTGCAGAAAAGGAAATATCTTCGTATAATAACCAGACAGAATCATTCTCAGAAAGTGCTTTGTGTTGTGTGCGTTCAACTCACAGAGTTTAACCTTTCTTTTCATAGAGGAGTTTGGAAACACACTGTTTGTAAAGTCTGCAATTGGATATATGGACCTGTTTGAGGCCTTCGTTGGAAACGGGATTTCTTCATTGAATGCTAGACGGAAGAATTCTCAGTAAATTCTTTGTGTTGTGTGCATTCAACTCACAGAGTGGAACGTCCCTTTAGACAGAGCAGATTTGAAACACTCTTTTTGCGGAATTTGCAAGTGGAGATTTCTAGCCATTTGATGCCAACAGTAGAAAGGGAAATATCTTCAAATAAAAACCAGACAGAATCATTCTCAGAAAATTCTTTGTGATGTGTGCGTTCAACTCACATAGTTTAACCTTTCTTTTCATAGAGCAGTTTGGAAACACTCTGTTTGTAAAGTCTGCAAGTGGATATATGGACCGCATTGAGGCCTTCGTTGGAAACGGGATTTCTTCATTTCATGCTAGACAGAAGAATTCTCAGTAACTTCTTTGTGCTGTGTGTATTCAACTCACAGAGTGGAACGTCCCTTTGCACAGAGCAGATTTGAAACACTCTTTTTGTGGAGTTTGCAAGTGGAGATTTCAAGCGATTTGATGCCAACAGTAGAAAAGGAAATATCTTCAAATAAAAACTAGACAGAATCATTCTCAGAAACTACCTTGTGATGTGTGCCTTCAACTCACAGAGTTTAACCTTTCTTTTCTTAGAGCAGTTTAGAAACACTCTGCTTGTTATGTCTGCAAGTGGATATTTGGAACTCTTTGAGGCCTTCGTTGCAAACGGGGTTTCTTCCTTTAATGCTAGACTAAGAAGAGTTCTCAGTAACTTTTTTGTGTTGTGTGTATTCAACTCACAGAGTTGAACCTTGCTTTAGAGAGAGCAGATTTGAAACACTCTTGCTGTGGCATTTTCAGGTGGAAATTTCAAGCGATTTGAGGACAATTGCAGAAAAGGAAATATCTTCGTATAACAACCAGACAGAATCATTCTCAGAAAGTGCTTTGTGATGTGTGCGTTCCACTCACAGAGTTTAACCTTTCTTTTCATAGAGGAGTTTGGAAACACACTGTTTGTAAAGTCTGCAAGTGGATATATGGACCTGTTTGAGGCCTTCGTTGGAAACGGGATTTCTTCATTGAATGCTAGACGGAAGAATTCTCAGTAAATTCTTTGTGTTGTGTGCATTCAACTCACAGAGTGGAACGTCCCTTTAGACAGAGCAGATTTGAAACACTCTTTTTGCGGAATTTGCAAGTGGAGATTTCTAGCCATTTGATGCCAACAGTAGAAAGGGAAATATCTTCAAATAAAAACCAGACAGAATCATTCTCAGAAAATTCTTTGTGATGTGTGCGTTCAACTCACATAGTTTAACCTTTCTTTTCATAGAGCAGTTTGGAAACACTCTGTTTGTAAAGTCTGCAAGTGGATATATGGACCGCATTGAGGCCTTCGTTGGAAACGGGATTTCTTCATTTCATGCTAGACAGAAGAATTCTCAGTAACTTCTTTGTGCTGTGTGTATTCAACTCACAGAGTGGAACGTCCCTTTGCACAGAGCAGATTTGAAACACTCTTTTTGTGGAGTTTGCAAGTGGAGATTTCAAGCGATTTGATGCCAACAGTAGAAAAGGAAATATCTTCAAATAAAAACTAGACAGAATCATTCTCAGGAACTACTTTGTGATGTGTGCCTTCAACTCACAGAGTTTAACCTTTCTTTTCTTAGAGCAGTTTAGAAACACTCTGCTTGTTATGTCTGCAAGTGGATATTTGGACCTCTTTGAGGCCTTCGTTGCAAACGGGGTTTCTTCCTTTCATGCTAGACTAAGAAGAGTTCTCAGTAACTTTTTTGTGTTGTGTGTATTCAACTCACAGAGTTGAACCTTGCTTTAGAGAGAGCAGATTTGAAACACTCTTGCTGTGGCATTTTCAGGTGGAGATTTCAAGCGATTTGAGGACAATTGCAGAAAAGGAAATATCTTCGTATAATAACCAGACAGAATCATTCTCAGAAAATTCTTTGTGATGTGTGCGTTCAACTCACATAGTTTAACCTTTCTTTTCATAGAGCAGTTTGGGAACACTCTGTTGGTAATGTCTGCAAGTGGATATATGGACCGCTTTGAGGCCTTCGTTGGAAATGGGATTTCTTCATTTCATGCTAGACAGAAGAATTCTCAGTAAATTCTTTGTGCTGTGTGCATTCAACTCACAGAGTGGAACGTCCCTTTAGACAGAGCAGATTTGAAACACTCTTTTTGCGGAATTTGCAAGTGGAGATTTCTAGCCATTTGATGCCAACAGTAGAAAGGGAAATATCTTCAAATAAGAACCAGACAGAATCATTCTCAGAAAATTCTTTGTGATGTGTGCGTTCAACTCACATAGTTTAACCATTCTTTTCATAGAGCAGTTTGGAAACACTCTGTTTGTAAAGTCTGCAAGTGGATATATGGACCGCATTGAGGCCTTCGTTGGAAACGGGATTTCTTCATTTCATGCTAGACAGAAGAATTCTCAGTAACTTCTTTGTGCTGTGTGTATTCAACTCACAGAGTGGAACGTCCCTTTACACAGAGCAGATTTGAAACACTCTTTTTGTGGAGTTTGCAAGTGGAGATTTCAAGCGATTTGATGCCAACAGTAGAAAAGGAAATATCTGCAAACAAAAACTAGACAGAATCATTCTCAGAAAGTGCTTTGTGATGTGTGCATTCCACTCACAGAGTTTAACCTTTCTTTTCATAGAGGAGTTTGGAAACACACTGTTTGTAAAGTCTGCAAGTGGATATATGGACCTCTTTGAGGCCCTTCGTTGGAAACGGGATTTCTTCATTGAATGCTAGACGGAAGAGTTCTCAGTAACTTTTTTGTGTTGTGTGTATTCAACTCACAGAGTTGAACCTTGCTTTAGAGAGAGCAGATTTGAAACACTCTTGCTGTGGCATTTTCAGGTGGAGATTTCAAGCGATTTGAGGACAATTGCAGAAAAGGAAATATCTTCGTATAACAACCAGACAGAATCATTCTCAGAAAGTGCTTTGTGATGTGTGCGTTCAACTCACAGAGTTTAACCTTTCTTTTCATAGAGGAGTTTGGAAACACACTGTTTGTAAAGTCTGCAATTGGATATATGGACCTGTTTGAGGCCTTCGTTGGAAACGGGATTTCTTCATTGAATGCTAGACGGAAGAATTCTCAGTAAATTCTTTGTGTTGTGTGCATTCAACTCACAGAGTGGAACGTCCCTTTAGACAGAGCAGATTTGAAACACTCTTTTTGCGGAATTTGCAAGTGGAGATTTCTAGCCATTTGATGCCAACAGTAGAAAGGGAAATATCTTCAAATAAAAACCAGACAGAATCATTCTCAGAAAATTCTTTGTGATGTGTGCGTTCAACTCACATAGTTTAACCTTTCTTTTCATAGAGCAGTTTGGAAACACTCTGTTTGTAAAGTCTGCAAGTGGATATATGGACCGCATTGAGGCCTTCGTTGGAAACGGGATTCTTCATTTCATGCTAGACAGAGTAATTCTCAGTAACTTCTTTGTGCTGTGTGTATTCAACTCACAGGAGTGGAACGTCCCTTTGCACAGAGCAGATTTGAAACACTCTTTTTGTGGAGTTTGCAAGTGGAGATTTCAAGCGATTTGATGCCAACAGTAGAAAAGGAAATATCTTCAAATAAAAACTAGACAGAATCATTCTCAGAAACTACTTTGTGATGTGTGCCTTCAACTCACAGAGTTTAACCTTTCTTTTCTTAGAGCAGTTTAGAAACACTCTGCTTGTTATGTCTGCAAGTGGATATTTGGACCTCTTTGAGGCCTTCGTTGCAAACGGGGTTTCTTCCTTTCATGCTAGACTAAGAAGAGTTCTCAGTAACTTTTTTGTGTTGTGTGTATTCAACTCACAGAGTTGAACCTTGCTTTAGAGAGAGCAGATTTGAAACACTCTTGCTGTGGCATTTTCAGGTGGAGATTTCAAGCGATTTGAGGACAATTGCAGAAAAGGAAATATCTTCGTATAATAACCAGACAGAATCATTCTCAGAAAGTGCTTTTTGATGTGTGCGTTCAACTCACAGAGTTTAACCTTTCTTTTCATAGAGGAGTTTGGAAACACACTGTTTGTAAAGTCTGCAAGTGGATATATGGACCTGTTTGAGCCCTTCGTTGGAAACGGGATTTCTTCATTGAATGCTAGACGGAAGAATTCTCAGTAAATTCTTTGTGTTGTGTGCATTCAACTCACAGAGTGGAACGTCCCTTTAGACAGAGCAGATTTGAAACACTCTTTTTGCGGAATTTGCAAGTGGAGATTTCTAGCCATTTGATGCCAACAGTAGAAAGGGAAATATCTTCAAATAAAAACCAGACAGAATCATTCTCAGAAAATTCTTTGTGATGTGTGCGTTCAACTCACATAGTTTAACCTTTCTTTTCATAGAGCAGTTTGGAAACACTCTGTTTGTAAAGTCTGCAAGTGGATATATGGACCGCATTGAGGCCTTCGTTGGAAACGGGATTTCTTCATTTCATGCTAGACAGAAGAATTCTCAGTAACTTCTTTGTGCTGTGTGTATTCAACTCACAGATTGGAACGTCCCTTTGCACAGAGCAGATTTTAAACACTCTTTTTGTGGAGTTTGCAAGTGGAGATTTCAAGCGATTTGATGCCAACAGTAGAAAAGGAAATATCTTCAAATAAAAACTAGACAGAATCATTCTCAGAAACTACTTTGTGATGTGTGCCTTCAACTCACAGAGTTTAACCTTTCTTTTCTTAGAGCAGTTTAGAAACACTCTGCTTGTTATGTCTGCAAGTGGATATTTGGACCTCTTTGAGGCCTTCGTTGCAAACGGGATTTTTTCCTTTCATGCTAGACTAAGAAGAGTTCTCAGTAACTTTTTTGTGTTGTGTGTATTCAACTCACAGAGTTGAACCTTGCTTTACAGAGAGCAGATTTGAAACACTCTTGCTGTGGCATTTTCAGGTGGAGATTTCAAGCGATTTGAGGACAATTGCAGAAAAGGAAATATCTTCGTATAATAACCAGACAGAATCATTCTCAGAAAGTGCTTTGTGATGTGTGCGTTCAACTCACAGAGTTTAACCTTTCTTTTCATAGAGGAGTTTGGAAACACACTGTTTGTAAAGTCTGCAAGTGGATATATGGACCTGTTTGAGGCCTTCGTTGGAAACGGGATTTCTTCATTGAATGCTAGACGGAAGAATTCTCAGTAAATTCTTTGTGTTGTGTGCATTCAACTCACAGAGTGGAACGTCCCTTTAGACAGAGCAGATTTGAAACACTCTTTTTGCGGAATTTGCAAGTGGAGATTTCTAGCCATTTGATGCCAACAGTAGAAAGGGAAATATCTTCAAATAAAAACCAGACAGAATCATTCTCAGAAAATTCTTTGTGATGTGTGCGTTCAACTCACATAGTTTAACCTTTCTTTTCATAGAGCAGTTTGGAAACACTCTGTTTGTAAAGTCTGCAAGTGGATATATGGACCGCATTGAGGCCTTCGTTGGAAACGGGATTTCTTCATTTCATGCTAGACAGAAGAATTCTCAGTAACTTCTTTGTGCTGTGTGTATTCAACTCACAGAGTGGAATGTCCCTTTGCACAGAGCAGATTTGAAACACTCTTTTTGTGGAATTTGCAAGTGGAGATTTCAAGCGATTTGATGCCAACAGTAGAAAAGGAAATATCTTCAAATAAAAACTAGACAGAATCATTCTCAGAAACTACTTTGTGATGTGTGCCTTCAACTCACAGAGTTTAACCTTTCTTTTCTTAGAGCAGTTTAGAAACACTCTGCTTGTTATGTCTGCAAGTGGATATTTGGACCTCTTTGAGGCCTTCGTTGCAAACGGGGTTTCTTCCTTTAATGCTAGACTAAGAAGAGTTCTCAGTAACTTTTTTGTGTTGTGTGTATTCAACTCACAGAGTTGAACCTTGCTTTAGAGAGAGCAGATTTGAAACACTCTTGCTGTGGCATTTTCAGGTGGAGATTTCAAGCGATTTGAGGACAATTGCAGAAAAGGAAATATCTTCGTATAATAACCAGACAGAATCATTCTCAGAAAGTGCTTTGTGATGTGTGCGTTCAACTCACAGAGTTTAACCTTTCTTTTCATAGAGGAGTTTGGAAACACACTGTTTGTAAAGTCTGCAAGTGGATATATGGACCTCTTTGAGGCCTTCGTTGGAAACGGGAATTCTTCATTGAATGCTAGACGGAAGAATTCTCAGTAAATTCTTTGTGTTGTGTGCATTCAACTCACAGAGTGGAACGTCCCTTTAGACAGAGCAGATTTGAAACACTCTTTTTGCGGAATTTGCAAGTGGAGATTTCTAGCCATTTGATGCCAACAGTAGAAAGGGAAATATCTTCAAATAAAAACCAGACAGAATCATTCTCAGAAAATTCTTTGTGATGTGTGCGTTCAACTCACATAGTTTAACCTTTCTTTTCATAGAGCAGTTTGGAAACACTCTGTTTGTAAAGTCTGCAAGTGGATATATGGACCGCATTGAGGCCTTCGTTGGAAACGGGATTTCTTCATTTCATGCTAGACAGAAGAATTCTCAGTAACTTCTTTGTGCTGTGTGTATTCAACTCACAGAGTGGAACGTCCCTTTACACAGAGCAGATTTGAAACACTCTTTTTGTGGAGTTTGCAAGTGGAGATTTCAAGCGATTTGATGCCAACAGTAGAAAAGGAAATATCTTCAAATAAAAACTAGACAGAATCATTCTCAGAAACTACTTTGTGATGTGTGCCTTCAACTCACAGAGTTTAACCTTTCTTTTCTTAGAGCAGTTTAGAAACACTCTGCTTGTTATGTCTGCAAGTGGATATTTGGACCTCTTTGAGGCCTTCGTTGCAAACGGGGTTTCTTCCTTTCATGCTAGACTAAGAAGAGTTCTCAGTAACTTTTCTGTGTTGTGTGTATTCAACTCACAGAGTTGAACCTTGCTTTAGAGAGAGCAGATTTGAAACACTCTTGCTGTGGCATTTTCAGGTGGAGATTTCAAGCGTTTTGAGGACAATTGCAGAAAAGGAAATATCTTCGTATAATAACCAGACAGAATCATTCTCAGAAAGTGCTTTGTGATGTGTGCGTTCCACTCACAGAGTTTAACCTTTCTTTTCATAGAGGAGTTTGGAAACACACTGTTTGTAAAGTCTGCAAGTGGATATATGGACCTGTTTGAGGCCTTCGTTGGAAACGGGATTTCTTCATTGAATGCTAGACGGAAGAATTCTCAGTAAATTCTTTGTGTTGTGTGCATTCAACTCACAGAGTGGAACGTCCCTTTAGACAGAGCAGATTTGAAACACTCTTTTTGCGGAATTTGCAAGTGGAGATTTCTAGCCATTTGATGCCAACAGTAGAAAGGGAAATATCTTCAAATAAAAACCAGACAGAATCATTCTCAGAAAATTCTTTGTGATGTGTGCGTTCAACTCACATAGTTTAACCTTTCTTTTCATAGAGCAGTTTGGAAACACTCTGTTTGTAAAGTCTGCAAGTGGATATATGGACCGCATTGAGGCCTTCGTTGGAAACGGGATTTCTTCATTTCATGCTAGACAGAAGAATTCTCAGTAACTTCTTTGTGCTGTGTGTATTCAACTCACAGAGTGGAACGTCCCTTTGCACAGAGCAGATTTGAAACACTCTTTTTGTGGAGTTTGCAAGTGGAGATTTCAAGCGATTTGATGCCAACAGTAGAAAAGGAAATATCTTCAAATAAAAACTAGACAGAATCATTCTCAGAAACTACTTTGTGATGTGTGCCTTCAACTCACAGAGTTTAACCTTTCTTTTCTTAGAGCAGTTTAGAAACACTCTGCTTGTTATGTCTGCAAGTGGATATTTGGACCTCTTTGAGGCCTTCGTTGCAAACGGGGTTTCTTCCTTTCATGCTAGACTAAGAAGAGTTCTCAGTAACTTTTTTGTGTTGTGTGTATTCAACTCACAGAGTTGAACCTTGCTTTAGAGAGAGCAGATTTGAAACACTCTTGCTGTGGCATTTTCAGGTGGAGATTTCAAGCGATTTGAGGACAATTGCAGAAAAGGAAATATCTTCGTATAATAACCAGACAGAATCATTCTCAGAAAGTGCTTTGTGATGTGTGCGTTCAACTCACAGAGTTTAACCTTTCTTTCCATAGAGGAGTTTGGAAACACACTGTTTGTAAAGTCTGCAATTGGATATATGGACCTGTTTGAGGCCTTCGTTGGAAACGGGATTTCTTCATTGAATGCTAGACGGAAGAATTCTCAGTAAATTCTTTGTGTTGTGTGCATTCAACTCACAGAGTGGAACGTCCCTTTAGACAGAGCAGATTTGAAACACTCTTTTTGCGGAATTTGCAAGTGGAGATTTCTAGCCATTTGATGCCAACAGTAGAAAGGGAAACATCTTCAAATAAAAACCAGACAGAATCATTCTCAGAAAATTCTTTGTGATGTGTGCGTTCAACTCACATAGTTTAACCTTTCTTTTCATAGAGCAGTTTGGAAACACTCTGTTTGTAAAGTCTGCAAGTGGATATATGGACCGCATTGAGGCCTTCGTTGGAAACGGGATTTCTTCATTTCATGCTAGACAGAAGAATTCTCAGTAACTTCTTTGTGCTGTGTGTATTCAACTCACAGAGTGGAACGTCCCTTTGCACAGAGCAGATTTGAAACACTCTTTTTGTGGAATTTGCAAGTGGAGATTTCAAGCGATTTGATGCCAACAGTAGAAAAGGAAATATCTTCAAATAAAAACTAGACAGAATCATTCTCAGAAACTACTTTGTGATGTGTGCCTTCAACTCACAGAGTTTAACCTTTCTTTTCTTAGAGCAGTTTAGAAACACTCTGCTTGTTATGTCTGCAAGTGGATATTTGGACCTCTTTGAGGCCTTCGTTGCAAACGGGGTTTCTTCCTTTCATGCTAGACTAAGAAGAGTTCTCAGTAACTTTTTTGTGTTGTGTGTATTCAACTCACAGAGTTGAACCTTGCTTTAGAGAGAGCAGATTTGAAACACTCTTGCTGTGGCATTTTCAGGTGGAGATTTCAAGCGATTTGAGGACAATTGCAGAAAAGGAAATATCTTCGTATAATAACCAGACAGAATCATTCTCAGAAAGTGCTTTGTGATGTGTGCGTTCAACTCACAGAGTTTAACCTTTCTTTTCATAGAGGAGTTTGGAAACACACTGTTTGTAAAGTCTGCAAGTGGATATATGGACCTGTTTGAGGCCTTCGTTGGAAACGGGATTTCTTCATTGAATGCTAGACGGAAGAATTCTCAGTAAATTCTTTGTGTTGTGTGCATTCAACTCACAGAGTGGAACGTCCCTTTAGACAGAGCAGATTTGAAACACTCTTTTTGCGGAATTTGCAAGTGGAGATTTCTAGCCATTTGATGCCAACAGTAGAAAGGGAAATATCTTCAAATAAAAACCAGACAGAATCATTCTCAGAAAATTCTTTGTGATGTGTGCGTTCAACTCACATAGTTTAACCTTTCTTTTCATAGAGCAGTTTGGAAACACTCTGTTTGTAAAGTCTGCAAGTGGATCTATGGACCGCATTGAGGCCTTCGTTGGAAACGGGATTTCTTCATTTCATGCTAGACAGAAGAATTCTCAGTAACTTCTTTGTGCTGTGTGTATTCAACTCACAGAGTGGAACGTCCCTTTGCACAGAGCAGATTTGAAACACTCTTTTTGTGGAGTTTGCAAGTGGAGATTTCAAGCGATTTGATGCCAACAGTAGAAAAGGAAATATCTTCAAATAAAAACTAGACAGAATCATTCTCAGAAACTACTTTGTGATGTGTGCCTTCAACTCACAGAGTTTAACCTTTCTTTTCTTAGAGCAGTTTAGAAACACTCTGCTTGTTATGTCTGCAAGTGGATATTTGGACCTCTTTGAGGCCTTCGTTGCAAACGGGGTTTCTTCCTTTCATGCTAGACTAAGAAGAGTTCTCAGTAACTTTTTTGTGTTGTGTGTATTCAACTCACAGAGTTGAACCTTGCTTTAGAGAGAGCAGATTTGAAACACTCTTGCTGTGGCATTTTCAGGTGGAGATTTCAAGCGATATGAGGACAATTGCAGAAAAGGAAATATCTTCGTATAATAACCAGACAGAATCATTCTCAGAAAGTGCTTTGTGATGTGTGCGTTCAACTCACAGAGTTTAACCTTTCTTTTCATAGAGGAGTTTGGAAACACACTGTTTGTAAAGTCTGCAATTGGATATATGGACCTGTTTGAGGCCTTCGTTGGAAACGGGATTTCTTCATTGAATGCTAGACGGAAGAATTCTCAGTAAATTCTTTGTGTTGTGTGCATTCAACTCACAGAGTGGAACGTCCCTTTAGACAGAGCAGATTTGAAACACTCTTTTTGCGGAATTTGCAAGTGGAGATTTCTAGCCATTTGATGCCAACAGTAGAAAGGGAAATATCTTCAAATAAAAACCAGACAGAATCATTCTCAGAAAATTCTTTGTGATGTGTGCGTTCAACTCACATAGTTTAACCTTTCTTTTCATAGAGCAGTTTGGAAACACTCTGTTTGTAAAGTCTGCAAGTGGATATATGGACCGCATTGAGGCCTTCGTTGGAAACGGGATTTCTTCATTTCATGCTAGACAGAAGAATTCTCAGTAACTTCTTTGTGCTGTGTGTATTCAACTCACAGAGTGGAACGTCCCTTTGCACAGAGCAGATTTGAAACACTCTTTTTGTGGAATTTGCAAGTGGAGATTTCAAGCGATTTGATGCCAACAGTAGAAAAGGAAATATCTTCAAATAAAAACTAGACAGAATCATTCTCAGAAACTACTTTGTGATGTGTGCCTTCAACTCACAGAGTTTAACCTTTCTTTTCTTAGAGCAGTTTAGAAACACTCTGCTTGTTATGTCTGCAAGTGGATATTTGGACCTCTTTGAGGCCTTCGTTGCAAACGGGGTTTCTTCCTTTCATGCTAGACTAAGAAGAGTTCTCAGTAACTTTTTTGTGTTGTGTGTATTCAACTCACAGAGTTGAACCTTGCTTTAGAGAGAGCAGATTTGAAACACTCTTGCTGTGGCATTTTCAGGTGGAGATTTCAAGCGATTTGAGGACAATTGCAGAAAAGGAAATATCTTCGTATAATAACCAGACAGAATCATTCTCAGAAAGTGCTTTGTGATGTGTGCGTTCAACTCACAGAGTTTAACCTTTCTTTTCATAGAGGAGTTTGGAAACACACTGTTTGTAAAGTCTGCAATTGGATATATGGACCTGTTTGAGGCCTTCGTTGGAAACGGGATTTCTTCATTGCATGCTAGACGGAAGAATTCTCAGTAAATTCTTTGTGTTGTGTGCATTCAACTCACAGAGTGGAACGTCCCTTTAGACAGAGCAGATTTGAAACACTCTTTTTGCGGAATTTGCAAGTGGAGATTTCTAGCCATTTGATGCCAACAGTAGAAAGGGAAATATCTTCAAATAAAAACCAGACAGAATCATTCTCAGAAAATTCTTTGTGATGTGTGCGTTCAACTCACATAGTTTAACCTTTCTTTTCATAGAGCAGTTTGGAAACACTCTGTTTGTAAAGTCTGCAAGTGGATATATGGACCGCATTGAGGCCTTCGTTGGAAACGGGATTTCTTCATTTCATGCTAGACAGAAGAATTCTCAGTAACTTCTTTGTGCTGTGTGTATTCAACTCACAGAGTGGAACGTCCCTTTACACAGAGCAGATTTGAAACACTCTTTTTGTGGAGTTTGCAAGTGGAGATTTCAAGCGATTTGATGCCAACAGTAGAAAAGGAAATATCTTCAAATAAAAACTAGACAGAATCATTCTCAGAAACTACTTTGTGATGTGTGCTTTCAACTCACAGAGTTTAACCTTTCTTTTCTTAGAGCAGTTTAGAAACACTCTGCTTGTTATGTCTGCAAGTGGATATTTGGACCTCTTTGAGGCCTTCGTTGCAAACGGGGTTTCTTCCTTTAATGCTAGACTAAGAAGAGTTCTCAGTAACTTTTTTGTGTTGTGTGTATTCAACTCACAGAGTTGAACCTTGCTTTAGAGAGAGCAGATTTGAAACACTCTTGCTGTGGCATTTTCAGGTGGAGATTTCAAGCGATTTGAGGACAATTGCAGAAAAGGAAATATCTTCGTATAACAACCAGACAGAATCATTCTCAGAAAGTGCTTTGTGATGTGTGCGTTCAACTCACAGAGTTTAACCTTTCTTTTCATAGAGGAGTTTGGAAACACACTGTTTGTAAAGTCTGCAATTGGATATATGGACCTGTTTGAGGCCTTCGTTGGAAACGGTATTTCTTCATTGAATGCTAGACGGAAGAATTCTCAGTAAATTCTTTGTGTTGTGTGCATTCAACTCACAGAGTGGAACGTCCCTTTAGACAGAGCAGATTTGAAACACTCTTTTTGCGGAATTTGCAAGTGGAGATTTCTAGCCATTTGATGCCAACAGTAGAAAGGGAAATATCTTCAAATAAAAACCAGACAGAATCATTCTCAGAAAATTCTTTGTGATGTGTGCGTTCAGCTCACATAGTTTAACCTTTCTTTTCATAGAGCAGTTTGGAAACACTCTGTTTGTAAAGTCTGCAAGTGGATATATGGACCGCATTGAGACCTTCGTTGGAAACGGGATTTCTTCATTTCATGCTAGACAGAAGAATTCTCAGTAACTTCTTTGTGCTGTGTGTATTCAACTCACAGAGTGGAACGTCCCTTTGCACAGAGCAGATTTGAAACACTCTTTTTGTGGAGTTTGCAAGTGGAGATTTCAAGCGATTTGATGCCAACAGTAGAAAAGGAAATATCTTCAAATAAAAACTAGACAGAATCATTCTCAGAAACTACTTTGTGATGTGTGCCTTCAACTCACAGAGTTTAACCTTTCTTTTCTTAGAGCAGTTTAGAAACACTCTGCTTGTTATGTCTGCAAGTGGATATTTGGACCTCTTTGAGGCCTTCGTTGCAAACGGGGTTTCTTCCTTTCATGCTAGACTAAGAAGAGTTCTCAGTAACTTTTTTGTGTTGTGTGTATTCAACTCACAGAGTTGAACCTTGCTTTAGAGAGAGCAGATTTGAAACACTCTTGCTGTGGCATTTTCAGGTGGAGATTTCAAGCGATTTGAGGACAATTGCAGAAAAGGAAATATCTTCGTATAATAACCAGACAGAATCATTCTCAGAAAGTGCTTTGTGATGTGTGCGTTCCACTCACAGAGTTTAACCTTTCTTTTCATAGAGGAGTTTGGAAACACACTGTTTGTAAACTCTGCAAGTGGATATATGGACCTGTTTGAGGCCTTCGTTGGAAACGGGATTTCTTCATTGAATGCTAGACGGAAGAATTCTCAGTAAATACTTTGTGTTGTGTGCATTCAACTCACAGAGTGGAACGTCCCTTTAGACAGAGCAGATTTGAAACACTCTTTTTGCGGAATTTGCAAGTGGAGATTTCTAGCCATTTGATGCCAACAGTAGAAAGGGAAATATCTTCAAATAAAAACCAGACAGAATCATTCTCAGAAAATTCTTTGTGATGTGTGCGTTCAACTCACATAGTTTAACCTTTCTTTTCATAGAGCAGTTTGGAAACACTCTGTTTGTAAAGTCTGCAAGTGGATATATGGACCGCATTGAGGCCTTCGTTGGAAACGGGATTTCTTCATTTCATGCTAGACAGAAGAATTCTCAGTAACTTCTTTGTGCTGTGTGTATTCAACTCACAGAGTGGAACGTCCCTTTACACAGAGCAGATTTGAAACACTCTTTTTGTGGAATTTGCAAGTGGAGATTTCAAGCGATTTGATGCCAACAGTAGAAAAGGAAATATCTTCAAATAAAAACTAGACAGAATCATTCTCAGAAACTACTTTGTGATGTGTGCCTTCAACTCACAGAGTTTAACCTTTCTTTTCTTAGAGCAGTTTAGAAACACTCTGCTTGTTATGTCTGCAAGTGGATATTTGGACCTCTTTGAGGCCTTCGTTGCAAACGGGGTTTCTTCCTTTAATGCTAGACTAAGAAGAGTTCTCAGTAACTTTTTTGTGTTGTGTGCATTCAACTCACAGAGTGGAACGTCCCTTTAGACAGAGCAGATTTGAAACACTCTTTTTGCGGAAGTTGCAAGTGGAGATTTCTAGCCATTTGATGCCAACAATACAAAGGGAAATATCTTCAAATAAAAACTAGACAGAATCATTCTCAGAAAATTCTTTGTGATGTGTGCGTTCAACTCACATAGTTTAACCTTTCTTTTCATAGAGCAGTTTGGAAACACTCTGTTTGTAAAGTCTGCAAGTGGATCTATGGACCGCATTGAGGCCTTCGTTGGAAACGGGATTTCTTCATTTCATGCTAGACAGAAGAATTCTCAGTAACTTCTTTGTGCTGTGTGTATTCAACTCACAGAGTGGAACGTCCCTTTGCACAGAGCAGATTTGAAACACTCTTTTTGTGGAATTTGCAAGTGGAGATTTCAAGCGATTTGATGCCAACAGTAGAAAAGGAAATATCTTCAAATAAAAACTAGACAGAATCATTCTCAGAAACTACTTTGTGATGTGTGCCTTCAACTCACAGAGTTTAACCTTTCTTTTCTTAGAGCAGTTTAGAAACACTCTGCTTGTTATGTCTGCAAGTGGATATTTGGACCTCTTTGAGGCCTTCGTTGCAAACGGGGTTTCTTCCTTTCATGCTAGACTAAGAAGAGTTCTCAGTAACTTTTTTGTGTTGTGTGTATTCAACTCACAGAGTTGAACCTTGCTTTAGAGAGAGCAGATTTGAAACACTCTTGCTGTGGCATTTTCAGGTGGAGATTTCAAGCGATTTGAGGACAATTGCAGAAAAGGAAATATCTTCGTATAATAACCAGACAGAATCATTCTCAGAAAGTGCTTTGTGATGTGTGCGTTCAACTCACAGAGTTTAACCTTTCTTTTCATAGAGGAGTTTGGAAACACACTGTTTGTAAAGTCTGCAATTGGATATATGGACCTGTTTGAGGCCTTCGTTGGAAACGGGATTTCTTCATTGAATGCTAGACGGAAGAATTCTCAGTAAATTCTTTGTGTTGTGTGCATTCAACTCACAGAGTGGAACGTCCCTTTAGACAGAGCAGATTTGAAACACTCTTTTTGCGGAATTTGCAAGTGGAGATTTCTAGCCATTTGATGCCAACAGTAGAAAGGGAAATATCTTCAAATAAAAACCAGACAGAATCATTCTCAGAAAATTCTTTGTGATGTGTGCGTTCAACTCACATAGTTTAACCTTTCTTTTCATAGAGCAGTTTGGAAACACTCTGTTTGTAAAGTCTGCAAGTGGATATATGGACCGCATTGAGGCCTTCGTTGGAAACGGGATTTCTTCATTTCATGCTAGACAGAAGAATTCTCAGTAACTTCTTTGTGCTGTGTGTATTCAACTCACAGAGTGGAACGTCCCTTTGCACAGAGCAGATTTGAAACACTCTTTTTGTGGAGTTTGCAAGTGGAGATTTCAAGCGATTTGATGCCAACAGTAGAAAAGGAAATATCTTCAAATAAAAACTAGACAGAATCATTCTCAGAAACTACTTTGTGATGTGTGCCTTCAACTCACAGAGTTTAACCTTTCTTTTCTTAGAGCAGTTTAGAAACACTCTGCTTGTTATGTCTGCAAGTGGATATTTGGACCTCTTTGAGGCCTTCGTTGCAAACGGGGTTTCTTCCTTTCATGCTAGACTAAGAAGTGTTCTCAGTAACTTTTTTGTGTTGTGTGTATTCAACTCACAGAGTTGAACCTTGCTTTAGAGAGAGCAGATTTGAAACACTCTTGCTGTGGCATTTTCAGGTGGAGATTTCAAGCGATTTGAGGACAATTGCAGAAAAGGAAATATCTTCGTATAATAACCAGACAGAATCATTCTCAGAAAGTGCTTTGTGATGTGTGCGTTCAACTCACAGAGTTTAACCTTTCTTTTCATAGAGGAGTTTGGAAACACACTGTTTGTAAAGTCTGCAAGTGGATATATGGACCTGTTTGAGGCCTTCGTTGGAAACGGGATTTCTTCATTGAATGCTAGACGGAAGAATTCTCAGTAAATTCTTTGTGTTGTGTGCATTCACCTCACAGAGTGGAACGTCCCTTTAGACAGAGCAGATTTGAAACACTCTTTTTGCGGAATTTGCAAGTGGAGATTTCTAGCCATTTGATGCCAACAGTAGAAAGGGAAATATCTTCAAATAAAAACCAGACAGAATCATTCTCAGAAAATTCTTTGTGATGTGTGCGTTCAACTCACATAGTTTAACCTTTCTTTTCATAGAGCAGTTTGGAAACACTCTGTTTGTAAAGTCTGCAAGTGGATATATGGACCGCATTGAGGCCTTCGTTGGAAACGGGATTTCTTCATTTCATGCTAGACAGAAGAATTCTCAGTAACTTCTTTGTGCTGTGTGTATTCAAATCACAGAGTTGAACCTTGCTTTAGAGAGAGCAGATTTGAAACACTCTTGCTGTGGCATTTTCAGGTGGAGATTTCAAGCGATTTGAGGAAAATTGCAGAAAAGGGAATATCTTCGTATAATAACCAGACAGAATCATTCTCAGAAAGTGCTTTGTGATGTGTGCGTTCCACTCACAGAGTTTAACCTTTCTTTTCATAGAGGAGTTTGGAAACACACTGTTTGTAAACTCTGCAAGTGGATATATGGACCTGTTTGAGGCCTTCGTTGGAAACGGGATTTCTTCATTGAATGCTAGACGGAAGAATTCTCAGTAAATTCTTTGTGTTGTGTGCATTCAACTCACAGAGTGGAACGTCCCTTTAGACAGAGCAGATTTGAAACACTCTTTTTGCGGAATTTGCAAGTGGAGATTTCTAGCCATTTGATGCCAACAGTAGAAAGGGAAATATCTTCAAATAAAAACCAGACAGAATCATTCTCAGAAAATTCTTTGTGATGTGTGCGTTCAACTCACATAGTTTAACCTTTCTTTTCATAGAGCAGTTTGGAAACACTCTGTTTGTAAAGTCTGCAAGTGGATATATGGACCGCATTGAGGCCTTCGTTGGAAACGGGATTTCTTCATTTCATGCTAGACAGAAGAATTCTCAGTAACTTCTTTGTGCTGTGTGTATTCAACTCACAGAGTGGAACGTCCCTTTGCACAGAGCAGATTTGAAACACTCTTTTTGTGGAGTTTGCAAGTGGAGATTTCAAGCGATTTGATGCCAACAGTAGAAAAGGAAATATCTTCAAATAAAAACTAGACAGAATCATTCTCAGAAACTACTTTGTGATGTGTGCCTTCAACTCACAGAGTTTAACCTTTCTTTTCTTAGAGCAGTTTAGAAACACTCTGCTTGTTATGTCTGCAAGTGGATATTTGGACCTCTTTGAGGCCTTCGTTGCAAACGGGGTTTCTTCCTTTCATGCTAGACTAAGAAGAGTTCTCAGTAACTTTTTTGTGTTGTGTGTATTCAACTCACAGAGCTGAACCTTGCTTTAGAGAGAGCAGATTTGAAACACTCTTGCTGTGGCATTTTCAGGTGGAGATTTCAAGCGATTTGAGGACAATTGCAGAAAAGGAAATATCTTCGTATAACAACCAGACAGAATCATTCTCAGAAAGTGCTTTGTGATGTGTGCGTTCCACTCACAGAGTTTAACCTTTCTTTTCATAGAGGAGTTTGGAAACACACTGTTTGTAAACTCTGCAAGAGGATATATGGACCTGTTTGAGGCCTTCGTTGGAAACGGGATTTCTTCATTGAATGCTAGACGGAAGAATTCTCAGTAAATTCTTTGTGTTGTGTGCATTCAACTCACAGAGTGGAACGTCCCTTTAGACAGAGCAGATTTGAAACACTCTTTTTGCGGAATTTGCAAGTGGAGATTTCTAGCCATTTGATGCCAACAGTAGAAAGGGGAATATCTTCAAATAAAAACCAGACAGAATCATTCTCAGAAAATTCTTTGTGATGTGTGCGTTCAACTCACATAGTTTAACCTTTCTTTTCATAGAGCAGTTTGGAAACACTCTGTTTGTAAAGTCTGCAAGTGGATATATGGACCGCATTGAGGCCTTCGTTGGAAACGGGATTTCTTCATTTCATGCTAGACAGAAGAATTCTCAGTAACTTCTTTGTGCTGTGTGTATTCAACTCACAGAGTGGAACGTCCCTTTGCACAGAGCAGATTTGAAACACTCTTTTTGTGGAGTTTGCAAGTGGAGATTTCAAGCGATTTGATGCCAACAGTAGAAAAGGAAATATCTTCAAATAAAAACTAGACAGAATCATTCTCAGAAAATTCTTTGTGATGTGTGCGTTCAACTCACACAGTTTAACCTTTCTTTTCTTAGAGCAGTTTAGAAACACTCTGCTTGTTATGTCTGCAAGTGGATATTTGGACCTCTTTGAGGCCTTCGTTGCAAACGGGGTTTCTTCCTTTCATGCTAGACTAAGAAGAGTTCTCAGTAACTTTTTTGTGTTGTGTGTATTCAACTCACAGAGTTGAACCTTGCTTTAGAGAGAGCAGATTTGAAACACTCTTGCTGTGGCATTTTCAGGTGGAGATTTCAAGCGATTTGAGGACAATTGCAGAAAAGGAAATATCTTCGTATAACAACCAGACAGAATCATTCTCAGAAAGTGCTTTGTGATGTGTGCGTTCAACTCACAGAGTTTAACCTTTCTTTTCATAGAGGAGTTTGGAAACACACAGTTTGTAAAGTCTGCAATTGGATATATGGACCTGTTTGAGGCCTTCGTTGGAAACGGGATTTCTTCATTGAATGCTAGACGGAAGAATTCTCAGTAAATTCTTTGTGTTGTGTGCATTCAACTCACAGAGTGGAACGTCCCTTTAGACAGAGCAGATTTGAAACACTCTTTTTGCGGAATTTGCAAGTGGAGATTTCTAGCCATTTGATGCCAACAGTAGAAAGGGAAATATCTTCAAATAAAAACCAGACAGAATCATTCTCAGAAAATTCTTTGTGATGTGTGCGTTCAACTCACATAGTTTAACCTTTCTTTTCATAGAGCAGTTTGGAAACACTCTGTTTGTAAAGTCTGCAAGTGGATATATGGACCGCATTGAGGCCTTCGTTGGAAACGGGATTTCTTCATTTCATGCTAGACAGAAGAATTCTCAGTAACTTCTTTGTGCTGTGTGTATTCAACTCACAGAGTGGAACGTCCCTTTGCACAGAGCAGATTTGAAACACTCTTTTTGTGGAGTTTGCAAGTGGAGATTTCAAGCGATTTAATGCCAACAGTAGGAAAGGAAATATCTTCAAATAAAAACTAGACAGAATCATTCTCAGAAACTACTTTGTGATGTGTGCCTTCAACTCACAGAGTTTAACCTTTCTTTTCTTAGAGCAGTTTAGAAACACTCTGCTTGTTATGTCTGCAAGTGGATATTTGGACCTCTTTGAGGCCTTCGTTGCAAACAGGGTTTCTTCCTTTAATGCTAGACTAAGAAGAGTTCTCAGTAACTTTTTTGTGTTGTGTGTATTCAACTCACAGAGTTGAACCTTGCTTTAGAGAGAGCAGATTTGAAACACTCTTGCTGTGGCATTTTCAGGTGGAGATTTCAAGCGATTTGAGGACAATTGCAGAAAAGGAAATATCTTCGTATAATAACCAGACAGAATCATTCTCAGAAAGTGCTTTGTGATGTGTGCGTTCCACTCACAGAGTTTAACCTTTCTTTTCATAGAGGAGTTTGGAAACACACTGTTTGTAAAGTCTGCAAGTGGATATATGGACCTGTTTGAGGCCTTCGTTGGAAACGGGATTTCTTCATTGAATGCTAGACGGAAGAATTCTCAGTAAATTCTTTGTGTTGTGTGCATTCAACTCACAGAGTGGAACGTCCCTTTAGACAGAGCAGATTTGAAACACTCTTTTTGCGGAATTTGCAAGTGGAGATTTCTAGCCATTTGATGCCAACAGTAGAAAGGGAAATATCTTCAAATAAAAACCAGACAGAATCATTCTCAGAAAATTCTTTGTGATGTGTGCGTTCAACTCACATAGTTTAACCTTTCTTTTCATAGAGCAGTTTGGAAACACTCTGTTTGTAAAGTCTGCAAGTGGATATATGGACCGCATTGAGGCCTTCGTTGGAAACGGGATTTCTTCATTTCATGCTAGACAGAAGAATTCTCAGTAACTTCTTTGTGCTGTGTGTATTCAACTCACAGAGTGGAACGTCCCTTTACACAGAGCAGATTTGAAACACTCTTTTTGTGGAGTTTGCAAGTGGAGATTTCAAGCGATTTGATGCCAACAGTAGAAAAGGAAATATCTTCAAATAAAAACTAGACAGAATCATTCTCAGAAACTAGTTTGTGATGTGTGCCTTCAACTCACAGAGTTTAACCTTTCTTTTCTTAGAGCAGTTTAGAAACACTCTGCTTGTTATGTCTGCAAGTGGATATTTGGACCTCTTTGAGGCCTTCGTTGCAAACGGGGTTTCTTCCTTTCATGCTAGACTAAGAAGAGTTCTCAGTAACTTTTCTGTGTTGTGTGTATTCAACTCACAGAGTTGAACCTTGCTTTAGAGAGAGCAGATTTGAAACACTCTTGCTGTGGCATTTTCAGGTGGAGATTTCAATCGTTTTGAGGACAATTGCAGAAAAGGAAATATCTTCGTATAATAACCAGACAGAATCATTCTCAGAAAGTGCTTTGTGATGTGTGCGTTCCACTCACAGAGTTTAACCTTTCTTTTCATAGAGGAGTTTGGAAACACACTGTTTGTAAAGTCTGCAAGTGGATATATGGACCTGTTTGAGGCCTTCGTTGGAAACGGGATTTCTTCATTGAATGCTAGACGGAAGAATTCTCAGTAAATTCTTTGTGTTGTGTGCATTCAACTCACAGAGTGGAACGTCCCTTTAGACAGAGCAGATTTGAAACACTCTTTTTGCGGAATTTGCAAGTGGAGATTTCTAGCCATTTGATGCCAACAGTAGAAAGGGAAATATCTTCAAATAAAAACCAGACAGAATCATTCTCAGAAAATTCTTTGTGATGTGTGCGTTCAACTCACATAGTTTAACCTTTCTTTTCATAGAGCAGTTTGGAAACACTCTGTTTGTAAAGTCTGCAAGTGGATATATGGACCGCATTGAGGCCTTCGTTGGAAACGGGATTTCTTCATTTCATGCTAGACAGAAGAATTCTCAGTAACTTCTTTGTGCTGTGTGTATTCAACTCACAAGAGTGGAACGTCCCTTTACACAGAGCAGATTTGAAACACTCTTTTTGTGGAGTTTGCAAGTGGAGATTTCAAGCGATTTGATGCCAACAGTAGAAAAGGAAATATCTTCAAATAAAAACTAGACAGAATCATTCTCAGAAACTACTTTTTGATGTGTGCCTTCAACTCACAGAGTTTAACCTTTCTTTTCTTAGAGCACTTTAGAAACACTCTGCTTGTTATGTCTGCAAGTGGATATTTGGACCTCTTTGAGGCCTTCGTTGCAAACGGGGTTTCTTCCTTTCATGCTAGACTAAGAAGAGTTCTCAGTAACTTTTTTGTGTTGTGTGTATTCAACTCACAGAGTTGAACCTTGCTTTAGAGAGAGCAGATTTGAAACACTCTTGCTGTGGCATTTTCAGGTGGAGATTTCAAGCGATTTGAGGACAATTGCAGAAAAGGAAATATCTTCGTATAATAACCAGACAGAATCATTCTCAGAAAGTGCTTTGTGATGTGTGCGTTCAACTCACAGAGTTTAACCTTTCTTTTCATAGAGGAGTTTGGAAACACACTGTTTGTAAAGTCTGCAATTGGATATATGGACCTGTTTGAGGCCTTCGTTGGAAACGGGATTTCTTCATTGAATGCTAGACGGAAGAATTTCTCAGTAAATTCTTTGTGTTGTGTGCATTCAACTGACAGAGTGGAACGTCCCTTTAGACAGAGCAGATTTGAAACACTCTTTTTGCGGAATTTGCAAGTGGAGATTTCTAGCCATTTGATGCCAACAGTAGAAAGGGAAATATCTTCAAATAAAAACCAGACAGAATCATTCTCAGAAAATTCTTTGTGATGTGTGCGTTCAACTCACATAGTTTAACCTTTCTTTTCATAGAGCAGTTTGGAAACACTCTGTTTGTAAAGTCTGCAAGTGGATATATGGACCGCATTGAGGCCTTCGTTGGAAACGGGATTTCTTCATTTCATGCTAGACAGAAGAATTCTCAGTAACTTCTTTGTGCTGTGTGTATTCAACTCACAGAGTGGAACGTCCCTTTGCACAGAGCAGATTTGAAACACTCTTTTTGTGGAGTTTGCAAGTGGAGATTTCAAGCGATTTGATGCCAACAGTAGAAAAGGAAATATCTTCAAATAAAAACTAGACAGAATCATTCTCAGAAAATTCTTTGTGATGTGTGCGTTCAACTCACATAGTTTAACCTTTCTTTTCTTAGAGCAGTTTAGAAACACTCTGCTTGTTATGTCTGCAAGTGGATATTTGGACCTCTTTGAGGCCTTCGTTGCAAACGGGGTTTCTTCCTTTCATGCTAGACTAAGAAGAGTTCTCAGTAACTTTTTTGTGTTGTGTGTATTCAACTCACAGAGTTGAACCTTGCTTTAGAGAGAGCAGATTTGAAACACTCTTGCTGTGGCATTTTCAGGTGGAGATTTCAAGCGATTTGAGGACAATTGCAGAAAAGGAAATATCTTCGTATAATAACCAGACAGAATCATTCTCAGAAAGTGCTTTGTGATGTGTGCGTTCCACTCACAGAGTTTAACCTTTCTTTTCATAGAGGAGTTTGGAAACACACTGTTTGTAAACTCTGCAAGTGGATATATGGACCTGTTTGAGGCCTTCGTTGGAAACGGGATTTCTTCATTGAATGCTAGACGGAAGAATTCTCAGTAAATACTTTGTGTTGTGTGCATTCAACTGACAGAGTGGAACGTCTCTTTAGACAGAGCAGATTTGAAACACTCTTTTTGCGGAATTTGCAAGTGGAGATTTCTAGCCATTTGATGCCAACAGTAGAAAGGGAAATATCTTCAAATAAAAACCAGACAGAATCATTCTCAGAAAATTCTTTGTGATGTGTGCGTTCAACTCACATAGTTTAACCTTTCTTTTCATAGAGCAGTTTGGAAACACTCTGTTTGTAAAGTCTGCAAGTGGATATATGGACCGCATTGAGGCCTTCGTTGGAAACGGGATTTCTTCATTTCATGCTAGACAGAAGAATTCTCAGTAACTTCTCTGTGCTGTGTGTATTCAACTCACAGAGTGGAACGTCCCTTTACACAGAGCAGATTTGAAACACTCTTTTTGTGGAGTTTGCAAGTGGAGATTTCAAGCGATTTGATGCCAACAGTAGAAAAGGAAATATCTTCAAATAAAAACTAGACAGAATCATTCTCAGAAACTACTTTGTGATGTGTGCCTTCAACTCACAGAGTTTAACCTTTCTTTTCTTAGAGCAGTTTAGAAACACTCTGCTTGTTATGTCTGCAAGTGGATATTTGGACCTCTTTGAGGCCTTCGTTGCAAACGGGGTTTCTTCCTTTCATGCTAGACTAAGAAGAGTTCTCAGTAACTTTTTTGTGTTGTGTGTATTCAACTCACAGAGCTGAACCTTGCTTTAGAGAGAGCAGATTTGAAACCCTCTTGCTGTGGCATTTTCAGGTGGAGATTTCAAGCGATTTGAGGACAATTGCAGAAAAGGAAATATCTTCGTATAACAACCAGACAGAATCATTCTCAGAAAGTGCTTTGTGATGTGTGCGTTCAACTCACAGAGTTTAACCTTTCTTTTCATAGAGGAGTTTGGAAACACACTGTTTGTAAAGTCTGCAATTGGATATATGGACCTGTTTGAGGCCTTCGTTGGAAACGGGATTTCTTCATTGAATGCTAGACGGAAGAATTCTCAGTAAATTCTTTGTGTTGTGTGCATTCAACTGACAGAGTGGAACGTCCCTTAAGACAGAGCAGATTTGAAACACTCTTTTTGCGGAATTTGCATGTGGAGATTTCTAGCCATTTGATGCCAACAGTAGAAAGGGAAATATCTTCAAATAAAAACCAGACAGAATCATTCTCAGAAAATTCTTTGTGATGTGTGCGTTCAACTCACATAGTTTAACCTTTCTTTTCATAGAGCAGTTTGGAAACACTCTGTTTGTAAAGTCTGCAAGTGGATCTATGGACCGCATTGAGGCCTTCGTTGGAAACGGGATTTCTTCATTTCATGCTAGACAGAAGAATTCTCAGTAACTTCTTTGTGCTGTGTGTACTCAACTCACAGAGTGGAACGTCCCTTTGCACAGAGCAGATTTGAAACACTCTTTTTGTGGAGTTTGCAAGTGGAGATTTCAAGCGATTTGATGCCAACAGTAGAAAAGGAAATATCTTCAAATAAAAACTAGACAGAATCATTCTCAGAAACTACTTTGTGATGTCTGCCTTCAACTCACAGAGTTTAACCTTTCTTTTCTTAGAGCAGTTTAGAAACACTCTGCTTGTTATGTCTGCAAGTGGATATTTGGACCTCTTTGAGGCCTTCGTTGCAAACGGGGTTTCTTCCTTTCATGCTAGACTAAGAAGAGTTCTCAGTAACTTTTTTGTGTTGTGTGTATTCAACTCACAGAGTTGAACCTTGCTTTAGAGAGAGCAGATTTGAAACACTCTTGCTGTGGCATTTTCAGGTGGAGATTTCAAGCGATTTGAGGACAATTGCAGAAAAGGAAATATCTTCGTATAACAACCAGACAGAATCATTCTCAGAAAGTGCTTTGTGATGTGTGCATTCAACTCACAGAGTTTAACCTTTCTTTTCATTGAGGAGTTTGGAAACACACTGTTTGTAAAGTCTGCAATTGGATATATGGACCTGTTTGAGGCCTTCGTTGGAAACGGGATTTCTTCATTGAATGCTAGACGGAAGAATTCTCAGTAAATTCTTTGTGTTGTGTGCATTCAACTCACAGAGTGGAACGTCCCTTTACACAGAGCAGATTTGAAACACTCTTTTTGCGGAATTTGCAAGTGGAGATTTCTAGCCATTTGATGCCAACAGTAGAAAGGGAAATATCTTCAAATAAAAACCAGACAGAATCATTCTCAGAAAATTCTTTGTGATGTGTGCGTTCAACTCACATAGTTTAACCTTTCTTTTCTTAGAGCAGTTTAGAAACACTCTGCTTGTTATGTCTGCAAGTGGATATTTGGACCTCTTTGAGGCCTTCGTTGCAAACGGGGTTTCTTCCTTTCATGCTAGACTAAGAAGAGTTCTCAGTAACTTTTTTGTGTTGTGTGTATTCAACTCACAGAGTTGAACCTTGCTTTAGAGAGAGCAGATTTGAAACACTCTTGCTGTGGCATTTTCAGGTGGAGATTTCAAGCGATTTGAGGACAATTGCAGAAAAGGAAATATCTTCGTATAACAACCAGACAGAATCATTCTCAGAAAGTGCTTTGTGATGTGTGCGTTCAACTCACAGAGTTTAACCTTTCTTTTCATAGAGGAGTTTGGAAACACACTGTTTGTAAAGTCTGCAATTGGATATATGGACCTGTTTGAGGCCTTCGTTGGAAACGGGATTTCTTCATTGAATGCTAGACGGAAGAATTCTCAGTAAATTCTTTGTGTGGTGTGCATTCAACTCACAGAGTGGAACGTCCCTTTAGACAGAGCAGATTTGAAACACTCTTTTTGCGGAATTTGCAAGTGGAGATTTCTAGCCATTTGATGCCAACAGTAGAAAGGGAAATATCTTCAAATAAAAACCAGACAGAATCATTCTCAGAAAATTCTTTGTGATGTGTGCGTTCAACTCACATAGTTTAACCTTTCTTTTCATAGAGCAGTTTGGAAACACTCTGTTTGTAAAGTCTGCAAGTGGATATATGGACCGCATTGAGGCCTTCGTTGGAAACGGGATTTCTTCATTTCATGCTAGACAGAAGAATTCTCAGTAACTTCTTTGTGCTGTGTGTATTCAACTCACAGAGTGGAACGTCCCTTTGCACAGAGCAGATTTGAAACACTCTTTTTGTGGAATTTGCAAGTGGAGATTTCAAGCGATTTGATGCCAACAGTAGAAAAGGAAATATCTTCAAATAAAAACTAGACAGAATCATTCTCAGAAACTACTTTGTGATGTGTGCCTTCAACTCACAGAGTTTAACCTTTCTTTTCTTAGAGCAGTTTAGAAACACTCTGCTTGTTATGTCTGCAAGTGGATATTTGGACCTCTTTGAGGCCTTCGTTGCAAACGGGGTTTCTTCCTTTAATGCTAGACTAAGAAGAGTTCTCAGTAACTTTTTTGTGTTGTGTGTATTCAACTCACAGAGTTGAACCTTGCTTTAGAGAGAGCAGATTTGAAACACTCTTGCTGTGGCATTTTCAGGTGGAGATTTCAAGCGATTTGAGGACAATTGCAGAAAAGGAAATATCTTCGTATAACAACCAGACAGAATCATTCTCAGAAAGTGCTTTGTGATGTGTGCGTTCAACTCACAGAGTTTAATCTTTCTTTTCATAGAGGAGTTTGGAAACACACTGTTTGTAAAGTCTGCAATTGGATATATGGACCTGTTTGAGGCCTTCGTTGGAAACGGGATTTCTTCATTGAATGCTAGACGGAAGAATTCTCAGTAAATTCTTCGTGTTGTGTGCATTCAACTCACAGAGTGGAACGTCCCTTTAGACAGAGCAGATTTGAAACACTCTTTTTGCGGAATTTGCAAGTGGAGATTTCTAGCCATTTGATGCCAATAGTAGAAAGGGAAATATCTTCAAATAAAAACCAGACAGAATCATTCTCAGAAAATTCTTTGTGATGTGTGCGTTCAACTCACATAGTTTAACCTTTCTTTTCATAGAGCAGTTTGGAAACACTCTGTTTGTAAAGTCTGCAAGTGGATATATGGACCGCATTGAGGCCTTCGTTGGAAACGGGATTTCTTCATTTCATGCTAGACAGAAGAATTCTCAGTAACTTCTTTGTGCTGTGTGTATTCAACTCACAGAGTGGAACGTCCCTTTGCACAGAGCAGATTTGAAACACTCTTTTTGTGGAATTTGCAAGTGGAGATTTCAAGCGATTTGATGCCAACAGTAGAAAAGGAAATATCTTCAAATAAAAACTAGACAGAATCATTCTCAGAAACTACTTTGTGATGTGTGCCTTCAACTCACAGAGTTTAACCTTTCTTTTCTTAGAGCAGTTTAGAAACACTCTGCTTGTTATGTCTGCAAGTGGATATTTGGACCTCTTTGAGGCCTTCGTTGCAAACGGGGTTTCTTCCTTTCATGCTAGACTAAGAAGAGTTCTCAGTAACTTTTTTGTGTTGTGTGTATTCAACTCACAGAGTTGAACCTTGCTTTAGAGAGAGCAGATTTGAAACACTCTTGCTGTGGCATTTTCAGGTGGAGATTTCAAGCGATTTGAGGACAATTGCAGAAAAGGAAATATCTTCGTATAATAACCAGACAGAATCATTCTCAGAAAGTGCTTTGTGATGTGTGCGTTCCACTCACAGAGTTTAACCTTTCTTTTCATAGAGGAGTTTGGAAACACACTGTTTGTAAAGTCTGCAATTGGATATATGGACCTGTTTGAGGCCTTCGTTGGAAACGGGATTTCTTCATTGATTGCTAGACGGAAGAATTCTCAGTAAATTCTTTGTGTTGTGTGCATTCAACTGACAGAGTGGAACGTCCCTTTAGACAGAGCAGATTTGAAACACTCTTTTTGCGGAATTTGCAAGTGGAGATTTCTAGCCATTTGATGCCAACAGTAGAAAGGGAAATATCTTCAAATAAAAACCAGACAGAATCATTCTCAGAAAATTCTTTGTGATGTGTGCGTTCAACTCACATAGTTTAACCTTTCTTTTCATAGAGCAGTTTGGAAACACTCTGTTTGTAAAGTCTGCAAGTGGATATATGGACCGCATTGAGGCCTTCGTTGGAAACGGGATTTCTTCATTTCATGCTAGACAGAAGAATTCTCAGTAAATTCTTTGTGCTGTGTGTATTCAACTCACAGAGTGGAACGTCCCTTTACACAGAGCAGATTTGAAACACTCTTTTTGTGGAGTTTGCAAGTGGAGATTTCAAGCGATTTGATGCCAACAGTAGAAAAGGAAATATCTTCAAATAAAAACTAGACAGAATCATTCTCAGAAACTACTTTGTGATGTGTGCCTTCAACTCACAGAGTTTAACCTTTCTTTTCTTAGAGCAGTTTAGAAACACTCTGCTTGTTATGTCTGCAAGTGGATATTTGGACCTCTTTGAGGCCTTCGTTGCAAACGGGGTTTCTTCCTTTAATGCTAGACTAAGAAGAGTTCTCAGTAACTTTTTTGTGTTGTGTGTATTCAACTCACAGAGTTGAACCTTGCTTTAGAGAGAGCAGATTTGAAACACTCTTGCTGTGGCATTTTCAGGTGGAGATTTCAAGCGTTTTGAGGACAATTGCAGAAAAGGAAATATCTTCGTATAATAACCAGACAGAATCATTCTCAGAAAGTGCTTTGTGATGTGTGCGTTCCACTCACAGAGTTTAACCTTTCTTTTCATAGAGGAGTTTGGAAACACACTGTTTGTAAAGTCTGCAAGTGGATATATGGACCGCATTGAGGCCTTCGTTGGAAACGGGATTTCTTCATTTCATGCTAGACAGAAGAATTCTCAGTAACTTCTTTGTGTTGTGTGCATTCAACTCACAGAGTGGAACGTCCCTTTAGACAGAGCAGATTTGAAACACTCTTTTTGCGGAATTTGCAAGTGGAGATTTCTAGCCATTTGATGCCAACAGTAGAAAGGGAAATATCTTCAAATAAAAACCAGACAGAATCATTCTCAGAAAATTCTTTGTGATGTGTGCGTTCAACTCACATAGTTTAACCTTTCTTTTCATAGAGCAGTTTGGAAACACTCTGTTTGTAAAGTCTGCAAGTGGATATATGGACCGCATTGAGGCCTTCGTTGGAAACGGGATTTCTTCATTTCATGCTAGACAGAAGAATTCTCAGTAACTTCTTTGTGCTGTGTGTATTCAACTCACAGAGTGGAACGTCCCTTTGCACAGAGCGGATTTGAAACACTCCTTTGTGGAGTTTGCAAGTGGAGATTTCAAGCGATTTGATGCCAACAGTAGAAAAGGAAATATCTTCAAATAAAAACTAGACAGAATCATTCTCAAAAACTACTTTGTGATGTGTGCCTTCAACTCACAGAGTTTAACCTTTCTTTTCTTAGAGCAGTTTAGAAACACTCTGCTTGTTATGTCTGCAAGTGGATATTTGGACCTCTTTGAGGCCTTCGTTGCAAACGGGGTTTCTTCCTTTCATGCTAGACTAAGAAGAGTTCTCAGTAACTTTTTTGTGTTGTGTGTATTCAACTCACAGAGTTGAACCTTGCTTTAGAGAGAGCAGATTTGAAACACTCTTGCTGTGGCATTTTCAGGTGGAGATTTCAAGCGTTTTGAGGACAATTGCAGAAAAGGAAATATCTTCGTATAATAACCAGACAGAATCATTCTCAGAAAGTGCTTTGTGATGTGTGCGTTCCACTCACAGAGTTTAACCTTTCTTTTCATAGAGGAGTTTGGAAACACACTGTTTGTAAACTCTGCAAGTGGATATATGGACCTGTTTGAGGCCTTCGTTGGAAACGGGATTTCTTCATTGAATGCTAGACGGAAGAATTCTCAGTAAATTCTTTGTGTTGTGTGCATTCAACTCACAGAGTGGAACGTCCCTTTAGACAGAGCAGATTTGAAACACTCTTTTTGCGGAATTTGCAAGTGGAGATTTCTAGCCATTTGATGCCAACAGTAGAAAGGGAAATATCTTCAAATAAAAACCAGACAGAATCATTCTCAGAAAATTCTTTGTGATGTGTGCGTTCAACTCACATAGTTTAACCTTTCTTTTCATAGAGCAGTTTGGAAACACTCTGTTTGTAAAGTCTGCAAGTGGATATATGGACCGCATTGAGGCCTTCGTTGGAAACGGGATTTCTTCATTTCATGCTAGACAGAAGAATTCTCAGTAACTTCTTTGTGCTGTGTGTATTCAACTCACAGAGTGGAACGTCCCTTTGCACAGAGCAGATTTGAAACACTCTTTTTGTGGAGTTTGCAAGTGGAGATTTCAAGCGATTTGATGCCAACAGTAGAAAAGGAAATATCTTCAAATAAAAACTAGACAGAATCATTCTCAGAAACTACTTTGTGATGTGTGCCTTCAACTCACAGAGTTTAACCTTTCTTTTCTTAGAGCAGTTTAGAAACACTCTGCTTGTTATGTCTGCAAGTGGATATTTGGACCTCTTTGAGGCCTTCGTTGCAAACGGGGTTTCGTCCTTTAATGCTAGACTAAGAAGAGTTCTCAGTAACTTTTTTGTGTTGTGTGTATTCAACTCACAGAGTTGAACCTTGCTTTAGAGAGAGCAGATTTGAAACACTCTTGCTGTGGCATTTTCAGGTGGAGATTTCAAGCGATTTGAGGACAATTGCAGAAAAGGAAATATCTTCGTATAATAACCAGACAGAATCATTCTCAGAAAGTGCTTTGTGATGTGTGCGTTCCACTCACAGAGTTTAACCTTTCTTTTCATAGAGGAGTTTGGAAACACACTGTTTGTAAAGTCTGCAAGTGGATATATGGACCTGTTTGAGGCCTTCGTTGGAAACGGGATTTCTTCATTGAATGCTAGACGGAAGAATTCTCAGTAAATTCTTTGTGTTGTGTGCATTCAACTCACAGAGTGGAACGTCCCTTTAGACAGAGCAGATTTGAAACACTCTTTTTGCGGAATTTGCAAGTGGAGATTTCTAGCCATTTGATGCCAACAGTAGAAAGGGAAATATCTTCAAATAAAAACCAGACAGAATCATTCTCAGAAAATTCTTTGTGATGTGTGCGTTCAACTCACATAGTTTAACCTTTCTTTTCATAGAGCGGTTTGGAAACACTCTGTTTGTAAAGTCTGCAAGTGGATATATGGACCGCATTGAGGCCTTCGTTGGAAACGGGATTTCTTCATTTCACGCTAGACAGAAGAATTCTCAGTAACTTCTTTGTGCTGTGTGTATTCAACTCACAGAGTGGAACGTCCCGTTGCACAGAGCAGATTTGAAACACTCTTTTTGTGGAATTTGCAAGTGGAGATTTCAAGCGATTTGATGCCAACAGTAGAAAAGGAAATATCTTCAAATAAAAACTAGACAGAATCATTCTCAGAAACTACTTTGTGATGTGTGCCTTCAACTCACAGAGTTTAACCTTTCTTTTCTTAGAGCAGTTTAGAAACACTCTGCTTGTTATGTCTGCAAGTGGATATTTGGACCTCTTTGAGGCCTTCGTTGCAAACGGGGTTTCTTCCTTTCATGCTAGACTAAGAAGAGTTCTCAGTAACTTTTTTGTGTTGTGTGTATTCAACTCACAGAGTTGAACCTTGCTTTAGAGAGAGCAGATTTGAAACACTCTTGCTGTGGCATTTTCAGGTGGAGATTTCAAGCGATTTGAGGACAATTGCAGAAAAGGAAATATCTTCGTATAATAACCAGACAGAATCATTCTCAGAAAGTGCTTTGTGATGTGGGCGTTCAACTCACAGAGTTTAACCTTTCTTTTCATAGAGGAGTTTGGAAACACACTGTTTGTAAAGTCTGCAATTGGATATATGGACCTGTTTGAGGCCTTCGTTGGAAACGGGATTTCTTCATTGAATGCTAGACGGAAGAATTCTCAGTAAATTCTTTGTGTTGTGTGCATTCAACTGACAGAGTGGAACGTCCCTTTAGACAGAGCAGATTTGAAACACTCTTTTTGCGGAATTTGCAAGTGGAGATTTCTAGCCATTTGATGCCAACAGTAGAAAGGGAAATATCTTCAAATAAAAACCAGACAGAATCATTCTCAGAAAATTCTTTGTGATGTGTGCGTTCAACTCACATAGTTTAACCTTTCTTTTCATAGAGCAGTTTGGAAACACTCTGTTTGTAAAGTCTGCAAGTGGATATATGGACCGCATTGAGGCCTTCGTTGGAAACGGGATTTCTTCATTTCATGCTAGACAGAAGAATACTCAGTAACTTCTTTGTGCTGTGTGTATTCAACTCACAGAGTGGAACGTCCCTTTACACAGAGGAGATTTGAAACACTCTTTTTGTGGAGTTTGCAAGTGGAGATTTCAAGCGATTTGATGCCAACCGTAGAAAAGGAAATATCTTCAAATAAAAACTAGACAGAATCATTCTCAGAAACTACTTTGTGATGTGTGCCTTCAACTCACAGAGTTTAACCTTTCTTTTCTTAGAGCAGTTTAGAAACACTCTGCTTGTTATGTCTGCAAGTGGATATTTGGACCTCTTTGAGGCCTTCGTTGCAAACGGGGTTTCTTCCTTTAATGCTAGACTAAGAAGAGTTCTCAGTAACTTTTTTGTGTTGTGTGTATTCAACTCACAGAGGTGAACCTTGCTTTAGAGAGAGCAGATTTGAAACCCTCTTGCTGTGGCATTTTCAGGTGGAGATTTCAAGCGATTTGAGGACAATTGCAGAAAAGGAAATATCTTCGTATAATAAACAGACAGAATCATTCTCAGAAAGTGCTTTGTGATGTGTGCGTTCAACTCACAGAGTTTAACCTTTCTTTTCATAGAGGAGTTTGGAAACACACTGTTTGTAAAGTCTGCATTTGGATATATGGACCTGTTTGAGGCCTTCGTTGGAAACGGGATTTCTTCATTGAATGCTAGACGGAAGAATTCTCAGTAAATTCTTTGTGTTGTGTGCATTCAACTGACAGAGTGGAACGTCCCTTTAGACAGAGCAGATTTGAAACACTCTTTTTGCGGAATTTGCAAGTGGAGATTTCTAGCCATTTGATGCCAACAGTAGAAAGGGAAATATCTTCAAATAAAAACCAGACAGAATCATTCTCAGAAAATTCTTTGTGATGTGTGCGTTCAACTCACATAGTTTAACCTTTCTTTTCATAGAGCAGTTTGGAAACACTCTGTTTGTAAAGTCTGCAAGTGGATATATGGACCGCATTGAGGCCTTCGTTGGAAACGGGATTTCTTCATTTCATGCTAGACAGAAGAATTCTCAGTAACTTCTTTGTGCTGTGTGTATTCAACTCACAGAGTAGAACGTCCCTTTACACAGAGCAGATTTGAAACACTCTTTTTGTGGAGTTTGCAAGTGGAGATTTCAAGCGATTTGATGCCAACAGTAGAAAAGGAAATATCTTCAAATAAAAACTAGACAGAATCATTCTCAGAAACTACTTTGTGATGTGTGCCTTCAACTCACAGAGTTTAACCTTTCTTTTCTTAGAGCAGTTTAGAAACACTCTGCTTGTTATGTCTGCAAGTGGATATTTGGACCTCTTTGAGGCCTTCGTTGCAAACGGGGTTTCTTCCTTTAATGCTAGACTAAGAAGAGTTCTCAGTAACATTTTTGTGTTGTGTGTATTCAACTCACAGAGTTGAACCTTGCTTTAGAGAGAGCAGATTTGAAACACTCTTGCTGTGGCATTTTCAGGTGGAGATTTCAAGCGATTTGAGGACAATTGCAGAAAAGGAAATATCTTCGTATAACAACCAGACAGAATCATTCTCAGAAAGTGCTTTGTGATGTGTGCGTTCAACTCACAGAGTTTAACCTTTCTTTTCATAGAGGAGTTTGGAAACACACTGTTTGTAAAGTCTGCAATTGGATATATGGACCTGTTTGAGGCCTTCGTTGGAAACGGGATTTCTTCATTGAATGCTAGACGGAAGAATTCTCAGTAAATTCTTTGTGTGGTGTGCATTCAACTCACAGAGTGGAACGTCCCTTTAGACAGAGCAGATTTGAAACACTCTTTTTGCGGAATTTGCAAGTGGAGATTTCTAGCCATTTGATGCCAACAGTAGAAAGGGAAATATCTTCAAATAAAAACCAGACAGAATCATTCTCAGAAAATTCTTTGTGATGTGTGCGTTCAACTCACATAGTTTAACCTTTCTTTTCATAGAGCAGTTTGGAAACACTCTGTTTGTAAAGTCTGCAAGTGGATATATGGACCGCATTGAGGCCTTCGTTGGAAACGGGATTTCTTCATTTCATGCTAGACAGAAGAATTCTCAGTAACTTCTTTGTGCTGTGTGTATTCAACTCACAGAGTGGAACGTCCCTTTGCACAGAGCAGATTTGAAACACTCTTTTTGTGGAGTTTGCAAGTGGAGATTTCAAGCGATTTGATGCCAACAGTAGAAAAGGAAATATCTTCAAATAAAAACTAGACAGAATCATTCTCAGAAACTACTTTGTGATGTGTGCCTTCAACTCACAGAGTTTAACCTTTCTTTTCTTAGAGCAGTTTAGAAACACTCTGCTTGTTATGTCTGCAAGTGGATATTTGGACCTCTTTGAGGCCTTCGTTGCAAACGGGGTTTCTTCCTTTCATGCTAGACTAAGAAGAGTTCTCAGTAACTTTTTTGTGTTGTGTGTATTCAACTCACAGAGTTGAACCTTGCTTTAGAGAGAGCAGATTTGAAACACTCTTGCTGTGGCATTTTCAGGTGGAGATTTCAAGCGATTTGAGGACAATTGCAGAAAAGGAAATATCTTCGTATAATAACCAGACAAAATCATTCTCAGAAAGTGCTTTGTGATGTGTGCGTTCAACTCACAGAGTTTAACCTTTCTTTTCATAGAGGAGTTTGGAAACACACTGTTTGTAAAGTCTGCAATTGGATATATGGACCTGTTTGAGGCCTTCTTTGGAAACGGGATTTCTTCATTGAATGCTAGACGGAAGAAGTCTCAGTAAATTCTTTGTGTTGTGTGCATTCAACTGACAGAGTGGAGCGTCCCTTTAGACAGAGCAGATTTGAAACACTCTTTTTGCGGAATTTGCAAGTGGAGATTTCTAGCCATTTGATGCCAACAGTAGAAAGGGAAATATCTTCAAATAAAAACCAGACAGAATCATTCTCAGAAAATTCTTTGTGATGTGTGCGTTCAACTCACATAGTTTAACCTTTCTTTTCATAGAGCAGTTTGGAAACACTCTGTTTGTAAAGTCTGCAAGTGGATATATGGACCGCATTGAGGCCTTCGTTGGAAACGGGATTTCTTCATTTCATGCTAGACAGAAGAATTCTCAGTAACTTCTTTGTGCTGTGTGTATTCAACTCACAGAGTGGAACGTTCCTTTACACAGAGCAGATTTGAAACACTCTTTTTGTGGAATTTGCAAGTGGAGATTTCAAGCGATTTGATGCCAACAGTAGAAAAGGAAATATCTTCAAATAAAAACTAGACAGAATCATTCTCAGAAACTACTTTGTGATGTCTGCCTTCAACTCACAGAGTTTAACCTTTCTTTTCTTAGAGCAGTTTAGAAACACTCTGCTTGTTATGTCTGCAAGTGGATATTTGGACCTTCTTTGAGGCCTTCGTTGCAAACGGGGTTTCTTCCTTTCATGCTAGACTAAGAAGAGTTCTCAGTAACTTTTTTGTGTTGTGTGTATTCAACTCACAGAGTTGAACCTTGCTTTAGAGAGAGCAGATTTGAAACACTCTTGCTGTGGCATTTTCAGGTGGAGATTTCAAGCGATTTGAGGACAATTGCAGAAAAGGAAATATCTTCGTATAACAACCAGACAGAATCATTCTCAGAAAGTGCTTTGTGATGTGTGCGTTCAACTCACAGAGTTTAACCTTTCTTTTCATAGAGGAGTTTGGAAACACACTGTTTGTAAAGTCTGCAATTGGATATATGGACCTGTTTGAGGCCTTCGTTGGAAACGGGATTTCTTCATTGAATGCTAGACGGAAGAATTCTCAGTAAATTCTTTGTGTTGTGTGCATTCAACTCACAGAGTGGAACGTCCCTTTAGACAGAGCAGATTTGAAACACTCTTTTTGCGGAATTTGCAAGTGGAGATTTCTAGCCATTTGATGCCAACAGTAGAAAGGGAAATATCTTCAAATAAAAACCAGACAGAATCATTCTCAGAAAATTCTTTGTGATGTGTGCGTTCAACTCACATAGTTTAACCTTTCTTTTCATAGAGCAGTTTGGAAACACTCTGTTTGTAAAGTCTGCAAGTGGATATATGGACCGCATTGAGGCCTTCGTTGGAAACGGGATTTCTTCATTTCATGCTAGACAGAAGAATTCTCAGTAACTTCTTTGTGCTGTGTGTATTCAACTCACAGAGTGGAACGTCCCTTTGCACAGAGCAGATTTGAAACACTCTTTTTGTGGAGTTTGCAAGTGGAGATTTCAAGCGATTTGATGCCAACAGTAGAAAAGGAAATATCTTCAAATAAAAACTAGACAGAATCATTCTCAGAAACTACTTTGTGATGTGTGCCTTCAACTCACAGAGTTTAACCTTTCTTTTCTTAGAGCAGTTTAGAAACACTCTGCTTGTTATGTCTGCAAGTGGATATTTGGACCTCTTTGAGGCCTTCGTTGCAAACGGGGTTTCTTCCTTTCATGCTAGACTAAGAAGAGTTCTCAGTAACTTTTTTGTGTTGTGTGTATTCAACTCACAGAGTTGAACCTTGCTTTAGAGAGAGCAGATTTGAAACACTCTTGCTGTGGCATTTTCAGGTGGAGATTTCAAGCGATTTGAGGACAATTGCAGAAAAGGAAATATCTTCGTATAACAACCAGACAGAATCATTCTCAGAAAGTGCTTTGTGATGTGTGCGTTCAACTCACAGAGTTTAACCTTTCTTTTCATAGAGGAGTTTGGAAACACACTGTTTGTAAAGTCTGCAATTGGATATATGGACCTGTTTGAGGCCTTCGTTGGAAACGGGATTTCTTCATTGAATGCTAGACGGAAGAATTCTCAGTAAATTCTTTGTGTTGTGTGCATTCAACTGACAGAGTGGAACGTCCCTTTAGACAGAGCAGATTTGAAACACTCTTTTTGCGGAATTTGCAAGTGGAGATTTCTAGCCATTTGATGCCAACAGTAGAAAGGGAAATATCTTCAAATAAAAACCAGACAGAATCATTCTCAGAAAATTCTTTGTGATGTGTGCGTTCAACTCACATAGTTTAACCTTTCTTTTCATAGAGCAGTTTGGAAACACTCTGTTTGTAAAGTCTGCAAGTGGATATATGGACCGCATTGAGGCCTTCGTTGGAAACGGGATTTCTTCATTTCATGCTAGACAGAAGAATTCTCAGTAACTTCTTTGTGCTGTGTGTATTCAACTCACAGAGTGGAACGTCCCTTTGCACAGAGCAGATTTGAAACACTCTTTTTGTGGAGTTTGCAAGTGGAGATTTCAAGCGATTTGATGCCAACAGTAGAAAAGGAAATATCTTCAAATAAAAACTAGACAGAATCATTCTCAGAAACTACTTTGTGATGTGTGCCTTCAACTCACAGAGTTTAACCTTTCTTTTCTTAGAGCAGTTTAGAAACACTCTGCTTGTTATGTCTGCAAGTGGATATTTGGACCTCTTTGAGGCCTTCGTTGCAAACGGGGTTTCTTCCTTTCATGCTAGACTAAGAAGAGTTCTCAGTAACTTTTTTGTGTTGTGTGTATTCAACTCACAGAGTTGAACCTTGCTTTAGAGAGAGCAGATTTGAAACACTCTTGCTGTGGCATTTTCAGGTGGAGATTTCAAGCGATTTGAGGACAATTGCAGAAAAGGAAATATCTTCGTATAATAACCAGACAGAATCATTCTCAGAAAGTGCTTTGTGATGTGTGCGTTCAACTCACAGAGTTTAACCTTTCTTTTCATAGAGGAGTTTGGAAACACACTGTTTGTAAAGTCTGCAATTGGATATATGGACCTGTTTGAGGCCTTCTTTGGAAACGGGATTTCTTCATTGAATGCTAGACGGAAGAATTCTCAGTAAATTCTTTGTGTTGTGTGCATTCAACTCACAGAGTGGAACGTCCCTTTAGACAGAGCAGATTTGAAACACTCTTTTTGCGGAATTTGCAAGTGGTGATTTCTAGCCATTTGATGCCAACAGTAGAAAGGGAAATATCTTCAAATAAAAACCAGACAGAATCATTCTCAGAAAATTCTTTGTGATGTGTGCGTTCAACTCACATAGTTTTACCTTTCTTTTCATAGAGCAGTTTGGAAACACTCTGTTTGTAAAGTCTGCAAGTGGATATATGGACCGCATTGAGGCCTTCGTTGGAAACGGGATTTCTTCATTTCGTGCTAGACAGAAGAATTCTCAGTAACTTCTTTGTGCTGTGTGTATTCAACTCACAGAGTGGAACGTCCCTTTACACAGAGCAGATTTGAAACACTCTTTTTGTGGAGTTTGCAAGTGGAGATTTCAAGCGATTTGATGCCAACAGTAGAAAAGGAAATATCTTCAAATAAAAACTAGACAGAATCATTCTCAGAAACTACTTTGTGATGTGTGCCTTCAACTCACAGAGTTTAACCTTTCTTTTCTTAGAGCAGTTTAGAAACACTCTGCTTGTTATGTCTGCAAGTGGATATTTGGACCTCTTTGAGGCCTTCGTTGCAAACGGGGTTTCTTCCTTTCATGCTAGACTAAGAAGAGTTCTCAGTAACTTTTTTGTGTTGTGTGTATTCAACTCACAGAGTTGAACCTTGCTTTAGAGAGAGCAGATTTGAAACACTCTTGCTGTGGCATTTTCAGGTGGAGATTTCAAGCGATTTGAGGACAATTGCAGAAAAGGAAATATCTTCGTATAATAACCAGACAGAATCATTCTCAGAAAGTGCTTTGTGATGTGTGCGTTCAACTCACAGAGTTTAACCTTTCTTTTCATAGAGGAGTTTGGAAACACACTGTTTGTAAAGTCTGCAATTGGATATATGGACCTGCTTGAGGCCTTCGTTGGAAACGGGATTTCTTCATTGAATGCTAGACGGAAGAATTCTCAGTAAATTCTTTGTGTTGTGTGCATTCAACTCACAGAGTGGAACGTCCCTTTAGACAGAGCAGATTTGAAACACTCTTTTTGCGGAATTTGCAAGTGGAGATTTCTAGCCATTTGATGCCAACAGTAGAAAGGGAAATATCTTCAAATAAAAACCAGACAGAATCATTCTCAGAAAATTCTTTGTGATGTGTGCGTTCAACTCACATAGTTTAACCTTTCTTTTCATAGAGCAGTTTGGAAACACTCTGTTTGTAAAGTCTGCAAGTGGATATATGGACCGCATTGAGGCCTTCGTTGGAAACGGGATTTCTTCATTTCATGCTAGACAGAAGAATTCTCAGTAACTTCTTTGTGCTGTGTGTATTCAACTCACAGAGTGGAACGTCCCTTTACACAGAGCAGATTTGAAACACTCTTTTTGTGGAGTTTGCAAGTGGAGATTTCAAGCGATTTGATGCCAACAGTAGAAAAGGAAATATCTTCAAATAAAAACTAGACAGAATCATTCTCAGAAACTACTTTGTGATGTGTGCCTTCAACTCACAGAGTTTAACCTTTCTTTTCTTAGAGCACTTTAGAAACACTGTGCTTGTTATGTCTGCAAGTGGATATTTGGACCTCTTTGAGGCCTTCGTTGCAAACGGGGTTTCTTCCTTTAATGCTAGACTAAGAAGAGTTCTCAGTAACTTTTTTGTGTTGTGTGTATTCAACTCACAGAGTTGAACCTTGCTTTAGAGAGAGCAGATTTGAAACACTCTTGCTGTGGCATTTTCAGGTGGAGATTTCAAGCGTTTTGAGGACAATTGCAGAAAAGGAAATATCTTCGTATAATAACCAGACAGAATCATTCTCAGAAAGTGCTTTGTGATGTGTGCCGTTCAACTCACAGAGTTTAACCTTTCTTTTCATAGAGGAGTTTGGAAACACACTGTTTGTAAAGTCTGCAAGTGGATATATGGACCTGTTTGAGGCCTTCGTTGGAAACGGGATTTCTTCATTGAATGCTAGACGGAAGAATTCTCAGTAAATTCTTTGTGTTGTGTGCATTCAACTCACAGAGTGGAACGTCCCTTTAGACAGAGCAGATTTGAAACACTCTTTTTGCGGAATTTGCAAGTGGAGATTTCTAGCCATTTGATGCCAACAGTAGAAAGGGAAATATCTTCAAATAAAAACCAGACAGAATCATTCTCAGAAAATTCTTTGTGATGTGTGCGTTCAACTCACATAGTTTAACCTTTCTTTTCATAGAGCAGTTTGGAAACACTCTGTTTGTAAAGTCTGCAAGTGGATATATGGACCGCATTGAGGCCTTCGTTGGAAACGGGATTTCTTCATTTCATGCTAGACAGAAGAATTCTCAGTAACTTCTTTGTGCTGTGTGTATTCAACTCACAGAGTGGAACGTCCCTTTGCACAGAGCAGATTTGAAACACTCTTTTTGTGGAGTTTGCAAGTGGAGATTTCAAGCGATTTGATGCCAACAGTAGAAAAGGAAATATCTTCAAATAAAAACTAGACAGAATCATTCTCAGAAACTACTTTGTGATGTGTGCCTTTAACTCACAGAGTTTAACCTTTCTTTTCTTAGAGCAGTTTAGAAACACTCTGCTTGTTATGTCTGCAAGTGGATATTTGGACCTCTTTGAGGCCTTCGTTGCAAACGGGGTTTCTTCCTTTCATGCTAGACTAAGAAGTGTTCTCAGTAACTTTTTTGTGTTGTGTGTATTCAACTCACAGAGTTGAACCTTGCTTTAGAGAGAGCAGATTTGAAACACTCTTGCTGTGGCATTTTCAGGTGGAGATTTCAAGCGATTTGAGGACAATTGCAGAAAAGGAAATATCTTCGTATAATAACCAGACAGAATCATTCTCAGAAAGTGCTTTGTGATGTGTGCGTTCAACTCACAGAGTTTAACCTTTCTTTTCATAGAGGAGTTTGGAAACACACTGTTTGTAAAGTCTGCAGGTGGATACATGGACCTGTTTGAGGCCTTCGTTGGAAACGGGATTTCTTCATTGAATGCTAGACGGAAGAATTCTCAGTAAATTCTTTGTGTTGTGTGCATTCAACTCACAGAGTGGAACGTCCCTTTAGACAGAGCAGATTTGAAACACTCTTTTTGCGGAATTTGCAAGTGGAGATTTCTAGCCATTTGATGCCAACAGTAGAAAGGGAAATATCTTCAAATAAAAACCAGACAGAATCATTCTCAGAAAATTCTTTGTGATGTGTGCGTTCAACTCACATAGTTTAACCTTTCTTTTCATAGAGCAGTTTGGAAACACTCTGTTTGTAAAGTCTGCAAGTGGATATATGGACCGCATTGAGGCCCTTCGTTGGAAACGGGATTTCTTCATTTCATGCTAGACAGAAGAATTCTCAGTAACTTCTTTGTGCTGTGTGTATTCAACTCACAGAGTGGAACGTCCCTTTACACAGAGCAGATTTGAAACACTCTTTTTGTGGAGTTTGCAAGTGGAGATTTCAAGCGATTTGATGCCAACAGTAGAAAAGGAAATATCTTCAAATAAAAACTAGACAGAATCATTCTCAGAAACTACTTTGTGATGTGTGCCTTCAACTCACAGAGTTTAACCTTTCTTTTCTTAGAGCAGTTTAGAAACACTCTGCTTGTTATGTCTGCAAGTGGATATTTGGACCTCTTTGAGGCCTTCGTTGCAAACGGGGTTTCTTCCTTTCATGCTAGACTAAGAAGAGTTCTCAGTAACTTTTTTGTGTTGTGTGTATTCAACTCACAGAGTTGAACCTTGCTTTAGAGAGAGCAGATTTGAAACACTCTTGCTGTGGCATTTTCAGGTGGAGATTTCAAGCGATTTGAGGACAATTGCAGAAAAGGAAATATCTTCCTATAATAACCAGACAGAATCATTCTCAGAAAGTGCTTTGTGATGTGTGCGTTCCACTCACAGAGTTTAACCTTTCTTTTCATAGAGGAGTTTGGAAACAAACTGTTTGTAAACTCTGCAAGTGGATATATGGACCTGTTTGAGGCCTTCGTTGGAAACGGGATTTCTTCATTGAATGCTAGACGGAAGAATTCTCAGTAAATTCTTTGTGTTGTGTGCATTCAACTCACAGAGTAGAACGTCCCTTTAGGCAGAGCAGATTTGAAACACTCTTTTTGCGGAATTTGCAAGTGGAGATTTCTAGCCATTTGATGCCAACAGTAGAAAGGGAAATATCTTCAAATAAAAACCAGACAGAATCATTCTCAGAAAATTCTTTGTGATGTGTGCGTTCAACTCACATAGTTTAACCTTTCTTTTCATAGAGCAGTTTGGAAACACTCTGTTTGTAAAGTCTGCAAGTGGATATATGGACCGCATTGAGGCCTTCGTTGGAAACGGGATTTCTTCATTTCATGCTAGACAGAAGAATTCTCAGTAACTTCTTTGTGCTGTGTGTATTCAACTCACAGAGTGGAACGTCCCTTTGCACAGAGCAGATTTGAAACACTCTTTTTGTGGAATTTGCAAGTGGAGATTTCAAGCGATTTGATGCCAACAGTAGAAAAGGAAATATCTGCAAACAAAAACTAGACAGAATCATTATCAGAAAGTGCTTTGTGATGTGTGCATTCAACTCACAGAGTTAACCTTTCTTTTCATAAAGGAGTTTGGAAACACACTGTTTGTAAAGTCTGCAATTGGATATATGGACCTGTTTGAGGCCTTCGTTGGAAACGGGATTTCTTCATTGAATGCTAGACGGAAGAATTCTCAGTAAATTCTTTGTGTTGTGTGCATTCAACTCACAGAGTGGAACGTCCCTTTAGACAGAGCAGATTTGAAACACTCTTTTTGCGTAATTTGCAAGTGGAGATTTCTAGCAATTTGATGCCAACAGTAGAAAGGGAAATATCTTCAAATAAAAACCAGACAGAATCATTCTCATAAAATTCTTTGTGATGTGTGCGTTCAAATCACATAGTTTAACCTTTCTTTTCATAGAGCAGTTTGGAAACACTCTGTTTGCAAAGTCTGCAAGTGGATATATGGACCGCATTGAGGCCTTCGTTGGAAACGGGATTTCTTCATTTCATGCTAGACAGAAGAATTCTCAGTAACTTCTTTGTGCTGTGTGTATTCAACTCACAGAGTGGAACGTCCCTTTACACAGAGCAGATTTGAAACACTCTTTTTGTGGAATTTGCAAGTGGAGATTTCAAGCGATTTGATGCCAACAGTAGAAAAGGAAATATCTTCAAATAAAAACTAGACAGAATCATTCTCAGAAACTACTTTGTGATGTGTGCCTTCAACTCACAGAGTTTAACCTTTCTTTTCTTAGAGCAGTTTAGAAACACTCTGCTTGTTATGTCTGCAAGTGGATATTTGGACCTCTTTGAGGCCTTCGTTGCAAACGGGGTTTCTTCTTTCATGCTAGACTAAGAAGAGTTCTCAGTAACTTTTTTGTGTTGTGTGTATTCAACTCACAGAGTTGAACCTTGCTTTAGAGAGAGCAGATTTGAAACACTCTTGCTGTGACATTTTCAGGTGGAGATTTCAAGCGATTTGAGGACAATTGCAGAAAAGGAAATATCTTCGTATAATAACCAGAAAGAATCATTCTCAGAAAGTGCTTTGTGATGTGTGCGTTCAACTCACAGAGTTTAACCTTTCTTTTCATAGAGGAGTTTGGAAACACACTGTTTGTAAAGTCTGCAATTGGATATATGGACCTGTTTGAGGCCTTCGTTGGAAACGGGATTTCTTCATTGAATGCTAGACGGAAGAATTCTCAGTAAATTCTTTGTGTTGTGTGCATTCAACTCACAGAGTGGAACGTCCCTTTAGACAGAGCAGATTTGAAACACTCTTTTTGCGGAATTTGCAAGTGGAGATTTCTAGCCATTTGATGCCAACAGTAGAAAGGGAAATATCTTCAAATAAAAACCAGACAGAATCATTCTCAGAAAATTCTTTGTGATGTGTGCGTTCAACTCACATAGTTTAACCTTTCTTTTCATAGAGCAGTTTGGAAACACTCTGTTTGTAAAGTCTGCAAGTGGATATATGGACCGCATTGAGGCCTTCGTTGGAAACGGGATTTCTTCATTTCATGCTAGACAGAAGAATTCTCAGTAACTTCTTTGTGCTGTGTGTATTCAACTCACAGAGTGGAACGTCCCTTTGCACAGAGCAGATTTGAAACACTCTTTTTGTGGAGTTTGCAAGTGGAGATTTCAAGCGATTTGATGCCAACAGTAGAAAAGGAAATATCTTCAAATAAAAACTAGACAGAATCATTCTCAGAAACTACTTTGTGATGTGTGCCTTCAACTCACAGAGTTTAACCTTTCTTTTCTTAGAGCAGTTTAGAAACACTCTGCTTGTTATGTCTGCAAGTGGATATTTGGACCTCTTTGAGGCCTTCGTTGCAAACGGGGTTTATTCCTTTCATGCTAGACTAAGAAGAGTTCTCAGTAACTTTTTTGTGTTGTGTGTATTCAACTCACAGAGTTGAACGTTGCTTTAGAGAGAGCAGATTTGAAACACTCTTGCTGTGGCATTTTCAGGTGGAGATTTCAAGCGATTTGAGGACAATTGCAGAAAAGGAAATATCTTCGTATAATAACCAGACAGAATCATTCTCAGAAAGTGCTTTGTGATGTGTGCGTTCAACTCACAGAGTTTAACTTTTCTTTCCATAGAGGAGTTTGGAAACACACTGTTTGTAAAGTCTGCAAGTGGATATATGGACCTGTTTGAGGCCTTCGTTGGAAACGGGATTTCTTCATTGAATGCTAGACGGAAGAATTCTCAGTAAATTCTTTGTGTTGTGTGCATTCAACTCACAGAGTGGAACGTCCCTTTAGACAGAGCAGATTTGAAACACTCTTTTTGCGGAATTTGCAAGTGGAGATTTCTAGCCATTTGATGCCAACAGTAGAAAGGGAAATATCTTCAAATAAAAACCAGACAGAATCATTCTCAGAAAATTCTTTGTGATGTGTGCGTTCAACTCACATAGTTTAACCTTTCTTTTCATAGAGCAGTTTGGAAACACTCTGTTTGTAAAGTCTGCAAGTGGATATATGGACCGCATTGAGGCCTTCGTTGGAAACGGGATTTCTTCATTTCATGCTAGACAGAAGAATTCTCAGTAACTTCTTTGTGCTGTGTGTATTCAACTCACAGAGTGGAACGTCCCTTTGCACAGAGCAGATTTGAAACACTCTTTTTGTGGAGTTTGCAAGTGGAGATTTCAAGCGATTTGATGCCAACAGTAGAAAAGGAAATATCTTCAAATAAAAACTAGACAGAATCATTCTCAGAAACTACTTTGTGATGTGTGCCTTCAACTCACAGAGTTTAACCTTTCTTTTCTTAGAGCAGTTTAGAAACACTCTGCTTGTTATGTCTGCAAGTGGATATTTGGACCTCTTTGAGGCCTTCGTTGCAAACGGGGTTTCTTCCTTTCATGCTAGACTAAGAAGAGTTCTCAGTAACATTTTTGTGTTGTGTGTATTCAACTCACAGAGTTGAACCTTGCTTTAGAGAGAGCAGATTTGAAACACTCTTGCTGTGGCATTTTCAGGTGGAGATTTCAAGCGATTTGAGGACAATTGCAGAAAAGGAAATATCTTCGTATAACAACCAGACAGAATCATTCTCAGAAAGTGCTTTGTGATGTGTGCGTTCAACTCACAGAGTTTAACCTTTCTTTTCATAGAGGAGTTTGGAAACACACTGTTTGTAAAGTCTGCAATTGGATATATGGACCTGTTTGAGGCCTTCGTTGGAAACGGGATTTCTTCATTGAATGCTAGACGGAAGAATTCTCAGTAAATTCTTTGTGTGGTGTGCATTCAACTCACAGAGTGGAACGTCCCTTTAGACAGAGCAGATTTGAAACACTCTTTTTGCGGAATTTGCAAGTGGAGATTTCTAGCCATTTGATGCCAACAGTAGAAAGGGAAATATCTTCAAATAAAAACCAGACAGAATCATTCTCAGAAAATTCTTTGTGATGTGTGCGTTCAACTCACATAGTTTAACCTTTCTTTTCATAGAGCAGTTTGGAAACACTCTGTTTGTAAAGTCTGCAAGTGGATATATGGACCGCATTGAGGCCTTCGTTGGAAACGGGATTTCTTCATTTCATGCTAGACAGAAGAATTCTCAGTAACTTCTTTGTGCTGTGTGTATTCAACTCACAGAGTGGAACGTCCCTTTGCACAGAGCAGATTTGAAACACTCTTTTTGTGGAGTTTGCAAGTGGAGATTTCAAGCGATTTGATGCCAACAGTAGAAAAGGAAATATCTTCAAATAAAAACTAGACAGAATCATTCTCAGAAACTACTTTGTGATGTGTGCCTTCAACTCACAGAGTTTAACCTTTCTTTTCTTAGAGCAGTTTAGAAACACTCTGCTTGTTATGTCTGCAAGTGGATATTTGGACCTCTTTGAGGCCTTCGTTGCAAACGGGGTTTCTTCCTTTCATGCTAGACTAAGAAGAGTTCTCAGTAACTTTTTTGTGTTGTGTGTATTCAACTCACAGAGTTGAACCTTGCTTTAGAGAGAGCAGATTTGAAACACTCTTGCTGTGGCATTTTCAGGTGGAGATTTCAAGCGATTTGAGGACAATTGCAGAAAAGGAAATATCTTCGTATAATAACCAGACAGAATCATTCTCAGAAAGTGCTTTGTGATGTGTGTGTTCAACTCACAGAGTTTAACCTTTCTTTTCATAGAGGAGTTTGGAAACACACTGTTTGTAAAGTCTGCAAGTGGATATATGGACCTGTTTGAGACCTTCGTTGGATACGGGATTTCTTCATTGAATGCTAGACGGAAGAATTCTCAGTAAATTCTTTGTGTTGTGTGCATTCAACTGACAGAGTGGAACGTCCCTTTAGACAGAGCAGATTTGAAACACTCTTTTTGCGGAATTTGCAAGTGGAGATTTCTAGCCATTTGATGCCAACAGTAGAAAGGGAAATATCTTCAAATAAAAACCAGACAGAATCATTCTCAGAAAATTCTTTGTGATGTGTGCGTTCAACTCACATAGTTTAACCTTTCTTTTCATAGAGCAGTTTGGAAACACTCTGTTTGTAAAGTCTGCAAGTGGATATATGGACCGCATTGAGGCCTTCGTTGGAAACGGGATTTCTTCATTTCATGCTAGACAGAAGTAATTCTCAGTAACTTCTTTGTGCTGTGTGTATTCAACTCACAGGAGTGGAACGTCCCTTTGCACAGAGCAGATTTGAAACACTCTTTTTGTGGAGTTTGCAAGTGGAGATTTCAAGCGATTTGATGCCAACAGTAGAAAAGGAAATATCTTCAAATAAAAACTAGACAGAATCATTCTCAGAAACTACTTTGTGATGTGTGCCTTCAACTCACAGAGTTTAACCTTTCTTTTCTTAGAGCAGTTTAGAAACACTCTGCTTGTTATGTCTGCAAGTGGATATTTGGACCTCTTTGAGGCCTTCGTTGCAAACGGGGTTTCTTCCTTTCATGCTAGACTAAGAAGAGTTCTCAGTAACTTTTTTGTGTTGTGTGTATTCAACTCACAGAGTTGAACCTTGCTTTAGAGAGAGCAGATTTGAAACACTCTTGCTGTGGCATTTTCAGGTGGAGATTTCAAGCGATTTGAGGACAATTGCAGAAAAGGAAATATCTTCGTATAATAACCAGACAGAATCATTCTCAGAAAGTGCTTTGTGATGTGTGCGTTCAACTCACAGAGTTTAACTTTTCTTTCCATAGAGGAGTTTGGAAACACACTGTTTGTAAAGTCTGCAAGTGGATATATGGACCTGTTTGAGGCCTTCGTTGGAAACGGGATTTCTTCATTGAATGCTAGACGGAAGAATTCTCAGTAAATTCTTTGTGTTGTGTGCATTCAACTCACAGAGTGGAACGTCCCTTTAGACAGAGCAGATTTGAAACACTCTTTTTGCGGAATTTGCAAGTGGAGATTTCTAGCCATTTGATGCCAACAGTAGAAAGGGAAATATCTTCAAATAAAAACCAGACAGAATCATTCTCAGAAAATTCTTTGTGATGTGTGCGTTCAACTCACATAGTTTAACCTTTCTTTTCATAGAGCAGTTTGGAAACACTCTGTTTGTAAAGTCTGCAAGTGGATATATGGACCGCATTGAGGCCTTCGTTGGAAACGGGATTTCTTCATTTCATGCTAGACAGAAGAATTCTCAGTAACTTCTTTGTGCTGTGTGTATTCAACTCACAGAGTGGAACGTCCCTTTACACAGAGCAGATTTGAAACACTCTTTTTGTGGAGTTTGCAAGTGGAGATTTCAAGCGATTTGATGCCAACAGTAGAAAAGGAAATATCTTCAAATAAAAACTAGACAGAATCATTCTCAGAAACTACTTTGTGATGTGTGCCTTCAACTCACAGAGTTTAACCTTTCTTTTCTTAGAGCAGTTTAGAAACACTCTGCTTGTTATGTCTGCAAGTGGATATTTGGACCTCTTTGAGGCCTTCGTTGCAAACGGGGTTTCTTCCGTTCATGCTAGACTAAGAAGAGTTCTCAGTAACCTTTTCTGTGTTGTGTGTATTCAACTCACAGAGTTGAACCTTGCTTTAGAGAGAGCAGATTTGAAACACTCTTGCTGTGACATTTTCAGGTGGAGATTTCAAGCGATTTGAGGACAATTGCAGAAAAGGAAATATCTTCGTATAACAACCAGACAGAATCATTCTCAGAAAGTGCTTTGTGTTGTGTGCGTTCAACTCACAGAGTTTAACCTTTCTTTTCATAGAGGAGTTTGGAAACACACTGTTTGTAAAGTCTGCAATTGGATATATGGACCTGTTTGAGGCCTTCGTTGGAAACGGGATTTCTTCATTGAATGCTAGACGGAAGAATTCTCAGTAAATTCTTTGTGTTGTGTGCATTCAACTGACAGAGTGGAACGTCCCTTTAGACAGAGCAGATTTGAAACACTCTTTTTGCGGAATTTGCAAGTGGAGATTTCTAGCCATTGATGCCAACAGTAGAAAGGGAAATATCTTCAAATAAAAACCAGACAGAATCATTCTCAGAAAATTCTTTGTGATGTGTGCGTTCAACTCACATAGTTTAACCTTTCTTTTCATAGAGCAGTTTGGAAACACTCTGTTTGTAAAGTCTGCAAGTGGATATATGGACCGCATTGAGGCCTTCGTTGGAAACGGGATTTCTTCATTTCATGCTAGACAGAAGAATTCTCAGTAACTTCTTTGTGCTGTGTGTATTCAACTCACAGAGTGGAACGTCCCTTTGCACAGAGCGGATTTGAAACACTCTTTTTGTGGAGTTTGCAAGTGGAGATTTCAAGCGATTTGATGCCAACAGTAGAAAAGGAAATATCTTCAAATAAAAACTAGACAGAATCATTCTCAAAAACTACTTTGTGATGTGTGCCTTCAACTCACAGAGTTTAACCTTTCTTTTCTTAGAGCAGTTTAGAAACACTCTGCTTGTTATGTCTGCAAGTGGATATTTGGACCTCTTTGAGGCCTTCGTTGCAAACGGGGTTTCTTCCTTTCATGCTAGACTAAGAAGAGTTCTCAGTAACTTTTTTGTGTTGTGTGTATTCAACTCACAGAGTTGAACCTTGCTTTAGAGAGAGCAGATTTGAAACACTCTTGCTGTGGCATTTTCAGGTGGAGATTTCAAGCGATTTGAGGACAATTGCAGAAAAGGAAATATCTTCGTATAATAACCAGACAAGAATCATTCTCAGAAAGTGCTTTGTGATGTGTGCGTTCAACTCACAGAGTTTAACCTTTCTTTTCATAGAGGAGTTTGGAAACACACTGTTTGTAAAGTCTGCAATTGGATATATGGACCTGTTTGAGGCCTTCGTTGGAAACGGGATTTCTTCATTGAATGCTAGACGGAAGAATTCTCAGTAAATTCTTTGTGTTGTGTGCATTCAACTCACAGAGTGGAACGTCCCTTTACACAGAGCAGATTTGAAACACTCTTTTTGCGGAATTTGCAAGTGGAGATTTCTAGCCATTTGATGCCAACAGTAGAAAGGGAAATATCTTCAAATAAAAACCAGACAGAATCATTCTCAGAAAATTCTTTGTGATGTGTGCGTTCAACTCACATAGTTTAACCTTTCTTTTCTTAGAGCAGTTTAGAAACACTCTGCTTGTTATGTCTGCAAGTGGATATTTGGACCTCTTTGAGGCCTTCGTTGCAAACGGGGTTTCTTCCTTTCATGCTAGACTAAGAAGAGTTCTCAGTAACTTTTTTGTGTTGTGTGTATTCAACTCACAGAGTTGAACCATGCTTTAGAGAGAGCAGATTTGAAACACTCTTGCTGTGGCATTTTCAGGTGGAGATTTCAAGCGATTTGAGGACAATTGCAGAAAAGGAAATATCTTCGTATAACAACTAGACAGAATCATTCTCAGAAAGTGCTTTGTGATGTGTGGGTTCAACTCACAGAGTTTAACCTTTCTTTTCATAGAGGAGTTTGGAAACACACTGTTTGTAAAGTCTGCAATTGGATATATGGACCTGTTTGAGGCCTTCGTTGGAAACGGGATTTCTTCATTGACTGCTAGACAGAAGAATTCTCAGTAAATTCTTTGTGTTGTGTGCATTCAACTCACAGAGTGGAACGTCCCTTTAGACAGAGCAGATTTGAAACACTCTTTTTGCGGAATTTGCAAGTGGAGATTTCTAGCCATTTGATGCCAACAGTAGAAAGGGAAATATCTTCAAATAAAAACCAGACAGAATCATTCTCAGAAAATTCTTTGTGATGTGTGCGTTCAACTCACATAGTTTAACCTTTCTTTTCATAGAGCAGTTTGGAAACACTCTGTTTGTAAAGTCTGCAAGTGGATATATGGACCGCATTGAGGCCTTCGTTGGAAACGGGATTTCTTCATTTCATGCTAGACAGAAGAATTCTCAGTAACTTCTTTGTGCTGTGTGTATTCAACTCACAGAGTGGAACGTCCCTTTACACAGAGCAGATTTGAAACACTCTTTTTGTGGAGTTTGCAAGTGGAGATTTCAAGCGATTTGATGCCAAAAGTAGAAAAGGAAATATCTTCAAATAAAAACTAGACAGAATCATTCTCAGAAACTACTTTGTGATGTGTGCCTTCAACTCACAGAGTTTAACCTTTCTTTTCTTAGAGCAGTTTAGAAACACTCTGCTTGTTATGTCTGCAAGTGGATATTTGGACCTCTTTGAGGCCTTCGTTGCAAACGGGGTTTCTTCCTTTAATGCTAGACTAAGAAGAGTTCTCAGTAACTTTTTTGCGT